>NC_000005.10:173337081-173640111 GCF_000001405.40 Homo sapiens
TGCAGTGGCGTGATCTCGGCTCACTGCAAGCTCCGCCTCCCGGGTTAACACCATTCTCCTGCCTCAGCCTCCAGACTAGCTGGGACTACAGGCGCCCGCCACCACACCCGGCTAATTTTTTGTATTTTTGGTAGAGATGGGGTTTCACCATGTTAGCTAGGATAGTCTCAATCTCCTGACCTCGTGATCCGCCCGCCTTGGCCTCCCAAAGTGCTGGGATTATAGGCGTGAGTCGCTGTGCCTGGCCCTGGTGCCTTTTTTCTTTACTGCAAATTAGCCAAGCTTTTCCCCCTGCTTTAGGGTCTTAATGTAGGCTGTTCCTGCAAATCAGAGGTCTCGCCCAGTTATTACCTTGTTTATTTATTTGTTTTAATGGTTTCTTGCCTTATTCCTTCTCCTACCCAAAATGAATGATAAATTCCCTGATGGAGAGGACGTTGCCTGCCATGTTCAACGTCCAATCCCCAGCACCCACTACAATGGTTGACACACAGCTTTAAATGTGTGTATGTGCGCCTGTGTGTGTGTGGTTGTGTGTGTGTGTGTTGGATGACAAAAGGCCCCTAGTTCCGTTTGCGGAACTGGGACTCAGAGAGGGGGAGCCCAGTTTGCAGAGGAAGGTGTCGAAAGCAAGGGATGAGCAGGCCATTCAGGTGAGATGTACAATAGACAATTCAGATCCTCCTTACTCTTGTAGCACTTCCTCATTCCATACTGCTTTATGCGGAGATTATTTATAGGTTAAAAGTGCTTTTGTAGACATGGCCCCTTTAGACCTCTCTACAACCTTGGAAGGGAGTAGAATGATTATTCCCATTTTACAGATTAAAACCTCGAGCACAGAGATTCTTGTCTGAGGCCCACACAGCTGGAAGGCTCTAAGTCCAAATTTGAACCTGGGTATTCAAATCCCCAGATCTTTGTATTTTATTATGGTTTTAGAAGTCATGACCCATTTTCTCCACCTTTACCAGTGAACAATAAGGATGACGAATCATGTTGCAAAACACTTTCATTTTGATGCTGATCAAACTGAGCTTAGTTTGCACGTGTATATATATATATATATATATATATATATATATATATATATATATATAGGCTAAGCCATATATATGTGCGTATGTATATATTTTCTCCCTAAGATCTTAAAACCTCGAGAAAGGCAGAAGAACTAGGGAGAGATAAAAATATAACTAGAAGAAAGGGCTCAGAGGGAACAAATGAAAAGAAACAAAGGTAGGATTATAAACTAAAAGAAAGACAAAGAACATATTTAAATTATTCTTGTTTTTTGGCAAGGTTATCAACAAAAAGATGTGGGTAACAAGATAAATTAGGCACACTAAACTAAAGCAAGAAGGCTTATAATTGATGAAGAAAAAAAAAGAAGAAAACAGTTCCCTTGGGGGAGGCAGAAGAAAAGCGAGGCGGGGCAGAGGGAGGTGGCCATGGATCAGCACAGCTCAGCCTGGCCAAGCCATTCCCATACGGTGAGCACTGGAGGCCCAGCATGTGGTGGGTGTTTAGGGAAGACAGAAAAGAGGAAGATGTTAGGCCCTTGACTTCAGTTTGCTGATGGCAGCCACATGGGGAAAGGTTCGAGGGCAAGGAGAGATGATCTATGGGGTGCGCAAGTGGGGATGGCTTTGGTGTGGGTGGGAAGGGTAGGGGCTTGGAGCTAGGTGTCGAGGGATTCGAGTCTCAGCCTTGATGTGGATTAGCTGTGTGACCATGACCAGATTACTTAACCTCTCTGAGCTTCAATCGGGTCAACATAGGCACAGGAATAACACTATGTACTTTATAGGTTGTCATGGGGTTAAATGTGATCATGTGTCGCAAATGTTGCTCAGTGTTTGGCGCCTGGCAGGCACTGCATAGCCATTGATTCCCTCACTGATCAAAGCAGGGGGTAGTGGCTGTGGCCATTCTGTGACAGGAATCTGAGTCTCAGTAAGAGTTGTGACTTTCTGTTCCTTTGGGCACTGTCTTCAAATCCTCAGAAGGCAGGAAGCAAGGAAACAGAGTCAGTGAGCTGTTCCCCCGTTCCCCCCGGTTGGGTGGCTCCATCTAGACTTGGAGATTGGGGTGGCTTTGATTTGTGAGGAAGCTGTGTGGGTCGTAACTGGGTACGTTTTTATTTGCGGGTTACTGTGTGCAGTAACTTACCACATTTGCTCTTTGAAAACGCCTTAATGGGCTGCTGTAGTAGAAAGAGAAAATCTTTCATTGGTATGTGTATGTCGTCCAAATGGTATTTTTAAAGATTTATTTTTGTGTGTTCACGATGTTCTTGAATAATGTTTCCATAAGTACGGTCAAAGATAAAACTTGAGCGGTGCACGAAATCTGGTCGTGCATATTTTAGAGTGTGACCGTCTTTTGACCAGCCGTGGGATCCATTTGTCAAGTTCTTCACTGACTTGTGTTTCCTTAGGAGGACTTGCTTGAGCCGGCTCGCTGATGGAGAAACTTCTGAACATGGGCCAAGCTAATGGTGATGGCCCTGTTGAGTGTCACCCTTTCTCCTTTTACCTGCAGCAGTGTGGCTCTCCAGCGGGACTAGTGGAGGCCAGAGCCTCATAGCTCAGTCATTTATCAACAAACAGCTGATGAGTACCTTTGATGTGCTGGGTGCTGTGTGGGGATTTGGGGGACACAGGTTGACTTAGATGGACAAACCAGCTGGTCACATGCAGCCAATCAAGTAACAAGAAAAGGGACGTGACTAAGGTCCTATGCTAGTCAGGGTGGTCAGGCAATGACTGAACTGGGGTCATTTCTCCAGGAACTTGAAAGACACAAAAAAGCCAGCCAGGGAAAAGCAGTGCAAGTGCAGAGGCCCTGGGGCTGGGATAAGTTGGCCTGTTCAAATAATGGAAAATGGGTTGGCACTGTGGTGGGAATGTATGTCCCCTCCAAAACTCATGTTGAAATGTAATCCCCAATGTAGCAGGATTGAGAAGTGGGGCTTTTAAGAGGTGGTGGGTTATGAGAGCTCTGCCCTCATGAATGGATTAATTCACTTGTGGGTTAATGGATGAATGGGTTATCATGGGAGGGGAACTAGTGGTTTTATGAGAAAAAAAAGACCTGGGCCTGCATGCTCAGCCTCCTCATTATGTGATGCCCTGCGCTGCCATGAGACTCTGCGGAGAGTCCCAAGCAGCAAGAAGGCCTTGGCAGATGCTCCCCCTCGACCTTGGATCTCTTGGCTTCCATAACTGTAAGAAATATGTTTCTTGTCTTTATAAATGACCCAGTTTCAGGTATTCAGCTATAAGCAACAGAAAACAGACTAAGACAGTTGGTGTGGCCAGAGCCTAGCGAGTGCTAGGAGGGTGGCAAGAATGAGTGCCCTAGGGTCAAGGGCCAGGGGAAGGAGTATGGATTTTATTGTAAAACATGATGGAACTCTTGAGCCCTGTAGGACTTGGAGGAGAAGGGCAGGGAGGGTACGCTAGGCAGAGGAAGCACTGGGCAAAGGCTGGGCAAGGGCACGGCTTTTAGGGCCTGGATAGACTGTGGTGGCCTGGGCAGTGCTTATCTCCCTTCACGTCTCTGCTCCTGTTTGCAGCTCTGCCTCCTCCGTGGCTCTGGGCCACCTGGCAGGAAATGGCCTCCCCTAACTCTGGAATGTTGCACCTCTGCTGTACAGAGCCCAGCCCAGAGCGAGCTGGAGTCTCTCAGCTCCGGTTCCAAATTCGTAATAGTTTCTAATTCCAGAGGAGAATCTGATTGGCTCCGATCCCTACTCCGATGTCTGTGGTCATGTGGTGTGAACTGGAGCCCACCCTGGGACCCTGTGGGTAGGGTGGGGAGGGCGGTCCCCTACCACGGAGGCTCGTGGCTTCGTGGTACACAAGACACCAAAAGGCCCCCGAAAGTGTCAGCTCTGAAGATTTGGAAGAAAGTGTGGTAGTTCCATATGCCTGCCTCTGTTGCCATGCAGGAATTCTCAAGGTCTAGGGCTCCTAGGTCAGTTTCTGAATGGGAGGGAGCAAGCACCACAGAGAACAGCATGCGAAGTTTGAAAGTAAGGGAACAGTACAAGGAAGGCAGAAAGTAGGCGGAAGCCTGGCTAGAGAGTGACGCTCAGTCATGCCTGATCAAACATAGCCCAGGAGAGCCTTCCCTGCGGGCTCCTACGGGGGCTGTCTGGACCACAGGGCAGCAGGGGAAATGGCAGGCAGGTGGCTGTCATTTTCTCACGATGCTCCCCACCTTTAGAAGCACAGTCCTCTTGTGGCTTTCACTGCCACAGGAAGGTCACCAGGGTCCAAGAGGGACTTTTTAGGGTCCAGGTGGTGAGGTCAGAGTGGAAAGAATGTTTCTAGACTCCTGCATGCTGATCCAGGTCTCTTGAACCCTGTTTCTCATGCCCCGCACTGCGCTGTGCCTGCCTCACTCTCTTACGTATTGGTTTGCTCCATTCTCTGGCAGATCCCATGAGTCTCCACCTGTTCTTTGCAGAAAGTAAGATTCCTGAGTCAAGGCTTGCTGCGGAAACTCCCCTTTTGTGTGACTCTTAACAGTTCTGTATGCAGCAGAGGCTCTCGGCAGACATCTGTCCATCAAATGGAATTGGTTTGTGATTCTGATTTCTTCTCAATTAACAAAGGACCAAGGTGGGTCTACAGGATGGGTCTGTATGCAATTGATGTCAGAATCATTCAATCAGCACTCATTTGCTTACCACCTTTGTGGTTTTTGGCATATCTGCATTCCACCCCTGCAGTGACTTACTTTCTACTTTTTAAAAAGATTGGCTCTTTTTTTCACTTAGAAAATTTATTTTAGCAGGAAACTTTATACCATGACCGCACATGAAATCCAGTATCCAGACCCATAAATAGAAGGTGATCGTAAAATTAAATACAAAACTCCTAAATAGAAAGCATATGTCCATTTCTCCCTGAATCATCTCCAGGGCACCACAAAATGGACATTACACTCTGGGGAACTCTGACTTGTGTCGTGGGTGAGGATATGTTTAGGAAAATATTAACTGTCCCTGGCAAATTTCTGGACCTTGGGCAACTTCCCCTTCCATGAACTGTGGATGTGGTAGCCAGGGCTGCCACTTGCCATGTGTGGCTCTGAGGAGGTTGCGTGAGTGACCAGTGAGGGGGCCTCAGGAAACTAGGGCTTAGCCATCAAGCTCGACTTCTTGCCCTCCTACCCACTCTAGCCTCCTGCTGGGAGTAGAGCTCGCTCTCTCCTTCCCCCGTGAGCTTCGTCCTGAGAACAGCTGCGGAGGAGGAGGCTGAGTGGAGCAAACAGGAACAGGAACAGGGCCTGTGGAACACAGGCTGAGCAGTGGGCTTGAGGGAGGAGAGAGAATGAGGCGCAAATGAGGAGCTGGAATATGGAGGGTAGGGGACTGAGAGGTGCTGGAGGGTTGGCTCTACTGTCTTGCAGCAAAGACAAGGGTTTTGGCTGAGAATGAGAAGTCAGCAGAATATCTGTTTGTCTGTTGAGTCTTAAGGTGATGACTGGGTGGATGAGCCCCAAAGCAGTATTTTGGTTCTTAGGCTGCAGTGAGTGACCCTTCTGTATGACAAAGGAGTTTAGGAGTAAAAGGCAAGGTACCAATGTAAAAGCAATACGGGCCTGGCTGTGGTGACTCATGCCTGTAATCCCAGCACTTTGGGAGGCCAAGTCAGGAGGATCGCTTGAAGCCAGAAGTTCAAAACAAGCCTGAGCAACAAAGTGAGACCTCGTCTCTACAAAAATTAAGTAAAGTAAGTAAAAGCATTATGATGATTATTAAAGTGCAGACTTACTCTCTCTCAGTTGTTTGGATTTGGTTTAATTACCAGTTGGGATTTCAGCAGGCTAAGAGGTCAATGGCACCGTGCGTCATTGATAAACCTCCAAATGCCAAACCTGTGTTTCATGGTTCAGTACAGGTACAGAGTCTCATAGAGCTGGCAGGGACCTTGGTGTGAGGCATCTCCTCAGAGTCCCTGGGCTGAGCCACTTTTAGCATGTCTGGCATCCTCTGAATCTGAATGTAAACCTGTGGGAGGACCTTGCTGGCAGGTGGCCCGCTAGCTCCACAGGGCACCTCTAGAGGTGCTCAGGTTGCTGGTGCCTGAAGCTGCAACCCTTGCCCTTTGGATGCCAGGCCTCGGGCTCCTGTGAAGACATTGTGCTGTTTTGGGACCAGCCTTTGCAAGGATGTTGGGAACGAGGATGCCTGGTTGAGGGTCAGGAGAGGGCATCGCAAGCTCCTGCTTACAGGGTCATCTAGGCTGGTGTATTAGTCTGTTCTTGTATTGCTATAAAGAATTACTGGAGACTGGGTAATTTACAGAGAAAAGAGGTTTCGTAGGCTCACGGTTCCGCAGGCTGTACAGGAAGCATGGCAGCACCTGCTTCTGGGGAGGCCTGAGGGCTTTTACTCATGGCGGAAGGCAAAGCAAGAGCAGGAGCAAGAGAGAGTGAAGTGGGAGGGGCCGCACACTTGTAAGCAACCAGATCTTGGGAGAACTCAGTCACTATCATGACAACAAATAGCGCCAAGGGGATGGTGCCGACCCATTCATGAGAGATCCAGCCCCATGATGCAGTCACCTCCCACCAGGCCCCATCTCTAACACTGGGGACTACAATTCAACATGAAATTTGGTGGGGACACAGATCCAAACCACATCAGCTAGCTTGCTTCTGGGTGGGTAAACCAGCCACCATATATATAGCTGGGGCCTGTGCCTGAGTCCTGAATTTATCTCCTTGCCTTATGATTTTGGACAGGTCACTTAACCTCTCACACCTAAATTGACGGTCTAATTGGAATCCCAGCTCTGCCACTTGCTAGCTGTGTGGCCTTGGGCAGGTTATTAGCCTCTCTGTTCCTCAGTTTCTCTTCCTGTAGAATGGTGACAATTCTAGTACCTGTCTCTTAGGGTATTGTGGTAATTAAGAGACTTAACACACGTTAGTGTGGAGAGTCCCCAAGCCATGGCTGGTGTACACTCTACATAGAAGTGTGAGCTTCTGACATCATCTGGGGCTGCTCCCTCCCCTCTCCCTTTTGCACGAGGGAGGTGTGTGAAGTTGAGAACTCTGTTGGCAGTGTTTGCCTCCTCCTGAGGCTGCTGCCACACTAACCTTCTGCTCTGTCTCTTTTTTTTTGAGATGGAGTCTCGCTCTGTCACCCAGGCTTAAGTGCAGTGGCGTGATCTTGGCTTACCGCAACCTCCGTCTCCTGGGTTCAAGTGATTTTCCTGCCTCAGTCTCCTGAGTAGCTAGGATTACAGGTGTGTACCACCACATCCAGCTAATTTTTTTATTTTTAGCAGAGACGGGGTTTCACCATGTGGGCCAGCCTGGTCTTGAACTTCTGACCTCAAGTGATCCACCGGCCTTGGCCTCCCAAAGTGCTGGGATTACAGGTGTGAGCCACGGTGCCTGGCCTAACCTTTCACTCTGAACTTGAGCCTGGGTCTCCTGTATCCTGGCTGTGTGAGTATCATCTAATTTGCATCTGCTCCTCCCACTTCCTTTCACCTCTGTCAAGTAACAAGGCCCTGTGCGCCCAGTCCTTCCCCATCCTCCATGCACCTCACCCTTTCTCCCAGGTTACTGCTGTCTGTATCCCTGTTACCAACAACTCTGCTTTCAGGAACCCCTGAGCCTCCCGGTGCCCATCCTCCTAGGTGTCCAGGGACTTCCATTCAGCCTGGTGCAAGTCTACTCATCCTCTCCTGGGGCCTCTGCTGGCAGCCTCAAGGCTCCAGAGGGGCTGATTCCACATAGAGGAAACTCTCCTCCAGGCTGTGTCTCCCCCATCCTTGACTGCACCTGGTGCCGTCACATGCGGGAGAAGGCTTGAGGGCCAGGCTTGTCTTTATTTCTAGGGTCACTCCTAGCCCCTTGGCCAATTTCTCTGACCTTTTCTCTTGCACTCTTCCCTGGAGACTCCATCAGTTTCCATGGCACCAGCAGTTTTCTATCACTGATTGCCAAGTAGCCCACCTGGTCCCCACCTGTGTTCGGCGTCTGTCTGCATGTCCCCAGTGGTCTCAGTCAACATCAAGGGTCAGACTCCTCACCCTGCACTGGAGCTGGCTCTGTCTCCTCGTGCTGCTGCTTCTGCCCAGGGGCGTCCTTCATGTGGGGCATCCTTCCTGCGCTCAGTCCCTCCACTCCCCTCCCCAACCTGGGTTCTGGTCTTGCCCTCGGGTTTATAGAGCAGATTTCTCAGTGGCCTGTTCCTTCCGGCTCATCCTCAGACTTCCCAGATTGTGGTAGCGCCTGTATCATGGGGAACTTTTGGCAGCTCCCAGAGGCTGCGGCGTGGGTGGCAAACTTCTCAGCAGGGAGTTCGAGTGACTCCCAGACAGCAGGTCCTGCTTCATGGGCCCTGTTTTCATCCCGTGGCCATCAGCCCTCTGACCTACCATTTGTCTAGGCCCAGGCTGCACACCCTCATGCTGCCTTTTCTTGTTCCTTATTGGGAGGCCTCCTGTGATGGTTAGTTTTATGTGTCAACTTGGCTAGGTTGTTTACCCAGTTATTTCATCAAACACTAGTCTAGGTGTTGCTGTGAAGGTATTTTATTGACGTGGTTAACAGCTGCAATCAGTTGACTTTAAGTAGAGAAGATAACCTCGATGATGTGGGTGGACCCATCTATTCAGCAGAAGGCCTTAAGAGCAAAAGCGAGGTCTCCTTAGAGAAACTCTGCCTTAAGGCTGCAGCCTCAACTTCTGTCCGAGTTTTCAGCCTACTGGCTTGTCCTAGCAGGCCAGACTTTCCAGCTTCTACCATCGTGTGAGCCAGTTCCTTACAAGAAATCCCTCTCTCTCTCCACACTACCCCCACTGCCCCGCACATATGCAGTTGGCCCTTGAACAACTCGGGATTAGGGGTGCCCACCCTTCCTGCAGCTGAAAATCCAAGTATAACTCTTGACTCCTGTATTAGTCTGTTCTCATACCGCTATAAAGAACTACCTGAGACTGGGCAATATATGAAGAAAAGAGCTTTAATTGACTCACAGTTCTGCAGGCTGTACAGGAAGCATCATTAGGTGGCCTCAGGAAACTTACAATCATGGCAGAAGGCAAAGAGGAAGCAAGCACACCTTACCATGGCCAAGCAGAAGGGGAGTGAAGGGGGAAGTGCTACACACTTTTAAACAACCAGATATCGTAAGAACTCACTCACTGTCATGAACAGCAAGGGGAAATCTGCCCCCATGATCCAATCACCTCCCACGAGGCCTCTCCCCCAACGTTGGGAATTATAATTTGACATGAGATTTGATTGGGAACACAGAGTCAAACCATATCAACGCCTCAGAAACATAACTACTAATAGCCTACTGTTGACCAGAAGCCTCACTGATAACACCAACAGTCCATTAACATACATTTTGTATGTTATATACTGTATTCCTACAATATTATATACTGTAAAATATACTGTATTCTGACAATAAAGTAAGCTAGAGACAATGAAATTTGATTCTTCTGAGATAGTGTGAAAAAAGAAAATATTAGGAAAATTATAAGAAAGAGAAAATACATGTACAGGACTGTACTGTATTTACCAATACCGTAAGTAAGTTCTTACCATCTGTTTGCAAGATGAATTGTCTATCTGAAATGTCAGGCAGCTGTAGCTGCAGACCTCAATCTACAGTACATCTCAAGCAAGTCGGCTTTTTCTTGTGATGTCATGGCTTTTCTCTGCTTCTGGGGAGCACTTCCAGCATCATCAGTGGCACCTCGTATGGGCCCCATGGTGTTATTTAAGGTTGCACTAAACACAGTGAAAAATACACAGGTACCACAAGAGATCACTTTTTACTGCAATATGCAATTTACTGGAGGGATGAACTGCTCACACGTGGACGATTGGTGTCACAGTCACACAGCATTTTAAGTGGATACTCGAAACACTTGAGCTCATTGCAGAAGACAGAAGATGTCTATATAATTATCACAGCAGTACAGGATGTACTACAGTCAATTTTATGCAATTATTTAATATTACATCTTTACATTTGTTTACATTTCTCTAGAATGTGAATGTGCCTGTGGTCGATTTTGTATGTGTAAGTTTTGAGAAATTTTAACTTTTTATAATAGATTGTGTATATTTTATGGTAATAAGTGATTAAATAGACTACTATCTACATGTTTTATGCATTCATGACACACCTTTTTTGTTTTTTTGGTATTTCTAGGCTACACAGTTAGTGAGAATTTCAAATTCAAAAAATTTTCCAATACATTTACTGAAAAATGTCAGGTATAAGTAGGCTTATGTACTTCAAACCTGTGTTGTTCAAAGGTCAACTGTATTACTGGTTCTGTTTCTCTGGCAAACCCTAATTCACTTACCTCCTCTGAAGCCTTCTCTGAGCATCCAGCCTCTAGGAGCTGTGCCTCCTGGCCTATTCCTGTTCGTGGATTGTCTGGATGCATCCTTGAGACTTTGCTCATGCAGTGGCTGTGGAGTTACAGAGCTTCAGGTTGCACCCTCAGTGTGGTTCTTGAGGATAGGTACCCCTTTTGTACTTACTGGGCTCTCCCTCAGCTCCTAGGAGAGATAAACACATGGTAGGTGGTCACTTACTATTTGCGGAATGAATGCACGTGGTGGGACTGAGTGGTAAATCAGGGAGAGTGGTGATTTTAAGCTGATTAGAAACACATTCCTGGCCAGGTGTGGTGGCTCATGCTTGTAATCCCAGCACTTTGGGAGGCCGAGGCGGGTGGACCACTTGAGGTCAGAAGTTTGAGACCAGTGTGGGCAACATGGTGAGACCCTGTATCTACTAAAAATTAAAAAAAAAAATAGCTGGGTATGGTGGTGCGTATCTGTAGTCCCAGCTACTCGGGAGGCTAAGGTGGGAGGATCACTTGAGCCCAGGAGTTTGAGGCTGCAGTGAGCTACGATTGTGCCACTGCACTCCAGCTTGGGTGACAGAGCAGGAGCCCATCTCCAACAAACAACAACAGCAACAGCAGCAGCAGCAACAACAACAACAACGAAACAGTAATCTAAACAGTTGGTTTATTCTTTTGGTGTTTGAGGCCAAAGGCTCTGAAATAGTCCTTAACTACCTTTTCTTCTTATTCTCCCTCTTCCTATCTCCTTGCCCAGCATGGTCTCCAAACCTAAAACAAACTTATATCTTAGAGAAAATTAGGAGATTGGTAGGGTTTGAATGTGTGTGTCTTTCCAAAATTCATATGTTGGAACTTAACACCCAAGATGGGGATATTAAAAGGTGGGTCCCTTGGAAAGTGATCAGGCCCTCAGGGCTCTGACCTCATAGGTGAGATTAGTGCCATTTTTTTTTTTGAAACAGAGTTTTGCTCTTGTTGCCCATGCTGGAGTACGATGGCATGATCTTGGCTCACTGCAACCTCCGTCTCCCGGGTTCAAGTGATTTTCCTGCCTCAGCCTCCCAAGTAGCTGGGATTACAGGCATGCGCCACCATGCCCAGCTAATTTTTTGTATTTTTAGTAGAGACGGGGGTTTCATGATGTTGGTCAGGCTGGTCTTGAACTCTGGACCTCAGGTCATCCACCTGCCTTGGCCTCCCAAAGTGCTGGGATTACAGGCATGAGCCACCACACCTGGCCTGATTAGTGACATTTTAAAGGGCTTGGGGGAGAGTTTACTCCTTTTGCCCTTCTATCTCTTCCACCTGGGAGGATACGGTGTTTGTGATACCACCCTGGAAGCAGAGAACAGCCCTCAGCAGACACCGAAGGTGCTGAGGCCTTGATTTGGGACTTCTGAGCCTCCAGAACTGTAAGAAATACCGGCACAGCTTGTTTTATTGCACTTTGCTTTGTTGTGCTTTGAGTTACTGGTTTTTTTTTTTTTAAATATGTTGAAGATTTGTGGCACCTTTGCATTGAGCAAGCATACTAGCACCATTTTTCCAACAGCATGTACTCATTTCATGTGTCTGTATCACATTTTGGTAATTCTCACAATACTTCAAACTTTTTCATGATCTATGATGGTGATCTGTGATCATTGATGTTACTATTGTAATTGTTTTGGGGCACCCCAAACGGCACCCATATAAGATGGCAAACTTAATCAACACAGGTTGTATGTGTTCTGACTATTCCACTGACTAGCCATTCCCCCATCTCCCTTCTCCTTGGGCCTCCTTATTCCCTGAGATACAACAATATTGAAGTTAGGCAAATTAATAACCCTGCAATGGCCTCTATGTGTTAAAGTGAAAGGAAGAGTTGCATGTCTCTCACTTTAAATCAAAAGCTGGAAATGATTAAGCTTAGTGAGGATGGCAGGTCAAAAGCTGAAAGCTAGGCCTCTTGCACCAGTTAACCAAGTTGTGCATGTAAAGAAAAAGTTGTTGAGGGAAATTAAAAGTGCAACTCAAGTGAACACACAAATGATAAGAAAGCAAAACAGCCTTATTGCTGATATGGAGAAAGTTTGAGTGGTCTGGGTAGAAGATCAAATCAGCCACAACATTCCCTTAAGCCAAAGCCCAATCCAGAGTGAGGCCCTAACTCTCTTCAATTCTATGAAGGCTGAGAGAGGTGAGGAAGCTGCAGAAGAAAGGCTGGGAGCTAGCAGAGGTTGGTTCAAGAAGTTTAAGGAAAGAAGCCGTCAGTATAACATAAAAGTGCAAGGTGAAGCAGCAAGTGCTGACGGAGAAGCTGCAGTGAGTGATCCTGAAGATCTAGCTAAGATCATTGATGAAGTTGGCTGCACTAAACAACAGATTTTCAGTGTAGATGAAACAGCCTGATATTAGAAGATGCCATCTAGGACTTTCATAGCTAGAGAGGAGAAGTCAATGCCTGGCTTCAAAGCTTCAAAGGACAGCATGACTCCTTGGTAGGGGCTAATGCAGCTGGTGACTTTAAGTTGAAGTCAGTGCTCATTTACCATTCCCAGAATCCCAGGGCTCTTAATAATTATGCTAAATCTACTGTGCCTGAGCACTGTAAATGGAACAACAAAGCCTGGATAGCAGCACATCTGTTTGGAGCATGACTTACTCCACTGTTGAGACCTACTGCTCAGAAAAAAAGGTTCTTTTGAAAATATTACTGTTCATTGACAATGCATCTGGTCTCCTAAGAGGTCTGATGGAGAGGTACAAGGAGAATAATGTTGTTTTCATGCCTGCTAACACAACATCCATTCTGTGGCCCATGGATCAAAGAGTAATTTTGACTTTCAAGTCTTATTACTTAAGAGATATATTTTGTAAGGCTATAGCTACCGTAGGTAGTGATTCCTCTCATGGATCTGGGCAAAGAAAATTAAAAACTTTCTGGAAAGGATTTACCATTCTAGATGCCATTAAGAACATTTGTGATTCATGGGGGGAGGTCAAAATATCAACATTAACAGGAGTTTGGAAGAGGTTAATTCCAACCCTCATAGATGACTGAGGGGTTCAAGACTTCAGTGGAGCAAGTCACTGCAGATGTGGTAGAAATACCAAGAGAACTGGAATGAGAAGTGGGGCCTGAAGATGTGACTGAATTGCTGCAATCTCATGATAAAACTTGAATGGATGGGAAGTTGCTTCTTATGGATGAGCAAAGAAAGTGGTTTCTTGAGATCAAAACTATTCCTGGTGAAGATGCTGCGAACGTTGTTGAAGTGACAACAATGGATGTAGAGTATGACATAAACTTAGTTGATAAAGCAGTGGCAGGGTTTGAGAGGATTGCCTTCAGTTTTGAAAGGAGTTATACTGTGGGTAAAATGCTATCAGACAGCATCATATGCTACCGAAAAATCTTCCATGAAAGGAAGAGTTCATCAATGCGGCAAACTTCCCTGTTGTCTTATTTTAAGAAACTGTCAGAGCCACCTCACCTCTCAGCAAGCACCACCCTGATCAGTCAGCAGCCATCAACATCAAGGCAAGACCCCCCACCAGCAAAAAGATCACAAGTTGCTGAAGGTTCAGATGATTGCTGGCGTTTTTTAGCAATTAACTATATTTAAATTAAGATATGTACATTGCTCTTGTAGGCATAATGCCATTGCACACTAAACACACTACAGTATAGTGTAAGCATAACTTTTTTTTTTTTTTTGAGACGGAGTTTCACTCCTGTTGCCCAGGCTGGAGTGCAATGTCACGATCTCGGCTCACCACAACCTCCACCTCCTGGATTCAAGTGATTCTTCTGCCTCAGCCTCCCAGGTAGCTGGGATAACAGGCATGTGCCACCACATAATTTTGTATTTTTAGTAGAGATGGGGTTTCTCCCTGTTGGTCAGGCTGGTCTCAAACTCCTGACCTCAGGTGATCTGCCCACCTTGTCCTCCCAAAGTGCTGGGGTTACAGGTGTGAGCCACTGTGCCTGGCCTAAGCATAACTTTTATATGTAGTGGGAAACCAAAAAATCTGTGGGACTCACTTTATTGTGGTAGAATGGACCCGAACCCACAATATCTCTGAGGTATGCCTGTAAATTTCAGTTGTTTATAAATTACCCAGTCTAATGTATTTTGTTATAGCAGCAGGAATGGACTGAGACAGGCATGATGTGCTTGATCTTTCAGACATTTGTTTGAATGGTAGCTACGGCTTCAGGGTTGTCATGCTTAGAACTGCATCTTGTTCATGGCTACCTAATCACGTTGGGGGTTCCCGCCCAAGTGGCCATCCCTTGGGTATCTCCAAGTTGTTCCAAGTGGAAAAACCACAGCTGTGCCTATGTAAATCCAAATAGCTCAGTAGACTGTGCAGAACAGCGGCATCCCGAGGACACCTCCCTAGTATAGGCTAACCGCTTCCATGTCCCTGGTGACATTTTGCCACACGGCCCCGGGGCCACAGTGAACATTCACTTAAGAAGTCTCTGCCTTGAGCTAGAGAACTTTTCAGTTGTAACAAAAGCCAAAGCCTTCCTGGGATTTTCTGTTAAAGACCCATCCATAACCCTGTTTTACCTCTGCTAGGATGTTTTGGAATTGACAACCCTCATGCTTTCTCTTTTAACCAAAAACACCACCCTCGTTGGTGAGTGAGGCAGAATGAATGAACACAAGGAGGGCATTGCAAATGACTTTTGAAATGGCAAAAATTCTTTTTATTTTGTCGTTTTTATGGAAAGGTCAAATAATTGAAAAAAAGAAGTTCTCGATGTTCTACTAAGGGTTTTCAAAAAAACACACTTTGTTGATAAAATATGAACTGTTTGAGAGATTTATAAGAGTCTAAAATCCTGCATAGCCCTTCAGAATTCGAAGCAGCAGGAAACCACTGTGATATTTTTAAAACAAGTATTTATAAAAGTAATTGGGTACTCTTGATGTGGAATAAGGAGGGGAGGAAAAAAAAACTGCTAAGGAAGCTATATTGGACTTGACATAAAAGCGAGGTATGTAATTTGGGAGCAGAACGGAGGGTGAGGAGCGTGTACACACAGTACCTGTGGGCCTCTCTGGTTCTGAAGCGCTAGAGGCAGGAACAGAAAGCCACGGGCGGCTGGCCCAGGTGGCCGCCTCCCTCGGTGCTGGGAGGGAGGGCAGCTCTTTGAGGCCTGAGGGAGGTGTGCAGGTAGGGCAGCTCATGTCTCAAACCCCTGTTTAAAACTCTGAGGCGCTCTCGAACTGATTACATGCAAGCGGGACAGAAAACACATGTTTCTGAGAACATTTTGGTTAAAATTAAAAATGTGGCAGGGACCGTGCCAATAATTTACTTGAGAATATCCGAACCAGATGTTGCTAGCCCGTAATTCCGAGTAATTTGCCAAAATTATGTATTTACTTTAATCCCAGAGATGAAGTTAAAATATGCACGGTTTTTGTTATTTGTGATGCAAAAAAAAAAAAAAATCTAATATGACTTCAGCTATTACTGGGTGGAGAATGAAGGATGGTCAGGATGTCTATTAACGAATACTTGAGCGTACACTGCGTTGACCAGACGGCTATCAGAAACAGATCCTCAAAAAGTAAAATACCCTAGGAGGTTTAGCAAACATTGTTGGGTAGGATGTTAATTCGTGAAATGACAACCTTGCATTAAGACAGCGTTTCTACTGGTGACAGAGCTCTAATTCCTAAGTGGCTCCCACTCATCATCTTGTTTGTGTGATGCCAAACATCTGGGTGAAAATGGAAAAAAATTCAGTCAGCTGTCTGGATTCCTGTTCTCTGTGGAGCCAAATAATTGAAAAGTGGGGCTAGTTGGTCAGTAGACAACATGTTTTTGTTCTAATTTGGATGTTCTTCATCTAGCTAGATTGAGACAACTTCGCGTAGTGCATAAGCATGAAAGCTCTGAAGTTAGATCGACTGGGTTCAAGTCCTGGCTTTGCCACAGATCAGCTTTGTGATGTTGAGGTGGTTATTGAGGTTCTCTCTTCTTAGTTTTCCTATCTGTAAAATGAGTGCAATAATAGTGTCTACCTTGTAGGGTTGTTGTGAAGATTAAATGAGTTAATAGTCATATGTAATACAATATCTAACTGCAGTAAGTGCCCTCCGTAAATATTAGCCATCTCCATTCTTCATGGTATTTGAGACCTAGGGAGGGTGGTCCTTGTCATTGCATTTATGACTTTTGTTTCTTTTGGCAAATGAGAAGTGTTACTTGGTGAGGGGGAGAGTTTATTTGTTTATTTATTTATTTATTTATTTATGAGACACATTCTTGCTCTGCCGCCCAGGCTGGAGTGCAGTGGTGCAATCATGGCTCATTGTCCATTGCAGCCTCGATCTCCTGGGGTCAAGCAATCTTCCTGCCTCAGCCTCCCAGATAGCTGGGTATAGAGATACTCACCTCCATGCCCGGCTAATTTTTTTTATTTTTACATTTTTCATAGAGATGGGGTCTTGCTGTGTTGCCCAGGCTCGTACCAAACTCCTGGCCTCAAGCAGTCCTCCTGTTTCAGCCTCCTAAAGTGCTAGGAATACAGGCATGAGCCACCATGACCAGCCTTTGTTTTTCCCCCTTTTAATTGTGGTA
Organism: Homo sapiens; assembly: GCF_000001405.40. Taxonomy (NCBI): domain Eukaryota; kingdom Metazoa; phylum Chordata; class Mammalia; order Primates; family Hominidae; genus Homo; species Homo sapiens. The sequence goes on from NC_000005.10 coordinate 173,354,046, forward strand.
AAATATACAAAACATAAAATTTACCATTTTAGCCTTTTTTGTGTGTGTGAGAGACAAGGTCTTGCTCTGTGGCTTGGGCTAGAATGCAACGGCACTATCATAGCTCACTGCAGTCTTGAACTCCCAGGCTCATGCAATCCTCCCACCTCAGCCTCTTGAGTAGCTGGGACTACAGGCATGAGCCACTATGCCCTGTTAATTTTTAAATTTTTTTGTAGAGACAGGGTCTCCCTAAACAGGCCCAGGCTGGTCTCGAACCCCTGGGCTCAAGTGATCCTCCTGCCTCAACCTCCCAAAGTGCTGGGATTATAGGTGTGAGCTGCCGTGCCCAGGCCATTTTAGCTATTTTTGAATGTACGCTTAAGTAGCATGAAGCACATTCACATTATTGTACAACTATCACCACCATTCATTTCCAGAAGGTAATTTATTTTATTTCAACAATTTTTAAACAATTTTTATTTTTTTTGTAGAGATGGGTCTTGCTATGTTGCCCAGGCTGTCTCAAACTCCTGGCCTCAAGTGATCCTCCCACCTCGGTGCCTCAAAGTGCTGGGATTATAGGCATGAGCCACTGTGCCCAGCAGAATTTATGTGTAACATAAAAATATCTTTGGAGCTCCTGGCTGGCTATCCACAGCCTCAGCTTCACCCCTGTCCCCTCTTACCTAACTATTACAGTGGCCTGGTGGTTGGGCTTTCTGCTCACCTCTAATCCCTGTTGTGTCTGTAAACCAGTCCTTCTAAAATGCAAATCTGATCTCCGTTAGCCTTAGGGTCTTTCCATTCTCCACCCACACCTTCCCTCCAGAAGTAGGCTAGGCCTCATTAGTAGGGCATTTAAGGCATTTAAAATTTCAGTTCTTGGCACACAGGCCTCAAGAAGTGTGGGGAGTTCTCTGAACATGCACTGCCTGAGGGATAAAGGATCCAGGAATCATGCCTGTTTTGCAGACGAGAAATGGTGACATCTCCAGCCTGGGATTCCACCCTACTTAGGACGGGGTACTTTTCCGGGCAGCCTCATTGTGCATAATTTGATTAACACCAAGAGCCAAGCAGCATTCTCTGATTCCAAGCACCTGCTCGGGGATAGTCCTGCCATGAGAAATGGTGCCACCGAGTCTGGGTGTGGGAGATCTTGGTTCTACGGCCTCTGCCCCGGGTTTGTCGAGGGACTTGACCTTCCTGGGTCTCTATTCCTCATCTCTGAAAATAGAAGGTTGTTCTTTGCTGGCTCTGTGGGAGTGGATGAAGCCTGCGAGGCAGAGGGGTGCTAGCCTCCCTCAGAAGGGTAGAGAGGGATGGTCAGAGGGAGAAGGAGTGGAGTCCTTATTCACCGCTTTGCTTGGTGAGCAAACTGGCTCATGTCACCTGCTGACATTCAGAAAATGTGCATCCCAGGGCCTGGTCCAGAGCAGCTGTCAATGAGGCGTCTATGGAATGAAGCCATGATTTGGGTCCTCAGCGAAGCTTTCTGCAGTCATCCCTCAAGTTCTAATAATCAGCTCCCTCAGGCCCATATCCGCTAGCCCATCATACCTTGCATTAGCTATTCACAGCCTGCTCTTGTTCTGTAATTTACCTTCTTGGGGAAAGGACACCTTTCTTCTAGATGTTAAAAAACAAAATAACCTAAATGCTCAGTAGGTTCCATTCCTGCAGTGTGTTCCCCATTTCCTACACTTGGCTCCGTTAGTTTGGAAATGATCCCAGGGCTTTCTGGCTTTCAAGATTGGACAAGGATCTCCCCGGATGGTAAGAGTACAGGGAGAAACTTCTCTAGTTTCCCTCCCGGCCATCTGTGGGGAGGTTGCTCTTTAGTGATCTTCCCCATTTGACCTGTTTTCTGGGAGATTCCACTGTCACACTGAGTTGGAGTCTCCCAAAAGCTGCCCCTGGGAAAGCTTTGCCGGTTGCCTTGAGTCGAATAAAGGCTGCAAAATGACTTGAAAAAAATACTTGCAATATGCTTTGAAGTTATTGATGATGCTAAGATTAGACAAGGAAGATCCCTGCTTGCTAAAAAGATTTATCAGGTTTTGCTTTTCTGCTATTTCCAAGAAAACCTCAAAAAGAGGGATGGCCTCTCATGGGGACATGAATGGTACCACCTGAGGGAGAGGTGGCTGTCATCACAGCAGGGAAAGGCCAGCTCCAGAATGTGTGGGTCAAATTTTTCGCTTGAGCAGGAGGTGGAGTTGGAGATGGGCTGCCTTTGCTGCTGCCCTGCCTGGGCCGGTCTGTGCTTGTCATTTACACCCTGTGCATCTTCAGGGGACGGGGAAGTAAGGGAAGCTTTCTTCTTTTAAATCTTCTAGTAATTTGAGGAAGGCCAGTCGTCAGACCAGGAGAGTTGTCCACTACCTACGCCTCTGGCAAATGCATCTGCCTGCCTGCCACAGCCCCGCTTGCAGTCAGTCAACAGCTCGTACTGAGCCCTTCTGTCTGTGGGGCCCTGTGGGCGCATGAGGAGATGGAGGAGGAGACATTGCTGTTGTTTCCAGCACGGGGTTCAGGGCTGGCTTCTGGGAGATTGTTTATTTCTTCTGAGGAATTTTGCTGGCAATTAGGCCAGGTTGCTTATGGGAAAACACAAGTATGTTGGTGATGGTCTGAACAGTCATGCTTCTTATGGGTGTGGCCACTCATTGTACTTGCACAGCCATGCACACCCACGCACACACACACGTGGACACATACACATGCAACCATACCCCCTGCATGCAGGTACTCATGTGCACACACGTGTGTACCTACATGCAAGCTGCACACATGCACAAATGCTCTCATGCACAAGCGCGAGTGCACACTCACACAAACATGCACATATGTGGACACACACTCACCATGCCCCTCTTTAATTAAGCAGAGGAATACAAACATCAAACAACAGCTTATTTATAGAAACAAGAAACCTAGCAGAAATACATAAATAAATGCCAACATAAAATCTTATACTTTTCTCTCTACTCCTTAACTATGAATACTTCTTCATCCTATTTGTCATTCTGTTTTGAGAAGAGAGACCAATACTTCCTCTCGCTTTTACTTTGGCAATGAAAACTGCCTTCGAGTCTCATTCCTGCTCTCTGCCTGCACAAAAGCTCTGGATCTGCCTTCTCGGGAGGCAGCGGCCTTTGATGGTTAAACTCTCGGCAGCTGGTCTCTGAGGCCAGCTCTGATACTTAGTAGTGGTGTAACCTGGGGCAAGTCACCTAACTCTTTCTGCTTCAGTTTCCTTGCTTGTAAAATGGGGAAAATAATATCATTGCCTTTTCGGGATGTTGTGAGGATTAAATGAATGCTGAGTCCAGTGCCTGGCATGTAGTATCAGATAAATACTAGTGATGATTCGTTTTCCCCTGGCCCTGGTCATTCTCTGGAGAGATGCTTCTGGCTGTCTTGGGTCATCGTCCTTCTGTGCTCATCCCTCCCGTATTTTAGGAAAGAAGTTATCTTTCTTTTCCATGTGATCAGGGGAAGAAGGTGGCAGCAAGATTAGACACAGGCCGCATGATTCTTTTCTCCCATCCATAGACTTCTGTCTACCTGACTGTCAGCTCTGATTTTTACCCTTTTGAGCTATAGCTGGGATTACTCCTAATTTGCAGCACATGGTTCCTTAGCAACCTTCACTAATATAGGATTAGGTATAAAAATACTTTTGGTTAGAATTTTAAACATCTTCATTTATTATAGACCATTGCTTTTAAAAAATCTTTTATTTCCCCTCTCCTTATTACAAAAGTAATGCAAATTCATTGTCAAATAATTAGAATCCCCAGATAGTCAGAAGGAATAAAAGCCCGCCTTTCGCTGGCATCTTGATATAAATTCTTCCAGTTTTAAAAATGGTGATGCATATATATTTGTACAAAATGGGAACTGTTCTTCACATCCTTTTTGTAAAAAGCTTTCCTCTCATTTCACAATGACCTTGAGTCCATGATGTTTTAAAATGATTTCTAAAAGAATATAAAGTTTCAGCCGGGCGCGGTGGCTCACGTCTGTAATCCCAGCACTCTGGGAGGCCAAGGCGGGCAGATCACCTGAGGTCAGGAGTTTGAGACCAACCTGGTCAACATGGCAAAACCCCGTCTCTACTAAAGATACAAAAAATTAGCCAGGCATGGTGGCACATGCCTGTAATCCCAGCTAGTTGGGAGGCTGAGGCAGGAGAGGTATTGCTTGTGAGGGTTCAGCCTTTATTCAGACATGCTGGGGCCCTGTAGCCAACAGGGTGAACATGAGAACAGCAGTGGCAGGTGGCTGAATGGGTTCTCAGACTGGCAGCACCAAGCTGGAAGGGACTGGGATTCATACCCGGATGTTGACTGCCTGCACTTGGCCAGTGCTGATCACAACACCCTTCAACCCCAGCAGGAGTAGGCACCTCTTTCTGAGCACCCAGGGCTCCTCCTGTCCTATGTGGAGACCATTTCTTTATTGTATTAGTTTCCTATTGCTACTGTAACAAATTACGACAGACATAGTGGCTTAATAACACACAAATGTATTATCTTACAGCTCTGCAGACTAGAAGTCCAACACAAGGTTTCACTGGGCTACAATCAAGGGGCTAGCTAGCTGCATTCTTTTTGTTATTTTTATTTTTTTTCTTTTAAAGGCCATTGGTTTTGGATCTTTTTGGAGACTCTCAAGGGGCAATCTAGAGGCCACCTTTTCCAGCTTCTAGAGGCCGCCTGCATTCCTTGGCTCATGGCCGCTCCTTCCATCTTCAAAGCCTGCCTGGGTGTGTTGAGTCCTCTTCACATTTGAATCACTCTGATCTCCTCTTCTGCCTCCCCTTCTACTTTTAAAAACCTCTGTGATTCCACTGGGCTCACCTGGATAATCCAGGATAATCTCCCTATTTTAAGATCTGTTGATTGACACTCTTAATTCCATTGGCCACCTTAATTCCCTTTGCCACATAAGGTAACATAGTCACAGGTTGCAGGGATTAGGATGTGGACATCTTTGGAGGCCATTATTCTGCCCACCACATCTATTGCCTTAAATTGTGCTTTCCATCTCTCACTGTTAATACATCTCAGGTGGAGTGCTTATGGCTCACCTACCTGCCCAGATGTAAACTCATGACAGACTGAAATTGGGTCTTGTTCTGACCTGAATTGTTCATGATTTCATCTTCAAACCTTAGCTACTGATACCCCAGGAGGTATGGGAGAACTTTCCAAGGGCTATGTGGGCAAAGGTGGCTTCAAAGGAATTCCCTATGTGTCCTGTGCTAACACACGTCTGCCTGAGAATGTGCCTGTCGTGGAGGCTGGTTCTGTTTTTGCCTCCTACTCTTTCCAGACGTTTTTCTTTCACCTTAACAAAGAAAGACCCAGCCCTATCTCCCTGGAAGTACCAAACAGTGACATTCAAAACACCGATGTCTGCAAAGCCTCCATGTCCCCCTCAACCTGATTAAGACATATGTTTTCAATAGATTGTATGTATATGTTTATTACTCATATACCAAAATTTGTAATATGTTTACATTGCCTTGATCAAATGTATACAAATAATGGTTACAATGATATTCAATCCAGAGGAAAATTATTAGCACTCAGATCCTAATGGTCCCGGAGGTAAAAAGGAAACTAGAATTTCAACTTATATACATTTTTTTCTTGCATAGAATTAGGATAACAATGTGATTATAAAAGACTTACTAGCACAAAATTATATTAGAACAAATAAATTTGATTTCAAAGAGGAAAAAGGAAAAATGTAAAATTTTATGACTCATAAAGAAGAGTTTGTTCTTGTATTTTTTAAAATAGCTGATGGTGAGTATCAAATTACTATGGTATTTAGATTCCATTGGAAACATTTAAAAGAGTAATGTAACAGTTTTATTTATAAAATGTCAATATTTACAATACAGTGGGAATTGCATCGTTCATATTATTTAAATTTATGTTAATTTTAGATGTCAACCAAAAATGTGCAAGGACTTACTTAGTGTATCAAAATTCTTTAGGAGGTAACATGAGCTTAAAAGTTTGAAGACTTTAACTTTTAAAGTGAAAAGACTGCTTTATGGGACCTTATGCACAGTAAGTGCTTAAAAACGTTTGTAGTTGAAGTTTGTAAAACATTAGGATAAAAGTAAGTTGGTCAAAAAAAAGTATAAAGTTAGAAAGTTTTAATATAGAAGATTCTCTAGTGATCCCTTAGATGTGCTCCCTTTGATAGCTCATGAGCATCTTTGGGGACTCTGGGATTCTAAGAAATCTTTAACTTCCTTTCTTAGTCGGAGACGTTGATGATTGGCTTAAGGCAGTAGAGATTGGCTTAAGATGTTGATGATGGGCTTTGCAAAATCCCTGAAGAATAGTACTCAGGAAGGGAATGGAGATTTTGGTTGCTCATTCATCCATCCAACCAACCAACCATCCAACCAACAAACCAACCAACTACCCAGTCAGTTTCAAAGAGTGCTAGGTCCTAGGCTAGGAGCCTGGAGGTAGAGATTGGAGGGGAGACAGGAAGTACAAAGTTGAATTATGTATAGTTCCTTCCCTCAGGATCCTGCAGGCCATAATGAAGTACATAGCATCTTGGCCTTCCCTGGCTTCCCCTGGAGACACTGTCCCTTTCTGCTTTACTCCATCCTTTTTAGGATTGTGTCTGATCGACAAAACATGTTTCTGGTAGAAGGGGATTTTGCTGTCTATGCTAGTTGCATTTGGGAGCAGGGTCCCAATGTGGCAGCTACTCCTCCCCTTCCCTGCATATGTCTGTGAGGCCTCCTGCACCCTCCCTCACCTATGCTCCTGGCCGCCTTAGGTTGTTGATTCCTCGTTAGCAGGAGTGAGTCCATTTTTAGGAGTGATGAGTGGATGGAAAAATGTCACCAGTCACTCATGACAGATGTCGCCAAAGCTTAATTAAGACTAGACGAGACGGTTTCAGCTCAGTAACTTCATAGATGGTGTAGGAAGAATGCCTGATCATAGAGCAAGGATTCAGGGTCTCAGGCAAGATTTTAAAAATCAATCTGTGTCACCTTCATGCAAAGTGGTCTGCTCCACATTACAGGGGGTGCAAAATGTACAAGATGTAGTTTCTGTTCTCATGGAGGTTATCATTAAAAGTTTGCATGTGAAAAGAAATGTATAAGATATAAAATTGTGTTTTTACTCCTGCCTCAATATTCTCTCTCTCTGTCTCTCTTCTTAGGCTCTGTCTCTCTCTGTCTGCTAAGGGACCCGGCAGGGCTCCCAGGCCATGTATCTGATGGAGTAATCCTTGGGGAGAGGGGATGGTGATGAGTACTTGAGAGTAAAGAACCACTGGAGAGAAAAACAGAACAGGTCCAGGAAGTGGGCGTGGGGCATGAAGGAATCAAAAACCTTATTGTAGGATTTTGGGAGCAGTTTTGGTGGGGAGTTAGTCAAGGCCAGGCATGAGGAAAGAGGCTGCTGGGGGCTCTGTGGGTGGGAAGAGAAGTGGAGAATGAGAAGAGTGGAGAAGATGGCTTGATTAGGTGTTGGTATGGGCTGTGAATTAGACCCCCTTCGGTGTTCTAGCAGGGGTGCTGGTAAAGACTGGAATTGCTCACATTTAGGAAGACCTCGCTTCCTAAAGTGTTATCAGACTGTGTTAGTCTGCTAGGACTGCCATAACAAAGTGCCACAGACTGGATGCCTTAAACAACAGAAATTTATTGTCTTACAGTTCTGGAGGCTGGAAGTTGAAGGTCAAAGCATCCGTGAGGCTGTTTCCTTCTGAGGGCTGTGAGGGCAGGCTCTGTTCCAGGGCTCTCTCCTTGGTGTGTAGATGGCCATCTTCATGTTCATGTGGAGTGCTCTCTGTATGCATGCTTGTGTCCAAATTTCTCACACCAGACATATTGGGTTAGGGGCCCACCCTACTCTGGTATGACTTCATCTGAGTTAGTTACATTTGGAATAACCCTATTCTCAAATAAGGTCACACCTGAGATTCTGGGGCTAGGACTACAATTCAGGATTTTTTGTTGGGCAGACATAATTCAGTCCACAACACAGGTATACTCTGGACCACATGGTGCCCTAGCTTGTATTTGGGTTATTGTATATATATATTTTTTTAATGTCATGCTTCATGAATTTTTGTGTCATCCTTGCACAGGGGTCATGCTAATTTTCTCTGTATTGTTCCAATTTTAGTATATGTGGTGCCAAAATGAGCACTATATATACATTTTATTAAATGAATTCATGCATATAACAGGGTAAATGATTCTATGCATTTGTTATTGCTAAAGCTACAGTAAAAGCAATAATTTCTGGTTTAAATGAAGGCTAGCTATGCTATTTGAAAAACCTTCGTGATGAAATGTGAATTTCCTCATGTTATTTTTATGCTTCAAACCCTCAGTGCCTTTCCCTTGCACTTGAGGTAAAATGCCAGCTGCTTGTATTTAAAAAAAAATTAAAAAAATGCTAAAAAAATATTTTCTGTAGAGACAAGGTCTCGCTGTGTTGCTCAGGCTGGTCTTGAACTCCTGGCCTCAAGCAATCCGCCCACCTTGGCCTCCCAAGGTGCTAGGATTTCAGCATGAGGCACTGCTCCTGGCTGCAAAATGCCAGCTTCTTACTGTGGCTTCCAAAGCTTTCAGGACAGGCCTCTGCTCACGTTCCCAGCACATCTCAGGCCATTTTATTCGCTCTGCTCTTGCCACACTGGCCTTTTTTTCAGTTTTTGTAAACTCAGCTGGTTTCGGGGCCTTTGCACAGACTGTGCCCTCGGTCAGCAACGCTTTCTCCCTATGCCCAGTTCTCCCCTTCTCTGCATGTTGTGATCTTCCTCATTCTTCAAGTTGTGTCTTAAGTCTTACCTTCTCAGAGGCCTTTTCTGACCCCTCCACCTAAAGTAAGCTACCCCATTATTTATTATCTCCTACAATGTAGTGAGTTGAATGGTGCTGCCAAAAGATATCTCTACTTGCTGGAACCTATGAATGTGACCTTATTGGAGAGAAAGGGTCTTTGTAGATTCAATTCAATTAAGGATCTTGAGATAAGATCATCCTGGATTATTTGAGTGGGCTTTAAATGCAATGACACATGTTCTTACAAGAGACAAACAGAAGAGAAACACCTGGGGAGAGGAGAAGGCTGTGTGGCATTGGAGGCAGAGGATAGAGTGGTGCAGCCATAAGCCTGGGAGTGCCTGCAGCCACCTGGAGCTTTGGAGGGAGCATGGCGCTACTGACACCTATATTTTAGATTTCTGGCCTCCGGAACAGTGAGAGGATACATTTCTGTTGTGTTAAGCCACCCAATTTGTGGTAATGTGTGAGAACAGCAACAGCAAATTAACACACACAGCACTTTGTTTTTTCCCTCCATGTCACTTATGACAACTTACTTTCATGTCACAGACTTGGTGACTTGTTTACTGTCTGCTCCCAGCTCCCTTTTAAAAATTATTTTTATTTTTTTGAGACAGGGTCTCACTCTGTTGCCCAGCCTAGGGTGCAGTGGCATGATCAGGGCTTACTGCAGCCTTGACCTCCCAGACTCAAGTGATCCTTCCACCTCAGCCTCCTGAGTAGCTGGGGCTACAGGCATATGCCACCTCGCCCAGCTAATTTTTGTATTTTTTGTAGAGATGGGGTCTCACTATGTTGTCCAGGCTGGTCACTTACCTGGCCTCAAGTGATCCTCCTGCTTCAGCCTCCCAAAGTGCTGGGATTACAGGTGTGAGCCCTTCTTTAACATGCAACACACTGTCAATTCTGGGCTTTTCCATTCCCTGTTGCATCTGTGGTGCCTAGCACAGTATCTGACACAGAGCAGATGCTGAAGAAATGTTTGTTGAATGAATGTCTCCTTGTTTTGAAGCATTTAAGAAAGCATCATTTTCTGGGGAGGCTTAGGTACACTACTTGGCTCCTTGTGGGTGGAAAGCATGCTTTCCAAGTGCTTGACATCCCCTGAAGGCTGCTACTCTTTGTCAGGGGTATAATCATTTCCTCTGAAATTGAGCGCACACTTTTAATTTTCTTTGCTAATTCTTTCTTTATGGAAAGGGAGACATTCAACTTCCTCAAGGTCCTTGTCCAAATGGCCTCGGACTCCGATGCCAGTTAAGGGCAGCTCGGCTTGGAGCCTGGAGATAAAGTGCAGGAGGCCCAGGCACATAAAGTTTCAGCAGGATTTGATGCCAAATAAAGGACATTCTCTGCAGAGAAGGGTAATTGCTCAAGGCTTTGTCTAATGTTAAGGCAGAGGGGATGGACCATTTCGACTGGCTTAGCATTCATGATAATATATGGTTCAGGACTCAATAAAAGGGTATAATTCTATGGAGGGATTCCACTGATCTCATAAACCACGGGAGTGTAGCTTGTCAGCAGAATACAGAGATTGGGTTACCACTGAGCTTGTCAACAGGGACCACTGCTGATCACTTCAGAGAAAGAATTAGTACAGGGCTCCTCTACACTGCATGCTTAGAAAATCAGTGCCTAAATAACTTCATGAAATTTATTAGAAAGACAGTATGTATGTTTGGTACTGTAGTACCAACGTATACCAAGGGTCATAGTGGAACAGTTTCATTACATGGCATTTGTTAATGAAGTTTATGTACAAAAATCTGCCGCTAGAGATGCCATAAATAAGCAAGTGGATGTTTCCCAGAACTCTGAGTGAAACAGCCTTTTCTTTTACCCAGGAATAATGGCAGTAAATGTGAAAAGTGGCATGGTGTAAGACAATAGGGAATAGTGGAGACTGTGGTCAATCAGACAGTGCATATCTTGCTTAAACTCTGGGTTGGCCAAATAAAACATGTCTGCAGCAAGTGTGAGATATTGACTTACTTGCTTATCTTTCCACTGGACGAGGGATTCACAAACTACAGCCCTTGGGTGAAAATCTGTCCTGCCACCTATTTTTAGAAAGTTTTATTGGAGCATGGCTATGCCTGTTTGTTTGCGTATCGTCTACGACTGCTTTTGAGCTATGGCAGCAGAGTTGAGTAGCTGTGCAAGAGAACAAATGACCCTCAAAGCCTAAAATATTTGTCATGTGCCCTTGTACGCAAAAAGTTTGCTGACTCTTGTACTGGTCTATGAAGTTCAGAAGGCTGCTTGGCACATATCCTAAACTCAGTAATTATTTGTTTATGTTCAAGAGGGGATTTTATATTATCCACAATAGGAACTGTGGGTTGCTTACCCAACAGCCATTCCTCCCTCTTCCTTGCTAACAGGGTCAGCCATGAGTTTCAGGGCTGTGGGAAGATGGGCTTCTCCCCAGTCCCAGAGGGTGAATCTTGATTAGTTTAAGCCAATGGTAGTTATCCCACTCCTACTCATTCTGAGGTTTAGGCACAGTCTTGTGATGGAATTGTGGCCATAGAGATGTGAAGGGAAACCTATGGGGGGTTTCTGAGAAGGAAAGCCTATGAGTCAGTTTCACACTTTCCAAAGGGATCTGAGGGGTACTGCCTTTCCTTCTTTTGCCTCTGGACACTGTTGAGCAGGGATGTGAGGGTTGCAGCAGCGACAGCATCTTGGGACAAGCCCAAGGCCAAAAGCCAAAGAGCTGAGGATGGCGGAGTACCAAGATAGAGCCTGGGTCTTCAATGACATAATAAAATTCAAGTTAACCCATTCAGCATCTATCCTACTTTGTTTTTTTTTGGTTGGGTAAGTGTCCTTATTGCTTATTCACTTTTAATTGGGCTGATAAGAAGATTGAACCCTAAAAAATTAAAAATGTTGTTGGATATTTTTGCTCTCTTTCCTTTGGGGTTTCTGACTTTCATCCTTGTTTACTAGGAAGGCCTCCCAAAAATGTTATGAAAATGTTTTGTATTTTCGTTTTATATTGTTTTATTTGTCCTTGTAGAACTTCACTCTATCAGGAATTAATGGTTTTATATGGTGTGAGGTAGGGATCTAACTTTATTTTTCTTCTAGCTGCAGTAGTTTTTTTTTTTTTTTAGTGCATGATGGTGAATGAAATCCGATGCATGAATAGAATTTTCTTTATTTTTTCTTCTTTTTTGAGTTTTAGTTTAGATTCAGCAGTAGATGTGCAGGTTTTTTATGAGTAAATTATGTGTCACTGAGATTTGGTGTACAAATGATTTCATCACCCAGGTAGTGAGCATAATACTTGATAGGTAGTTTTTCAGTTCTCACCCTCCTTTCACCCTCCAGCCTCAAGTGGGCTCCGGTGTCTATTGTTCCTCCCTTTTTGTCCATGTGTACTCAGTATTTAGCTCCCACTTATAAGTGAGAATATGTGGTATTTGGTTTGCTGTTCTGCATCAATTTGCTTAAGATAATGGCTTCCAGCTGCATCCATGTTGCTGCAAAGGACATGATCTCATATATTTATAGCTGCATAGTATTCCATGGTGTATATGTACCACATTCTTTTTATCCAGTCCACCATCAATGGGCATTTAGGTTGATTCCATGTCTTTGCTATTGTGAATAGTGCTGTGATAAACATGTAAGTGCACGTGTCTTTTTGGTAGACTGATTTATATTTTTTTGGGTATATTGCAAGTAATGGGATTGCTGGGTCAAACAGTAGTTCTATTTTAAGTTCTTTGAGAAATTCCCAAATTGCTTTCCACAGTGGCTAAATTGATTTACATTCCCACCAGCAGTGTATAAGTGTTCTCTTTTCTCCACAACTTTGCCAACATCTGTTATTTTCTGATTTTTTAATAATAATAATAATTCTGACTGGTATATGATGGTATCTCATTGTGGTTTTGATTTGCATTTCTCTAATGATTAGTGATGTTAAGCACTTTTTCACATGCTAACTGGCTGCATGTATATCTTCCTTTGAGAAGTATCTGTTCATGTCCTTTGCCCATATTTTTGTTTCCAACTCTTATTTTGGGTTCAAGGTATACATGTGCAGGTTTGTTACATGGATTAATTGAATGTCCTGGGGGTTTGGTGTACTGATAATTTTGTCACCCAGGTAATCAACATAATACCTGATAGGTAGTTTTTCAGTTTTTATTCTCCTCCCACCCTTTACCCTCAAATAGGTCCCAGTGTCTGTCGTTCCCTTTGTGTCCATGTGTACTCAAGGTTTAGCTCCCACTTATAAATAAGAACATGTGGTATTTGGTTTTCTGTTCCTGAGTTAATTTGCTTAGGATTAGGGCCTCCAGCTACATCCATGTTGCTGCAAAGGACATGATCTCATTTATTTATAGCTGCATAGTATTCCATGGGGTATATGTACCACCTTTTCCTTATCCAGTCCACTGTTGATGGGCGTCTAGGTGGATTCCATGTCTTTGCTATTGTGGATAGTCTTTGCCGTTTTTTAGTGGGATTCTTTATTTCTTGTCGATTTAAGTTCCTTATAGATTGTAGATGATATGCTTTTGTCAGATGCATAGTTTGCAAATATTTCCTCCCATTCTGTTGGTTGTTTTTTTTACTCTATTGATAGTTGCTTTTGCTGTGCAGACGTTCTTTAGTTTAATTAGATCCCACTTTTTAAAAAGATAATATGTAATTTTCTATACTGGAGATGAATATGACAAGATTGGTTTCTTCTAGATATCTTTGAAAATGGCTAACCTTACTGATAGTTTTTAAGTGCAATGGTGATGCAACTAGATTGTTTTCTAATTTCCAAAAAGGAACTTAAAGTAACTTGAAAGTCTTTAACAGAGGCATCAATTTTAAGACAAACAATATAATGTGAGGAAAATACTAACCCTGCTAAGTATATCTGATCTGGTCCATCCCAAGAAAGATTGAGTTAATTCCTGGTGCTGATTAGGAATGCTAACAGAAAAAAAGTCAGAGTAAAAATGTATCAGCATCTTTCACTGTGTTGATTTTAAAAATCAAACATAATTAGTACAGGGAACACTTAAATCTTCTTAAAATTGGGGCTAATATTTCTTATCAAATCTAAAACAAACATGCAAACAAACAAACAAAAAACCCTTGACTGGTACTTGGTAAATTAAAAGCTACCTTCAATACATTGAAATGCTAACTTGGAGAAGATATTTGCAATACATACAACAAAGGGTTGGTGTCATTAATATGAAAAGAGCACCTACAAATCAATAAGAAAAGAAAGTAGAAAAATGGGCAAAAGACATGAACAGATATTTCTGAGAAGAGGAAGTGCAAGAAGCCAATCAACTTATGAATTCTTGCTCAGTATCATTAGGGTCAGGGAAGTTCAGATCAAGACCTCAATGAGGTTGCCCTCCACATCCATTTAGTTGGGAAACATGTACCTTATACATAACCAAATTTACATTATAATTCTAACTGTGCACTAACTCGTGGTACATACAAAGTAAGAATTAAATGTTTATTGTTTTGTGTTATATGTGTGTGATATTTCTAAAACATAAATTAAAAAAAATCATAAGGTAGCACTACCTGATATCAAGAGTCTTACCATAAAAAAGACCGATGTTGACAAAAATATTTGAGGACATCAAACTCTGATGTTCAAATAATAATTTTTTTAATCAAGTAAATATTTTTTGAAACTTTCATTTAAAAACGTATTCCTACAGACATTTCCTTTTTCCGTTTTAATTGTTAGCTAATTGACTTTGGCCAGATGCTCATTTGCTAAAGGGCCTGCATTTGATTTGAGCAGCTCTTCACCATTACTCTCCCAAATTCATGACTTCTTGCATCTTTGGGAATATTGTCAGTGTCACTTTGCATTAAAATGATATTGCATTGTAGGCATTTCATCTTCCTGTTGAGCTTGGCAAAGAATGTGATTTAGAATTGCTGAGATTAGAGGGATGGGAGGAGGTTGGCAGCTGGAGAAGCCCAAAGTTGCTTTTGTTTGTGTCTGTCTCAGTCTCTCTCTCTCTCTCTCCTATTCTTTTTTCTTTAGAGACAAGGTCTAGCTCTGTTGCTTAGTGCAATGATGCCATCATAGCCCACTGCAGCCTCAAACTCCTGGGCTCAAGTGATCCTTCTGCCTCAGCCTCCCAAGTAGGTGGGTGCATGCCACCATGCCTGGCTAATTTTTTTTTTTTTTTTTTTTTTTTTTTTTTTTTTGAGACGGAGTCTTGCTCTATCCCCAGGCTGGAGTGCAGTGGCATGATCTCAGCTCACTGCAATCTCTGCCTCTCGGGTTCAAGAGATTCTCCTGCCTCAGCCTCCCAAGTAGCTGGGGCTACAGTCGTGCGCCACCACGCCGTGCTAATTTTTGTATTTTTAGTAGAGATGGGGTTTCACCATGTTGGCCAGGATGGTCTTAATCTCTTGGCCTTGTGATCCACTGACCTCAGCCTCCCAAAGTACTGGGATTGCAGGCATGAGCCACTGTGCCTGGCCTGGCTAATTAATTTTTTTTTTTTTTTTTTTTTGGTAGAGATAAGGTCTTGCTCTGTTGCCCAGGCTAGTCTCAAACTCTTGGCCTCAGGTAATCCTCCTGTAATCCCAAAGTGCTGGGATTACAGCAGGAGCCACTGCACTTGGCCAGTTTTGTCTCTCTATCAAGCATTTCCCCCTTTTTGGTAGTAGCACCCTGATTTTCTTGGGGTGACCTACTCTCAACTCTCAGTCCATGAGGTTTGACTGAGGTCACTCCTATCTCCAACTCAAGGGATGGGCATGTGTCCCAGGCACTTCATCTCCTTGGCCACAGTGATGAAATAAATCCTTGGCTACAAAGGAGCCCTATTAGTTTTTTTTCTTAATTACATTTTTAACTGGAAATGGGTGATTTTATTAGTTTCCTATGGCCGCTGAAAGAAATTACCTCAATTGATGATTTAAAACAACACAAATTATTCTACATTTCTGTGGTTAGAAATTCTATGTGAGTCTCACTAGGCTAAAATCAAGGTATTGGCAGGGTTGAGCTCCTTCTTCAGGCCCTCTGGGAGAATGTTTCCTTGCCTTTTCCAGCTTCTAGAGGCCACCTGCATTCCTTGGCTCACAGCCCCATCCTCCATCTTCAAAGCCAGACTGGGCAGGTCAAGTCCTTCTTACACAGCATCTCTCTAACCTCCTCTTCTGCCCTGGCTCTTGTGGTTGCAGTGGATCCACCTGGATAACACAGGATACTCTATTTTAATATCCACTGATTAGTCACCTTAATTCCCTTTTGCCATATAAGGTCACAGAATCACAGGTTCTGGGGATTAAGACAGGGATGTTTTTTGTAGGGGTAGGGGAAGGAGGTGGTCATTTCTCTGCTTACCACAGCAATTCATTCAGCTATTCTAACTTGATGTAAATGGTACTTAAAAACCATGCATTTTCCTTTGCTTTAATTTTGTGCTAATTGAGAAATCTTCTGTATTTACAGATGTAACACTGAAGATGACCTAAGAATTTGTTTATGATGGGCATCATTGAATGTTAGGGCTGTTGCCCACACTCCTTCTACTTTGCACTCCTGTTCAATTTGGGCTTTTGAGTGGATCTATATACCTGTACAGACAACTGATTCTGGTCTTTAGACTTCTCACATCACTTATGATAAATCCATCTAATGGAATTAAGGCTTTTATTAAACCTCCCATCAGTTTGGTTTGTCTGAATTGATTTCCCCAGTCTGCTAACCCCGTTTTTGGTAACAGCACCCTGATTTTCCTGGGAAGAACCACATTTCCCCAACTCTCAGTCCACGTGCTGTGACTGAGACCACTCCCATCTCCCACTCTAGTGGTGGGCATATGTCCCAGACCTGGCAAATCAGAGCATTTGCATTTCCCTGGTCACAGTGATTGGTTCAGAGATGGGCATGTGACTGAATCCAGGCCAATGAAATTCCATTCTGTGACTTTTGATAGAATTGTTGGAAAGCAGGGCTCTTCCTTTTACCAGGGGTTGCTGAGCTGCTGGCCTGTAAGCCTGGACCTCTCTGCTTGTGGTCATCTTGGTTGCCACTTGGGGAGAGCAGATCTGAGAAGAGAGCCAACGCAGAGATAACAGTGTGCTGTCACAAAGGGAGATGGTTTCTTCTTGACATTTTTTGAGAACTTTTTTGAGAGGTTTTCATGCTCCACTGCACTTGGGTCCTTCCCCCATAGTCATGTGTTCCATGCCAGCCTGCTTCTGCATTTGTGATCTATCAAGAGGTGATATTATCACATGTGTAAGAAACTGCTGCCTATCCTGATGGAAACCTGTCCACATCAGTCAAGCAGGTCTACTGGGAAATATTTGCTCCATCGAAGGGTGGATGAAACTTCACTCACCCTCGGCAGGCTTGTTCAATCCCTTCAGAATGAAACTTCAGAGTAGAAGATGACTGGGAGCCAGGGCTAGCATGGAAAGTGTAAGCCTTCAGAGAGGGTTAGAATAATTACTATGTGGGTCCCACTTAGTAATTGAGATGCAGCTCGGTAAGAAGCCAGGACACATGATTGGGCTTTCTTTCTCTTCTTCTTTTACCACATTTTGTGCCATTGAACATGGCCAAAAATAGAATAAGAACGCCAGCATGGTGGTTGTGGATTTGGGGAGGAAAACAGACAATTTAGCAAACACTTATCTTGACCTTCCAACATGCAAAGTGCTGAAGGGAAAAGTGGGTAAAACAGGTTAGGCTAGGTTTTGCTGCAGTAACAAATAGTCCTTAAGTCCCAGTGAATTTTAACAACAAAGGTTTGTTTCCTACTCAGACTCCATGCCCGTTGGGGGTTGACAATGATACCCAAGGTGACAAAGCAGTCACCAGCTCCAAAGTGGTCAGTCAGCATCTCAGAGGGCATAAGAACTCTAGGGGCTCCTGTACTGGCAATTAAATGATGCATGTCACTTTCACTCACAGCTCATGGATCAGAACTAGGCCCGCAACTATAAGGGATCCAGAAAGAACATTCTTTTCATGTGTTGGGAGGTGGAGGCGTTGAAATAATTGGTGAGAAGCACTCATGAGATCCATGAAGTTCTGGCTTTGTCTTTGATGGAGGGGGGAATAAAATGTAAAAGGGGAATAGAATATGGAAGTGGGTAGAGAGGTGTTGGGGGGATGCTGGGGGTGGAATGAACAGGCCCCAGGTCCCTTGAGTCTGTTGTTCAGTATGCTGAACTTCAAGTTACTATTATTGCTTAAAAATGCAGAATTCTTGACTCCACCGAGATGAGAGTGAATTAGAACTGTTTTCACAAGACCCCTCAGGCGATCTGCATGCATATTAAAGTTAGAAAAGTTCTAATGTGTACACCAGATGAGAATATATTAGGTGGTTCAAGGACATCATTTTATTTTAATAATTATTTGTTTTATTATATTCTCTCTATAAGTGATACTATTTCTTTCATTTATGGAACTTATATGAGATAGAACAATTTATTTCACTAAAATTTAGTCAGTTTAAAGAAAAATATTAAGTAAATTATAGTATAGTAAGTCACCAATACGGGACGGACGAATTGTTAATGATTTGTTAATGCTCGAAGTTTGGGAAACTCCACCCCACTGGAGATGTCCCAAGCTTCCCCTACCCTGGCCTTCCTACCTCCCAGATGCCCTGGTTCATCAATTCTCTGTCCACTTGCAGCATGGTGGCTGTGGCTTTGTGGTGACCACAGCTGGTCACCTGTGACCAAGCTTCTACAGTTGCCAGGTGGGAAGAGGCAGCACAATGACACACCTGGAGCCTGTGCTTGGAAAGGAAAGTGGCCATTCAGGTTTAAACTACCTGGTGGGTGAGGAGGAGGTCATTTATTTGCAATATCAGGCCTAATATGTTTTAAGAAACGGAATCATCCAGCTAATTTCCTCATTTTCCTAGTTACGTGTATACTTAGGTGTGTATGTGTATACAGCCTGAAAACTCTGTGTTAAAGATTATCAGACTAAAATCTCAAGTCTCAGATGAGAACAACAATGTTAAGAACATTCCCCTATCAGTTTCCATTTTAAGCTGATCCATTAGAGACAGTGCCTTTCCAAGTCCTTAGTGGTGGGCGACAATGGCGTCATAAGGTGATGCCTTTGGTATTATTCCTCATGTGGCAGGCAGAATAATGCTCCCCCTAAAGCTGTCAGTGGTCTAATCCCTCAGACTTGTGGATATGTATGTTACATGGCAAAAGAGACTTTGCAGATGGGATTCAGTTAAGGATCTTGAAATTGGGAGATTGTCCTGGCTCATCCAGGTGGGCCCCATATAAGCACGAGGGTCCTTATAAAAGGGAGGCAAGAGGAGATGTGACATTGTCACATCTCCCAGGCAGACAGGAGATGTGACCATGCAAGCAGGGGCTGGAGTAATGTGCTTTGAAGATGGAGGAAGGAGCCACTAGCCAAGTGCAGACAGCCTCTAGAGGCTGGAAAGACAAGGAAATTGATTCTCCCACAGCCTCCAGAAGGAACACAGCCTGGATAACACCTTGACTTCAGCCCTGTAAGGCACATTTTGGACTTTTGACCTCCAGCACTGCAGGAGAATCAGTTCATATTGGTTTTGTTTGTTTGTTTGTTTTGAGATGGAGTCTCGCTCTGTCACCCAGACTGGAGTGCAGTGGTACGATCTTGGCTCACTGGAACCTCCACCTCCTGGGTTCAAGCAATTCTGTCTCAGCCTCCCAAGTACCTGGGACTACAGGTGCCCGCCACCATGCCCAGATAATTTTTGTATTTTTAGTAGAGACGGGGTTTCACCATATTGGTCAGGTTGGTCTCACACTCCTGACCTCAGGTGATCCACCTGCCTCGGCCTCCCAAAGTGCTGGGATTACAGGCATGAGCCACTGTGCCCGGCCATTCACGTTGTTTTAAGCCGCTGGGTTTCTGGTAATGTGTTACGGCAGCATAGGAAACTATCATACCCCAACATCCACTGCAGGGGGAAGGTTGCAGATGCTGACTCCAGCAGCCAGTGGGAACAAGCACAGAACCACTTTCTAAGTTAAGAACCCCCAGGCCCCCTCCACCAGATGGCTAGGATCCCATGAGTCTCATTGGCCAAGCTTCCACACCAACATCAGTATGATAACCTGTGCCGCTGAGTGCCCTTCACAAGAAAAAGTCATTTTAGCACAGAAGTCCGTTTTAATGCTATAGATGCCATCTAGATGAAGGACAAGGGACCAAAGGATCTCTCCTTTTCAAAGACCTTGTTAGCATAAAACAACCATTTAAATTACTCCCCCAGCTATGTCCAATTATTAGCATCTCCCCACCGGGCAGTGGGAAGGGGATCCTAGCTTCTTGCCTCAACTCTAGGTAGGACTCTGGGCTTTTAGGCAGAGGCATGCGTGGTGGCTTCCTAATCCCCCAAGTCTCCTGGTCCCATTTTGCAACATTTTTTTTCATGTTTATTCATGGACCCAGAGGTGGAAGGACATCTATTTCCTGCTTTCTGACAATGGTCTGAGACCTGCAGCAAATAAACTCACAGTTCCTGTTTATAATTCCTTAATTATAACAAGCAAAACTTTGTTCCGGGGCTTTTTGCTGCACAGAAACTCAAGTTTGATTTTCCACTCTGTCCTTCTTAGCTGTGTGACCTTCAGCAAGTCACAAGACCTCTCAGAGCCTTGTTTCCTCATCTATAAGATAGGGATGAAATTCCAACTTTGAAAGATTGTCGTGAGGATTAAATTGTCAAATGATACCATGTACGAAAAACTTCTTGTTCAATGACTGCTCAATAAATAAATTGGGGCTGGGCATGTTGGCTCATGCCTGTAATCCTAGCACTTTGGGAGACCAAGGGGGGAGGATTGCTTGAGCCCAGGAGTTCAAGAACAGCCTGGGCAACATAGGGAGACCCTGTCTCTATAAAAATTAAAAAATTAGCTGGGCATGGCTGCACACCTGTAGTCCTAGCTACTCAGGAGGCTGAGGTGGGAGGATTGTTTGAGCCCAGGAGTTCAAGGTTATGGTTAGGTATGATTGCGCCACTGCACTCCAGCCTGGGCAACAGAGAGAGACCCTGTCTCAAATAAATAAATAAATGGCAACCACTCTGGCACTTTTCTCCTGAATTAAATGTGGTGACCTTGTAATTTTTATTAAAGTTTTGACTTAAATGACATTTTTATAAGATCTTTTTTCCTGGATTCCTAGGCAGAGACATCACCCTGTCCTTCCTGTCCTCATGTGCCACAGTGGGCAGTTTTGGTTGAGGATCCAGCATCCACTCCTCCCTCCTCCATCCCAACAGAATCCATTTTCTGGTTTCCATCCTTCCCCTGAGAAGCCCCTGTGTCCCTCTGCACCTGAGCCCACCCCTACCCTAGCAATGGACCTGACTGGCTTGAGGGATTCCCAATTCCCTTGAGCCAATCAGCATAGTGTTGGCCCAGCAACTGGTATTGGGTAAGGTTGGGTGTGTGGCCTAAGCTGCCCCACTGGAATGAAGGTACTGAGTGTGCAGTACTCTCTCTCTCCCTAGATGTAACAAATATACAAATCTATTTGCTGCAGACTGCCATATGCCACAATGGAGAGTCAGACTGAAGTGCGGAGTCAATGTGTGCAGGAGGGCTGAGCCCAGAGCCACAGATAGCACCCTGATCATACCATACCTGAAGCCTACACCACCTCCCTATTACTTGAGAATGGGCATCTTCTGATTGTTCAAATCAGTTTGCATCAGGGACAAGCTAGAGGACCCTCTGTGGAGGAATTATTCTCCTCTATGTAAGTGAGCATATGCTATATAAAAATGCTACGCTCTGTATTGTTCTCAAGCTTACAGAGCACCCTTTGAAGGGTCAGGGCAGGCCTCACGACTGCAAGACCAGTTGAGTTTAAGGGAAAAATTTGGGGCAAGGATTATGCTTTCTCCTCAAGGAGGTAAGACATCCATTGAAGATAAGACAATGAACCCTGGGAGAGTTTCAATGGGAAGTGAAGTGAAACACCAACCTCATTTCTACCAGAACCACTAAATCCCCTGTGAGAGGTAGCAGGGCAGGAAGAAGACTCATTCAGAATCTGGATTCCAATCTAAGTCTGGATTCTGACTCCCTCACTCCCTAGCTGCATACCTTTAGACAAGTCACTCAGTCTCTCCAATTTACCATTTATTGAAATGTCTTTAAATATCTCTTATATGCCAAGCACTGTTATAGCTGCTGTCTGTGTATTAGCACACTTAATCCTCATGCCCACAAGGAGGGCACCTTTTACTAACAGGAAAACAGACTCAGAGAGCTAGATAACTCACCTAGAGTCACAGAACAGCACAAGTAGTACTGGGATTTAAATCCAGACAGTGGATGCCAGAGACATCTGGTCAACCCCACACTACACTGCCTCCAAGCTTTGAGGAAGCAGGGGTCACCAACCACATCTAAGCAGGAAGCTGAAGGTGAGTGGCAGAGAAGCTTCAATACTCAAGGCCCCTCTGTTCTTTTAACTCACTTCTTCATGTATGTCCAAAACCGTGAAAATGTATGTTCACATTTCCATTTTACAACATAAACATTTGTTAGGGGCCTCCTAAGTCAGATGTGGCAGGGAGGTGAGTTTCCTTCCCTGCAGTTGCACTTCCCAGTTCTTTTAACACCATTAAGTAACACCTAGACACACTTCCATTAAGGCCCAGACACAAGAATAGAGATCTCTTCCCGAAAACTACCAGGCGAGGCTGAGGGACCAAGCTCTTTCTTCAAAGGCTCTGGGTCCCCACACAGGTCATGTGCCTGGTCAATTCCAACCACAACCGTTCCCTCCAGCTTCAAGCTGACCACAGCCAATCAGCCTCATGCTGCAGACCAGCAAACAGTCCCACACCTGAAAGGGCAGCTCCGGCCAGGTCGTCACCTCCAGTGGAAAAACAAGACCATGGGATGCTGGGCCCAACTTTATCATGTCTTAATCCAACAAACAGGATGAGTGATAGAGGGTCTGCCTACCTCATACTGTTTGAGGAGGACCAAGGAGAACACTATTAAGTGTTCTACAAATATGGTGGTCACATGATTAGTAGCAATTTCAAATTCCTTCTTCACTTTTTAATGCCAATGACAAAAATGGGAATAGGCCAGGCATGGTGGCTCATGCCTATAATCCTAACACTTTGGGAGGCCAAGGCAAGAGGATTGCTTGAGCCCAGGAGTTCAAGCCCAGCCTAGGCAACATGGCAAAACCTTGCCTCTACAAAAAAAGTTTAAAAATTAACCAGGTATGGTGGCACATGCTCATAATCCCAGCTACTTGGGAGGCTGAAGCAGCAGGATCATTTGAGCCCTGGAGATTGAGGCTGCAGTGAGCCATGATCACACCACTGCACTCCAGCCTGGGTAATAAAGCAAGACCCTATCTCAAACAAACAAATAAACAAACAAACAGGCAAACAAAAAAAGAGGTCACAGAGAGCTAGTTAGCTTCTTCTGTCAATGAGGACACAGTGAGAAGACACCATCTATGAACCAGAAAGCAGGCATTCACTATTCACTGAATTTGCTAGAGTCTTGATCGTGGACTTCCCAGCCTCCAGAACTATCTGAAATAAATTTCTGTTGTTTATAAGTCACCCACTTTATAGTATTTTGTTACAGCAGCCTAAACAGACTAAAACACAAACCGTGATATTGGGACATTACTTAGGCTTTGAGGCTCTCAGCCTCTTTGTCTGAAACCTTGGAAATAGTGATACTCATGTTATGGTTGTGAGAATCCATTTGGACCTAAAGTGCTTTTGTGAACATCTTTTTTTGTCTAAGCAGTCATCAGTCACTCCCCTTCTTCCAGAAGCAGCTCCTTGCCTTCCCTCTGGTGAAGTTCCTACCACATTCAGTCTTAGTGGGGTTGCCAGTTGAGGAGCCCTGGCCTTCCCTTCTTTGCCAAGGCTGCACAAAACCCAAGCCATGCCAGCAGCCTCTCTGCTGGGAATCTGAGACCTGCATGACATGAAGAAAGGAAACAATTGGAGCTGAAGAGGCTGTGGTTTGGTCCTGCTGTTGGGAGCTGATCTGATTTCCAGTGGGAGGCCTGATTCTTCCATTTTCCCTCCAGTTCTGTGAGCTTCCCTGGAGCCTTCTGATGTCACCTATCTTTGACTGTTGCTAACTTCCTAAGCGACCTAATGAAATGATCCTAGAGCTCAGCACAGGAGCTTACCTGATACAAAATACACACGCAGCAAATCAGCTCTAGTAAAGCAGATTGAGTGACACATTCAGGTGACCCTGAAGCCTGTTTATTCCACCCACAACCTCCCTCGCCACCTTTCTGCCTGCCTCCATATGAGTGGTGTCCTTTCTATTCCCCCTCTACATTTTATTTCCCCCTCCATCAAAGACAAGGCCAGAACTTACCCACCATGGATCTCTTGAGTGATGCTCATTAAGCATTTCCAGTTCTGCCCTCTTCCTATACATGGAAAGATTGTACTTTCTGGACCTCTTATGTTTGGGGGGGCCTAGTTCTGGCCCATGAGTTGTGGAGTGAAAGTGACATGTGTCATTTAATTGTTCTTATCCCATCTGGGATGCTGACCAATCACACTGGAGATGATTGCTGCTCTATCAGCCTGGGTACCCCTATCAAACCACAGGAGACATGTATTCTATATAAGAAATAAACTTTTGTTGTTAAAAGCTACTGAGGGCTGGGTGTGGTGGCTCATGCTTGTAATCCCAGTTCTTTGGGATGCTGAAGTAGGAGGATTGTTTGAGCCCAGGAGTTTGAGACCAGCTTGGGCAACGTAGCAAGACCCCGTCTCTACAAGAAAATGTTTTTTAAAAATTAGCTAGGCATGGTGGAGCACATTTATAGTCCCAACTACTCAGGAGGCTGAGGTGGGAGGATTGCTTGAGTCTGGGAGGCTGAGGCTGAAGTGAGCTGTGATTGTGCTATGGCACTGTAGCCTGGGTGACAGAGACAGAACCTGTCTCAAAAACAAACAAACAAACAAATAAAAAAACCTACTGGGATTTAGGGATTATTTGTTATCACAGCAAAGCCTAGCCCAACCTGACTGATACACGCGCCACACTTTCACCCACTTTCCCCTTCGGCACTTTGCATGTTGGAAGCCCATGATAAGTGTTTGTCAAGTTGTGTATTTCCTCTCAAATATACAATCACCATGCTAGTGGTCTTCTACTATTTTTGTCCATGGTTGGTGGTACAGAATATGGTAAAAGAGGAAGAAGAGAAAGAAAGCCCAATCATGTCTTCTTGCTCCTTATTGAGCCATGAGGATGTGTAACACACCCTGGGAAGTGCTGTAGTGGTGTCCTGAGGAGGATGGGGCTCTCAGTTGTAGACGAATATCCCATCATTCAAGAGGGCACTCAGTCAGCCAACAAGTGCTTGGCTTGCACTCTGTGTTGGGTGCTGGGCTAGGTGTAGGCACTCAAGGACCCTCCAGGAGCCCTGAGTCTAATGGGGGAAAGTGTGGGTAGGAAACTGACCATCTCTACTCAGCACTGTTAAGGGCATGAGCCAGCTGGCCCGGGAGTAGAGAGGTGGGAATGACTAACCCCAGTTTAGGAGGCTCAGGTGACATTTGATTCAAGTCCTTAAAGAAAACAGGCCTTACCTAGGCGAAAACCAGCTTGGGAGCTGAGCAAGAAGCACCAAACCTGTTGATGGGCAGAATTGTCGGCTCCAGCTCCTCAGGGGCATTAGGCAGCAGACTCCCTGGAACCACTGTGCTCAGAAAGTGTGTGAGTGCTTGACAAGTTACTTCTTCCTGTGCTTTTTTATTGAGGGCTGTGGATAGGGGCAGCTGAAGAAGCACATTTCCACCAAGGATTTAGAAAAGGGAAGAAACTTCATCTAACATGATGCCAAAAGAAATGGGAACAGCCAAGGTTTGCCCCATGGTGTTTGGAGGAAGCTAGGGTCCCCAGGAGCTAGGAAGGTGTGGGGTTAGGACTTGAGGGGTGAAGAGTATGTGAAATGAAAAGGCTGGAGTGTTGCCTCGGCTTCAGGAGGGGCTGAGGTCACATTGGAATTACCATTTTAACAGAATGCCATAGCTGAGTGACAGATCACAGGGGTGAGGGGCTTGTGCCAAAAGAGGAGGCACCTCTTATTTTGGCAGACTCTGGAACACCCCTCACAGGAAACCAGTTTACTTGGGAGAAATTACGCCTTCTTCTCATTTTGTGCACAATGAACGTGAATAAAACGTGAATAAAATGATGAGGTTAACATTCTTTATTACTATAAATGCCAATAAACATAAAAAACATGCTCAACCTAGTCAGTAATGAGGGAAATCACGGGCAGTGATTCATACTCGAATTTGTGCAGGACGTACTGCAACCTCTGTCGTGTTCTTTCCTGCTGGATTTGAACCTGGGAGGATATAGGCTGACATTGGTGCCGCCATCTTGCCACCAGGAGGGGACAGCTTGTCTGAGAATGGAGCCACACTAGAGAAAGAAGAGGTAAGAGGTGGAGAGAGAGACCATGGCCTGACGGTGTCATTGGAGCCCCCGAATCAAGCTGTACCAGTGGCCAGTACTCCCCTGGACCTTTCAGTTATGTGAGCTAAGTTTGAATCAGATGCAGATCACTGACAAGAGTTCTAGCCAATACAAATGCACTGATGGAGGAGCAAACGCTCATGCATCTGTCACTTACTGAGTGTTTACTCCACACTGTTCTAAGCACTTTATATAGATTGCTTGATTTAATTCTCACCACAAGCCTATGAGGTAGGTAGGGCACTCTTATTTTCATTTTACAATCAAGGAAACTGGGGATATACACAT
The DNA here is from genome assembly GCF_000001405.40 of Homo sapiens. Classification (NCBI taxonomy): domain Eukaryota; kingdom Metazoa; phylum Chordata; class Mammalia; order Primates; family Hominidae; genus Homo; species Homo sapiens. Next base: position 173,380,681 of record NC_000005.10, read on the forward strand.
ATGGTTTAAAAACTTTGCCCAAGATCACACAGGCAAGCTTGGACCTAGATGGTCTGACCTCAGAGCCTGCCCTTTAAACCTTATCAGAGCTTTTGGGTCAGGCCATGAAGGGTGGGTGCTTCCTCTGCAGTTGATCAAGGCTGCCTTTGCCTACAGGTTCGTGCTTTATCATAGCCAGTGGAATCCTGGACATCGAGTCTGTGGGAAAAATCCACAAGATATTTTCAGATTCATTGTCTTTCTACATTTAGAAGATGATGGTGATTTTCCATCATGCAGTACAATGATATGGGATTAATTTGGTAATTCAATGTTTGTTGTGGGAAGGAATAAATTGTTCTCCATCACTAGGAGATTTTTGTCAACTCACTTTGAAGTTGGAGAAGCAAGATGCTTGCTTGTTCAATGTGGCATCCACTTCTACTTTGTAAGTTCATATAATAGCTGCTGACGGTGTTTCCCCATTTGCATTCCCTGAGAAGATGTTATTTATTGTCCCTGATGCTAGAGGAAAAAAATTAGGTCACTGCCTCACGCATCTTCCTGAAACCATCCATAACACGTGCTTCATCAGACAGAGAGAGGCATTTTTTGAAGAAATCATAACCCATGCTAAGTGTTTTTTCTTTTCTTTTTTTTTTTTTTTTTTGAGATGGAGTCTCGCTCTGTCGCCCAGGCTGGAGTGCCATGGTGCAATCTCGGCTCACTGCAAGCTCTGCCTCCCGGATTTATGCCATTCTCCTGCCTCAGCCTCCTGAGTAGCTGGGACTACAGGCGCCCGCCACCACACCCGGTTAACTTTTTGTATTTTCAGTAGAGACGGGGTTTCACCATGTTAGCCAGGATGGTCTCGATCTCCTGACCTCGTGATCCACCAACCTTGGCCTCCCAAAGTGCTGGGATTACAGGCGTGAGCCACCGTGCCCAGCCTGAGCCATTCTGTCTTAGCCCAGCTTTTCTCTAAAATGGCTGTGTTCTCAAATGTTTGCAGGTAGCATTCTGAAACAATGTTGAACGTGTTCCTTATTCATGAGATGCTTAACCTGCAGCCCTCTGAAACTGTAACATCATCATGTTTTATGAAGTACTGAAGTCACACTTGGCCCCTGAAGCATTGATTCTCTGCAGCTCGCCTCCTTCTTGCCATGAGGGGAACATTTCCAAGATGCTCAGGGTTCACGCTGCCCATCACACATAGTGTGGGCAGACAGACTTGTGCATAGAAACCCTTCCGTAAGCTCCATCTCAAATACTGATGTCTTGTGGATGACACTGTAAAAACGTCACTGATCTGCTTCATTTCTGCCATATGATATCAATGCGGAGTAAAGAAATTTTTGTTTTTTGTTAGGGGGAAGTTATAATCCTTTTGAAATGACTTATTTTAAAAAAATACACAGAACATTAGTATGCGTTTTTTTTGACTCATAATGCACCCAATGCACCCTAAAATAATGTAGAATTTTTATCCTTTCTAAAATTAAAAAAAAATCATGTTACATGAAAATCAACTGTTAAAGTCTCTTTGGAAGGACATGCAACATTTATTCTCAAAATATTTAACTCCAGGAGAGAGAAAACATGTATAGGCTTTGGAGTCAGACAGACTGGGGTCAAATCCAAGGGTTTTACTTAGTGGCTTTGGGGCTTTGGGCAAAACACTCCGTATCTCTGAGCCTCAGTTTCCCTTATCCATAAAATGGAGGAAAATAATATCTATGTACAAGGGATGAAGAACAGTATAAGTATCTGAGACATAGCTGTTTTTCTCTTTTTTCTTTTTCTGTTTTTTTTTTTTTTTTTTTTTTTTTTGAGAGGGTATCATGCTCTGTCACCCAGGCTGGAGTGCAGTGGCATGATCTTGGCTCACTGCAACCTCTGCCTCCCAGGCTTAAGTGATTCTCATGCTTCAGCCTTCCAAGTAGCTGGGACTACAGGTGCGTGCCACCATGGCCTGATAATTTTTGTATTTTTAGTAGAGATGTGGTTTCGCCATGTTGGTCAGGCTGGTCTCGAACTCCTGACCTCAGGTGATCCATCTGCCTCAGCCTGCTAAAGTGCTGGGATTACAGGCATGAGCCACCATGCCTGGCTGAGATGGCTGTCTTTATTATTACCCACCCTTGTGGATTTTCTCCTGGATAAGCTTCCCATAGGAACTTAAGGATCAACTTTAGGCCTAAGGTGGGGAAGCACGTGTGAGTGCTTGAAAGGTCACCTCTTCCGGCACTTTTTTATTGGAGCAGCTGAAGAAGTACATTTCCAGCCAGTATTCAGAAAATGGGAGAAACTTGATCTAACAGGATGCCAAAAGAAATGGGAATCGCCAAGGTTTGCTCCACGGTGTTTGGAGGAAATTAGGGGCCCCAGGAGCTAGGAGGTGTCAGGCTAGGACTTGAGCGGTGAAGGACACTGGGAGCAGTCATTTGCTTTCAGAAAGATTCCCCTTTAAGCTGTAAACTTCCCTCATTCATTTAAAACATGACTTCATCATTTTCATGCCACTTTGGGGACCATATTCCAGGTAGACCATGAAGTCTGTTTGTTGGGGCCCTGACAGACCCAGAAGAGACTGAGCTTCTCTTGAAAAGCAACTTTTTTTTTCCTTTTTTTTTTTTAGAGAAGTCTCACTCTTGTCCCCCAGGTTTGAGTGCAACGGCTTGATCTTGGCTCCCTGCATCCTCCACCTCCCGGGTTCAAAGGATTTTCCTGCCTCTGCCTCCCAAGTAGCTGGGATTAAGGTGCCTGCCACCATGCCTGGCTAATTTTTGTATTTTTTAGTACAGACAGGGTTTCACCATGTTGGCCAGGCAGGTCTCGAACTCCTGACCTCAGGTGATCTGCCCGTCTTGGCCTCCCAAAGTGCTGGGATTACAGGTGTGAGCCACCACATCTGGCCGAAAAGCAACATTTTAAGGTAGAAACCAGAGTGCTGCTGGCTCCTGGGAGGAGGTGGAGGAGCAGAAGAGACCTGGAGGAAAGAGGGGAGAGGAGCAGGCTTGGAGAAAGGGGAGCCTTGGAGGGCAAGGGTATCCCTGAAGGTCACCCTCAGCCGAAAGGCTTCCAGTGGGTGGGCGAGGACAGGAGAGACGGAGCCCTAGGGCCAGATGAGAAAGGCCCCACACAAATGGTTAAAATATTGCTCAATTCTATTATATCATGAAAAAATGGCAGTGACCAGAGCTGCCTGGATTAGGAAAAAAGAGTGTAATTCCATCTTGGGGCTTCTGGTGAGTTGAGCTTGTGGTTCTGTGGTTTATGATGTCACCAGAACCCCTGGATGGAATTACAGCCTTTTAATTTACAACTTGGTAAGTGGGGAGACTGAGGGTCCATCATGCCTGCTCAAAACGTGGCAAGGACTCAAGGGTCAAGGTTGGCCTGGGAGGTCAAGTTCTGGGGACTGCCCCCTTGGACCTTTACTGGGTAGATAGCCTTGGTAAAGGCATTTTTCTCTTCCATCCTCAGTGTCCTCTCTCCCTGTTTCCCTATCCCTCCCTCCTCATTTCCCTGAGTTGCACAGCTTGATTTTCCCATAATTTATTTTATAAAAAGCCCAAGTTAACCAGATTCCTCTGGCCTTCATGCTCATTTAGCTCACAGTTCAAACCTTTCCATCTCAAGACCCACCCAAGAAAGGCTCACATATGATATCTCTGACTTCTGAAGGAAGAACCCTACCATGAAGCGGGTGGCTCACTTCTGTCTTTTGCTCTGTTCCAAACCTCCCACTTGACCATACATGCCAAGGTTTGGAAGTGATGGAGATTGCACTTTAGCTCATCCAGTGACCCAATCTCTGTAGATGAACGTTTGTGGCCTCCTGAAACATGGCAGCATGTGCACCCCCTAGCACCTTTGATTTTGTGGCTTCTCAGCCTCCCTTTGTTCACCAACTTTTAAACATGTTTTCTGAATATGTACCAGAAGGCCGGGGCTGAGATCTGGGGGTGTAATGGAAGGCAAGATAGATGTGATCACTGCCCTCATGAAGACTCCCCCCCAACCACGCCTACCTGCCATGGCCAGCTGGGTGTTGCAGAGATCACAGAGTTCATGTGTCCAAGTCTGTATCTCCAATGCTGCTCTTCCACAAGGGGCGCCCATTCAGTGGATGCTACCATCCCTGCCTAGCTGCTCAACCCAGAGATTTAGGAATGTCCTGCCTGACTTCTCCCAGTCCCTCAGCCCCATCTTCCAATCCATCAATGAGTTCTGTCCATTCTACCTCCAAAATAGAACTCTTCTATTCTGGACCACTTTTCTCCATCTCAAGGGTATCATTTCACTCCACCAGCTCTGACTCACTGCAGCAGCCTCCCGGAGGCACCTCCCACTTCTTTATTTTTCCCTCCCACCCAAGGGTTCTTGAAGAGAAGTCCTCTGACCAGCAGCCTGATCACCTGGAAATTTGTTAGAAATGTAGGTTCCTGGGCCTCCCGAGACTGACTGCTCAGAAGTTCTGGAGGTAAGAACAAGCAGTCTTGGTTTTAACAAGCACCCAAGGTGCTTGGGATGCAGCTCATATTTGAGAACATCTTCCATTCTTTTTCTTTTTTTTCTGAGACGGAGTCTCATCCTGTCACCCAGGCTGGAGTGCAGCGGTGCAGTCTTGGCTCACTGCAGCCTGCGCCTCCCAGGCTCAAGCGATTCTCCTGCCTTAGCCTCCCTAGTAGCTGGGATTACAGGCGTTTGCCCCCATGCCCAGCTAATTTTTGTATTTTTAGTGGAGACAGGGTTTTGTCATGTTGGTCAGGCTGGTCTCGAACTCCTGACCTCAGATAATTCACCTGCCTCGGCCTCTCAAAGTGTTGGGATTATAGACATGAGCCAACGCACCTGGCCCCATTCATTTTTGACACAGGCAAGGTACTCAGCACCTTTTACACATTCTCTTATTTATCTCCATTTTAAAGTGGAGGAAACTGAAATCTGATCTTACAGGATACATTAGACTGTATAACTTTCAAGCTGAAAACCCTTCAGGAACTTCCCACTGCGCTTGGAATAAAACTCTTACGCAGCCTACATGATCCTGCACCATCTAGCTCTGGCCTCTCTCCCCGGCTTCCCCTGGAGAGATGCTTTTCCTTGGGCTCATCTGCCTCCACGCCTTTTCACCTTTCAGTTCCATGAGTGCACAATTCACCTTCCAGCCTTAGGGCCTTTGTGGACACTGTTCCCTCTGCCTGGAACACTCACTCTCCCTTTATTTTACATGGATAATGCCTTTACCTCATCATTCAGATTTATCAAAAATGTCACCTTCTGGATGACATTATAATATATTGCAAATTATATCGTCTGTTGGATGTTCATCGTGCACATTAGCATTTTAAAGCCCCTGATAAGTCCTGCAGTAAAGAAGCCTGTTTAGTTTGGTCTCATTTGGCATTTTCCAACTCTTTTTGACCAGGCACTAGTTTTACCTAACACCTATGACTGCCTTTTGATTCAGGAGTGCTGAGTCACAGTTCTCTCACCTCCACTGAGAACATGAGGTCATAGTCACCTCTTTTTCTTCTTGGCACTTGCAGGTTTCTATACGGTGACTTCAGAGTCCGTGTTTCCCTGTATTTGACAACTGTAAAGTAAACCTGGAGCCTTACAGCTAACTTTCATGTTGGTACAGATTTTCTGTGACTAGATTCATTTACTCTGCCAGCAAATGTTTTTCAGGTACCAAGGTACAAAGTGTTCTGTGAGGCACATTTGGAGGCAAAGAGGTGAATGAGGGATGGACACTTCCTTAAAAAGCCCATGGGTTTATGTGGGAAGAGTACATGCAAACAAATCACTAAAAAGAGGTAGAATGGCCAGGCATGGTGGCTCACGCCTGTAATCCCAGAACTTGAGGAAGCTGAAGTGGGAGGATTGCTTAAGCCCAGAAGTTTGAGACCAGCCTCAAACAGGGTAACGAGGTGAGCCCCTGTCTTTATTTAAGAAAAAAAAAAAAAGATAGAATGAATAGCAATAAACAGATGCTCCATGTCAGCCCCAGGATGGGCAAAGTACATGCTGTCTAAGGCACACACAAATTCCATGCATTATACCTAATGCTCACTGCAGCTCTGCTGTAGAGGGGCTATTTTCCCTTTGTACAGATACAGAAACAGAGAGTCGGAGAGATTTGTCTTTTGTTCTGTATCACACTGTTAGTGAGTGATGTTAGTGAGTTCAAAAGTTTGAACCATGTCTGGTTCAGACTCTTCTGACTCTGAAGCCCAGGGTCTTTCCAAATACCTGTGCTGCTGCCATTTCCTGACCAGGTTTCTCAAGGCCTAAATCCAGATAGTCTCTGAGACTGTCAAATATTAGAGTGGGCTCTAATATTTAAATAAGTACTATCTCAGGAAAGCTGAGCTGTGATTCTTGTCACTGATGGGAATTGAGAAGAAGACTTTAACCTTAAAAAAGTTATTTTTTTCCTGTTCTTTTAGGTTATCTTTATTTTATTTGTTTTTTTTTTAACTTTTATTTTAAGTTCAGGGGTACATGTGCGGATTTGCTACATAGGTAAACTTGTTTCATGGGGGTTTGTTGTACAGATTATTTCATCATCCAGGTATTAAGCCCAGTACCCATTAGTTATTTTTCCTGATCCTCTCCTTCCTCCCACCCTCCACCCTCTGATAGGCCCCAGTGTGTGTTGTTCCCCTCTATGTTTCCATGGGTTCTCATCATTTAGCTTTCATTTATAAGTGAGAACATGCAGTGTTTGGTTTTCTGTTCTTGCATTGGTTTGCTGAGGATAATGACCTCCAGCTCCATCCATGTCCCTGCAAAGGACATGATCTTGTTCTTTTTCATGGCTGCATAGTATTCCATGGTATATATGTACCACATTTTCTTTATCTAGGCTATCATTGATGGGCATTTAGGTTGATTCCATGTCTTTGCTATTGTGAATAATGCTGCAATGACCATACGCATGAATGTGTCTTTATAACAGAATGATTTATATTCCTTTGGGCATATACCAAGTAATGGGATCACTGGGTCGAATGGTATTTCTGTCTTTAGGTCTTTGAGGAATTGCCACACTGTCTTCCACAATGGTTGAACTCATTTACACTCCCACCAACGCGTATAAGTGTTCCTTTTTCTCCACAACATTGCCAGCATGGTACTTTTTGACTAAAAAAAGGTTATTTCTAATTGCCTGAGCAATTCATAAATATGTTCTTTTTATTAAAAATAAAAACATTTTAGATAAGCAAAAGTACTCTGCTATCCTGGTCTCCTCTCTTCTGTGACAAAGGTAAACTATGTAATCAATTTGGTGTGTGCTTCTCCAGACCATTCTCTATATATTACTTAGCGCAAATGTAGGCAATATGGGAAATATCACACAGAAAGATTTACCTTGTAATTTTTCTTCTTTTGCTCAACAGTGTATTTTGGAGCTCTTTCTATGCTAGCATGTATAGCTACATCATTTTTTGTTCCCAACTTTTTATTTTGAAACAGCTTCTTATTTTGAAACAGAAAAGCTGCAAGAATAAGAATGGTTAGAAGAATTTTCAAATACCCTTTCTTCAAATGTAATATTTTGCCCTATTTGCTATATGTATGCATATGTATGTGTGTATGTATGCATATATGTATATTTGCATATATGTATTTTAATATGTGTGTATGTATATTTTATATATCCATCACATATAAATATAAAATTTAATTTTCTTTTACAAATTATTTGAGAATAAGTGGCATACGCTATATTCCTTTCGTAAATATTTCACTGCATAATTCCTAAGACTAAGGATGTTCTTTTTTTTTTTTTTTGAGACTGTTTTGTTTTCTGTCACTCAGGCTGAAATGTAGTGGCATGAGCATGGCCCACTGTAGCCTGAATTTCCCAGGCCCAAGTGATCTTCCTGCCTCAACCTCCTGAGTAGCTTGGGCCACAGGCATGGGACACCACACCTAGCTAATTTTTAAATTTTTAGTAGAGATAAGGTCTCACCATGTTGCCCAGGCCGGTCTTGAATTCCTGGACTCAAGCCATCCACCCACCTTGGCCTCCCAGTGTTGGGATTACAGATGTGAGCCACCACATCTGGCAGGATATTCTCTTAAAAAGCCTTAACAGTTGTCAACTACTCTAAATTCAATATTGATATGCTACTTTTATTTCATTTATAATCTAAATTTTATTTTTGTCAGTTAATCAAATGAGGTCCTTTATAGTATTTGTATTCCTCCCTCTAATCTAAGATGCCATCTAGGATAAGATATTGCATTTAGTTGTCATGTCTCTTTGGTTGTCTATTAATATGGAACATTTTTAGTCTTTGTATTTTATGATATTGACACTTTTGAATATAGTCTCTTTTAATAAAATTGGCGCTTTCTTATTTGGGGTTTTGTGATGGTCTCTCATGATTAGATTGATGATGAGCTTCAAGGTAGGCACTTTCAGCCGGAATATTATATAGGTGATGAGTTCTTCTCAAGGTACTCACTCACAATGTCTGTCTGCCCCTCGTTGGTGATGCTAACTTTGATCATCTGCTTGAAGTGTTGTCTGATTTGTTTACCATATAGTCACTGTTTTTTTCTTTTTACAACCTCAACCAATATGCAGTCTGTTGGAGGATACTGAAGGTCATGCTAATAGCCTGCTCCTCATCACCATTTCTCCCCAGATTTAGCATCCGTTGATGATTCTTGCCAGATCCAAACTTTATTGTGATGGTTGCAAAATGATGATTTTCTAGCTGTAACATTTCTTCCATGTGTACCAGTGGGCTTGGCATTCTGCTGTAAGGTAGAGTTCTCCCTTCTCTCTTACGTATTTGTTTACCCATTTATTATGGACTCAGGGGTTCTGATTTTTCAATGGTCTGTAATGTTACTATCCTTAATTATTGTGGTGCTCAAATTGTCCGATTTTTGGCCAGTGGGCCCCCGCTTCCCATGTCCTTAGGGGATGTCCTCATCATTTTTTTTTTGGAGAACCTCTTTCCTTTTTGGCATTAAAAAATGTTCCAGGCCCATCTTGTATCTGCCCTGCCTTCACTCTGGAGTCAGCTGTTTCTCTGAGGAGCCCTGCTATTTCCTTCTTTTCATAGGAAATATTATCATACACCAGGATCTGCATGCTAGCACACTCATTGCTACTGGGTCTCATTGCTTTTACCTACTATATTCTATTTAATGACTTCCTGGCATTTCATAGAATAGCTGTGCAACTGTTTATTTATCCATTGCTCTATTAATGGATGCTTAAGTTGTTTCCAATTTGTCCCTATTTCAAGCAACTCTCAGTGAACATTTGGTTATACACTCTTTGTGTATTTATGCTAGGAGTATCTATCTCTCCAAAGATAGCTGATGAGAAGTGGAATTTCTTGATCATAAGATGTATATGTTTAAAATTTTACTTGATAGTGTCAATCTCTTCTCCACAGTGGCCCCACCAATTTAGATCACAGCAAGTAGGACATGAGAGTCCTCATCTTTCCAGACACTTTCTGATGCTGAGTATTACAAACATTTTGTTTTTACACAACCCCAGGGGTGAAAAATGTGGGCTGATTGGCCTCATGTTCATTTTCCACATTGTAAGAGAGGGTGAGGATCTCTTCCTGTGTTTATTGCCCCTTTGTCTTCTTGCTGGTGGGAGGAGAGGAAGCTTTGTGAGGGTCGGAACGGTAGAGCCAGACCTCACTAGATGGGTAGGCTTTTAGGAAGTAGGCAAGGAGGGAGGCTATTTCAGATGTAGGAAATGACAGAGCCAACCACCAGGCAGTGAAGGCCAAGTAGCTGTAGGTTTTGGATCCCCCACTTTCCCGGGGTGAGGCCTGCTATTTTGTCCTGGTGCCATTGCTTTCACAGTCTTCTCTATGACAAGCTTTGCAAGAGGCCTCCAGGAATGGGAGAACTACTCCCTGGGCCTCCATGTAAAGTAATACAAGAATTCACACCCATCTTCCTTGTCTGAGAGAGATTAAATTGTGGGCTGAGATAGTCAAATGTTTTTCTTAAGGCAGTGAAAGCAACTGTGTTCACCAAAAATTGGATCAAGTGAGGGTGCAGCCAATGAAGGAAAGAGTACAGAATAAATGACCTGTGGTGGGACAGGGACTGATGTGGTCAATGACATGAAACAGACAAAACCTCACCCACAAGTGATAGATGGAAACCCAACACAATATGGGCTGTAGCGATCAGGACCATACGAGAGGCTAGCTCTTCATTTTGGCTAAATTGTCAGAGGCTTGGAGGAAAAGCAAGGTGGCATGGCAGAAAGGACAATAGAGGTGGCTCCAGGGTCTTGATGAGGTTTTGCCAAGAGACAGGTGCAGACAATTTACTAAGCTATAGGCAAGGCTTTCTTTCATAGCAAAAATGCCTTTGTGGGAAGAAAGAGCAAGAAGAAGGGGATTAATTTAGAACACGAGGGATTTAGGTCAGAGATTTGAACTGACTGAGGTAATCCAAACCAGTGATTTGTCAGGGAGTTTGTGGAATGTCCTTCTCTTCTTTGAAAAAGGCGTAGGTTCTTTTCTGCTGGAATGAACTGGAGGAGTCCTGTATAAAAGACCCTCCAGGCTTGGATTCTCTGCCAAGGCAGGGCCTCCGTGGGTTGACTGCAGATGTAGCTGTTCTTGGCAGACCTGACTTGCCGCTCACAAGTTCACGTGCTTTCTCTGTCAAAGAAGGTTGGGGAGCCTCGCCAGCAGGACTCGAACCTCTCACAGGATAAATGGCCTTTGGGGCTGCAGGCATATCTGGGAAAATGGTAAAGGTGTTTTTTTTTTCTTTCTTTCTAATTGTTATCTCAACTTAATTTTCATACCAATACCATAGTGAACAATGATTATATATCATCATCCTAATTTTCCTCTTTTTTTATTCTTTTTTTAAAATTCAGAGTCTTGGTCTGTCACCCAGGCTGGAGTGCAATAGTGCCATCTTGGCTCACTGCAACATCCACCTCCTGGGTTCAAGTGATTCTTGTGCCTCAGCCTTTTGAGTAGCTGGGATTACAGGCGCACCCCACCACACCTGGCTAATTTTTGTATTTCTAGTAGAGACAGGGTTTCACCATGTTGGCCAGGCTGGTCTCGAACTCCTGACCTCAAGTGATTCGCCCGCCTCATCCTCCCAATGTGCTGGGATTACAGGCGTGAGCCACTGTGCCTGGCCCTTTTTTTAACCTTTCAATATGAGAACATTTAAATTTGCAAAGTTGAAAGTCTAATACAATGACTACTGTGCCACCCACCACCTAGATTCAACATTTTTCTTCTATATCTTTTATCTCAATATACATTTGTGTATGTGTGTGCGTTGCATATACAAGTATGTATATCTAACTAAATATCTATGTTTTTTCCTTTTGCAACTTGCAAACATTATGACATACTTTACCCCTTCAGGAGACAGAAACCATACCTGTTATTTGAATGGAAATAATTTACTATAATGATTTGTTAATTAGGTATAAAGTTATTAACTACATAACTGAAATAGAAAAAGAGAATGCCTTAGATTCCTTAGAATTACAGAGGAAGCAATTTTTATGAAGTAGCTACCATCCCTAGGGCTGAGGAGGGACCCTATGTTGCTGAAAGTCTGATCCTTGAGACTGAGCAGCTGTTAGTCTGGTGCTGGTCTCTGATCTGTGGGGCTGGGCCCCAGACCTCTTGAGAAAGGGGCTTAATTCAGTGGCTGCTACAGGAATGAAGTGCCTCTGCCAGGGTGAAGCACTGTCAGGTGACAGAACACAAACAAACAAGAAGTAGGAAGAAGCAAACCCTTTCCTCCCCTTTAGCCTTGCAGCCTCTCTCTAGCTCCCACTTTTGGCAGAGCCTATCACATGGTTTGCAGAGTCCTGGACCCAGCATCACAAGGTCAAGTATAGAAAGGCAAACTTGGAGCAGAAAGATAATATTTTAATAACTGTCATGAACCATAAATTCTTTGGTATGTGTCTCCTAAATTAAGAATATACTTCTACATATAGACAATAATAGTCTCATGCCTAAGAAACAGCGATTTCCTAATATCAAATACCCAGTCCGTGTTGCAGTATCTCTAATTATCCTCCAAGTGTTTTGTTATGGCTGAGATTTTAGTGTTTTAGGATGTGAAACCACTCATGTTTCCTGCATTGCATTTACCTGACATACCTCTTCAGTCTCTTTTGTTTTAGAACAGTCTTCTACTCCCTCCCCTTTTAAATACTGATGATGAAAGGCTGGGCCAGTCGAGTTGTCCAAAGTCCTATGGTCTGAGTATCTGAGTGTTTCTTCATGGTGTTGCTTTATCTGTTCCTCTATCCTCAGTATTTCCTGTAACCTAGAGGTTAAGTCTTGATCAGATTGAGTAAGTTCATTTATTTTTTTGTCAAGAATTCTTCATAGGTGGTGGTACACACTTCATTGCAATGTATATATTAGCATATAAATTATATTATCATATTTGAATATATTTATTAACTTCAGATATACTTTTGTACCCCTGGGAACAAAAGCCAAACAATTCTTATGGAAAGAGAGGGAAGAACATCAGTTTTCACTGTAACAGGTGTTGCCAGTTAGTTCTGATAGAACTTGCCCTGGTCCCCAAGCACTGAGCCCTGCCCTGCTGTCCTCGTGCATCATCTGGAGATGTTCTGTACTATGTACGGGAACCTCTGCTCATGTAGACTGTGTTTTGTCCCCCTGAGTATCCTGTTTTACAATCCTCCAGGTCTCCCACTTGCTCTGCAACCTACACTGTGGCTTGGCTCTCCACTGCCTTGCCCCTGAGTGTTTTGCTGCAGAGCCAGTGTGATGAGAATGGTCTGTTGGTGAAGGGGGAGTTTTCTCTTCTTTTCTTATCCCTGGTTGTCATTTTTGTGATTTCTTTCTGGAGCTGCCTTGTAAAACCTTGCCCTGTGTCATATTTTCACCCCATCTATAATCATACCTTTCTCACCTGAGACTCTGGTCTGTCTCAGCATCACTGATGTGTTCTCTGCTTTGCTGTTCAACACCTTGGATCTTAGCCATCCTGACTTCCCTTTGGGATCACTGAGCAAAGCCCTCGTTGATGATGTTGGATCCTACTTCTGGGTTTTATTTTCATCATCAAATCCATTTCACCTTCTCATGGGCATGAATAGAAGGGTCAGGCAAGCTCAGCTCTGAGCCCAAGTAGCAGAAGAGTTGTCAGTTTAGTTTCTTACCTTAGATGTCTGCAGGGGTCCAACAGGTTTAGGGAAGTTGAGGACGACCAGATGATGTGGTTTTGCTGTGTCCCCACCCAAATCTCACACTGAATTGTAATAATCCCCGTATGTCAAGGGTGGAGCCAGGTGGAGATAATGGAATCATGGGGGCAGTTTCTCCCATACTGTTCTCATGATAGTGAATAAGTCTCATGAGATCTGATGGTTTTATAAAGGGGAGTTCTCCTGCACACGCTCTCTTGCCTGCTGCCATGTAAGACATGCCTTTGCTTCTCCTTTGCCTTCCACCATGATTGTGAGACCTCCCCATCCATGTGGAACTGTGAGTCCGTTAAACTTCTTTCCTTTATAAGTTACCGGTATGTCTTTTTTTTTTTTGAGACAGGGTCTCACTCTGTTGCCCAGACTGGAGTGCAATGGCGTGATCTCGGCTCACTGCAATCTCTGCCTCCCAGGTTCAAGTGATTCTCCCGCCTCAACCTCCCAAGTAGCTGGGATTACAGGTGCGTGGCACCACACCCAGCTAATTTTTGCATTTTTAGTAGAGACAGGGTTTCACCATGTTGGCCAGGCTGGTCTCAAACTCCTGACCTCAAGTGATCCACCAGCCTTGGCCTCCCAAAATGCTGGGATTACAGGTGTGAGCCACCGTGCCTGGCCTGGTATGTCCTTATTAGCAGCGTGAGAACAGACTAATACAAGACTAATACTTCAGATATGTGAAAATCAGCAGCTCGAGTTCAAGAAGAAATAGCAACTGACCCCCAGTTTCTGTGTGATGGGGAGCCCATGAAAAAAAATACTATAAATTCTTTGCAGCTCTTCCTATCAAGAGGTGATGTCTGTTTCCCCAGACTTTGAATTGGACTGATCTTTTATCTTCCTTTATCCAATAGAACATTAATGAAAGAAAGGTAAGCAGAGGCTCAAAAAGTGCCTGCCTATTGGGGCTTTCCCCTCTCCTGATGATGGAAGAGCCCACGTGAAGGAGCTGAGCTGGCTGCTGGACAGGCCACATGGAGGAGAATCGAGGCATTCCACCAGCAGCCTGTCAGCCTCTGGCTGCAGCAAGTAGTATGAGTGAGGCTCGGCAAAACTGGCTGAAGAAATGCTCAGCAGAACCCAGCCCGAATTGCTGACACCCAGAATTGCAGCTAATGTATTATCATTGTTTTAAGCCACTAAGATTTGGGGTGGTTTCTTACACAGCAAAGGCTCACTGGTACATGCTCCATCTGAAGCGGGCAGCTCCCACCCAGTGGCAGCCTAGAGATGCCATGCTGGAATATGGCCCCATGTCACCATGTCTTCCAGTTCTTTTCAAGACAAGAGACAATTCAAGATAATTTTTATGTGATGCATTCTAACTTTAAATGATAGTACTAAAATTAAAAAATTTAAAAACATTCTAGAGGTCCAAAGAAACAACTGGGGGCTGGATTCCATCTCCCTCAGACCATCCCTCTTCTTGCTACTGGGTCCAGTGTTTGCCCCGATTATTCTCCCTGATCCAGAAAAGTGGACTTTGGGGGATGGGGGTGGGGGACACATGAGCAAGCAGCAGCCTCTAGAAACTGCCAGCAGAGGGCTGGACGAGGACCCAAGGCTTCATCGGCTGTGAAGCACTGAGTCACTGATGGACATGGTGACTCGATGGGAATGCTTCTAAAAATGTCTTTCAGGAGGGATTTTTTTCTTTTCAGACAAAATACCACCTCCTCTCAGCTTCTCCCCAGTATAGCTCATTCCTCTACAGGGCAAATCATAAATACTGTACTCCCCCCATATCTGTCTCCCTCATTAGATTTGGGGGAGCTCCCGGAGAGCCTCATGGGGAACTTGTTTACTTTTCCATCCTGATGCCCTGACTGGTGACTTGGCAGATGCCTGGAATGTTCTTTTGCTCCCCCTCTCCTTGTCCTCTCTGACAGTTCTTGACATAAGGCAGGCTGTGTGTCACAGTCCCAGTCACCTTTCTTTGGAACCCTACATCAGAGTCAGTCACTGGGCACAAATGTTCATCTAGCTAAGGAATTCGAGAAAATGGAATTTTCTCACATTTTTTGTCAACTTATGGAAAATCAGCTAACGAACCAAAAAAAAAAAATTTCCAAAACCAAACGCAAAGGTCCCCCACATGTTCAGTGTGTCAGAGGCAAGCTCTAAAGAGGGGGTGTCAGGCCAGCTCTCTGGCCTAGGGACAGCAACACTTGCCTCTGCAGAGCCTCTGAGCTGTGACAGGCACAGGGCAGTGTGATATAGGCCTCTGGAGCCAGATGATTGCGAGCTGGGAGTGCGAGGTTTTACTGGGCCTTTGCAACCCGGGCCAGCCTACACATCTGGATGATTATGGAAGAATAATCCACAAACTCGTGTCTTGTCTCCATAACACTCTGTATTCCCATTGAGGCAACGAGTGCCAACATGCTTTTTCCATTTTCATTCACATCTTTGATCCCTCACAGTCTAAGACTTGGCATGGATGGGCAGGCCAGGAAAACGTTGAGCAAATGCTGTCAGGCACCCTCAGGGAGGCCTGAGGAGGAACAAATGTGCCCGGCAGGGCTACCTCTTGGCTCTGCCTGGAAGTTCCTCCCAGCAATGGCTCTCTGTCCCCAGTGGCTGGAGAGATGGCCGTGTCTTGGCAGGCGCTGGGCCTGGAGCTGGGTGGGAGGCGCGTGGTTTTCCTCTCTCCACTAGGGGGTGGGGGAGTTTGGATGTTGGCACAAGGCTGCCTGCTTGCATTAGAACTCAGCCGGCAAGGAAAGCAGGCGGCTCAAAGACTGGGTCAGCCTCAGGGACTGGATGGGGATGGAGCTTTCAGAGGAGTGGCCCATTGGAGGCAGTCTGGATGGGCATTTGGGTCTGGCCCAGTTTGGTCCAAGGCGGGCCAGGGAAGGCAGCTACTCTAGCCGGGACCCCTAGCAGTCCTGACCTCTAGACCCATCTGCAGGCCATCTTCCCTCAGTGACAGCTCTGTTCCTTGTCATAGGCCAGCCGGAAAAGGTGGCTGGGCACTGGTTGGAGGCCAGAGGGATGGACTTCCTCTTGTACCACACCGCGACATGGGGCTTGAGGCTTTCTTTCCCACGGCAGGCAGGGGAGGGGGGCACCAGGAAGTAGGGTGACCTCTGTGCTATTCCCCAGCCTCCTTGCCGCCTGAATGTCCTGCATTAGGAATGTTATTCCTTTGAGTAAAAGTGTGCATGCTGCCCTGGGATCTCCTTTAAAAATGCTCTCTGAGAGAAGAACATTACGAAAGGGCTGTCATAGTTGCCTTCGTGGATGCATTGATCACACCGCCTGTTTCCCCTGGGCCTTTTGCTTGAATTGGAGGCCAGAGAGAAAGGCTCAAGAAATGCAAAGCACAAGAAATGTTTGGAGGTCTGGGGCCAGCGGTGAAGGGGACAATTGAGGCCTCTTGGCAGTTTTCTGTGGAGGGAAAAGTGGAGTAGAAAGAGTATTTCTAGAATGAAAGAGGGAGCTGAAGAGGGAGGGGACAGGGACATTGAAAAAAGATCCTATAATTTAATCTCTTACTGTTTTTCCGCCTGAGCTCCTTGAATTCTGAGCCGAATTGTTAGTCTGTCACTCTTCCCAACTTCCTTGTCATTTACTGAGGGATTGAGAGAAGGATGCAAACTTAAGTTAATCTTAACTTTCTGAGTCTTGATTTTCCTGCTGGGGAAATGGAGAGAACCATTAAATGAGGTTATGAAGGGAAGGAAGCAAGCACGGGGTCTGTCAGGAACTTCTGGTTTCTCAACACCATAAAAGAAGATCTAGAGTGTCTTCCTTTACCCGGATGTGGAATAGTACTAAAAATAAGAATGCTGCAATTGCTGGGAGGTTGCAGCATGGGCTCTGGTGAGAATAGAAAGACAGGAGGATGCTGGCTGCAGCCTGCAAATTGTCAGCCAGTTGTGCCAGATGTTGTCATCCGCGGAGAGTGGGGAAGAAGGACCAGGGTGGCTTCTGAGCTTTTCAGGTGAGTGGCCCCTTTTTATTTTGTTTGAGACGGAGTCTCGCTCTGTTTCCAGGCTGGAGTGCGGTGGCATGATCTCGGCTCACTGCAATCTCTGCCTCCCGGGTTCAAGTGATTCTCCTGTCTCAGCCTCCGGAGTAGCTGGGACTACAGGTATGCAGCACCATGCCCAGCTAATTTTTGTGTTTTTGGTAGAGACGGGGTTTCACCATGTTGGCCAGGATGATCTCTATCTCTTGCCCTCGTGATCCGCCTGCCTTGGCCTCCCAAAGTGCTGGGATTACAGGCTTGTGCCACCACGCTCAGCCGGCTCCAACTTTTTTATTTAGAGGCTGGGTGGGACCCATGAATGCCCAGGCTATAAGCACACAAGAAATTTTTTGAAAAGCTAAAATAGTCAAGCTATATACAAATACCACTTTTGATGATTTACGCTCAAACAAATAATTTGAGGAAGCCACAATCTACCAAAAGTATAAAAAGCAAACCACACAGAAATGCAAAATGTTCCTCCATGGGACAAACAGGATGTTTGCTTTCCTATGTGCAGTTAGGCCTTACCATTCTGTGGGCTGGATGCTCTTCCCAGCTCCAACTTTATGAAGTGAAAGAAGGGCCAAAACACCTATGGATCTATTCCTACATTATTTAAGACACCTTATAGAGAACAAGGAAAACAACAGGACAACCTGCGTAAATAAGATGTCAGGGCAAAGAAGTACAAGGGTAAGAAAATAAGAAAAAGCCAGAGGTAGAGTTGTGCACAGATATTTGAACCCTCAAGTCCTGCCCAGTATATAAAGGTAAACTACAAGTTTGGTTGTGAGCTTACTGGTGGCCAAAGCAAAGAGGGAAATATGATCTACAAAAGGACTCATGCTGTCCATCAACTTAACACAAGCCAGCTCACTTAGGAGAAGCACAATTCCTACTGGAACCAAGGCTGGAGAGATTTCTATGCCGGGTTTTCCTGGAGGAAACTGTGTGTGATGAAGTCAAATACTTCCTCACCATAGCTCCACAATACATGGGGCAATGAATTTCATATGCCTTACAAAAAAAAATCTCTTAATGGAAGCAGGTCCCTCCAATAAAACAACTGTACAAGGACCCCAGACACTCTGGCCCAAACATTCAGCTTTTTCATGATTGGATTTTGCCCAAAGGTAAAATTTGGACAGTGTGAAACAGTAACTTGCAAGGGAGTCCTGTGGGATAAGAATATGTGCGATGTGAAGAAAAGACCAAACAAAGGTAGGCAGGATTTTTTTAAAAACTGCAAGCCTTCTTAGAATCTGTCATGTGTGAATGCATTCATGTTTCTGTGATTTACTGCCTTTCCAAAGCCTACATGACTGAACAATCCTGTGTGTGTCTGTAGCATCTTGGGAGCCCAGTGGAGATGGGGGTCTAAAAGCAAGGAAAGGACCCACAAATCCAAAGCTAGAGCCACACAGTCTTGTTCCCTAACGACATCCTTACCTCAAGCTTGTCTTTGAAAGGAATGCTGGTGAGTGTCACCTTAGAGAGTACTCAACTGATGCAATGGTTTCTGTATTGGTTATAACTTTCCTAGGACATACAAATGAATAAGATAGATAAATTTAGAACTACTTTAAGAATAAGCATTCAATGAGGCCCCACCTAAAATGGTCTTGCATATGTTCAGTGGCAAACCTGCCTACCACACTTGGGAAACCGCCTTCTAGATGGAGGTGTGGACTTTACCTGTCCTTCCCCTAAGCCTCTGTGGATTTAGGGTCTCATCTCTGAGACATGATAAGGATTGGGCAGAGGAGAAGTCAGTGACTGTATTCTATGGCCCAGGCCATGGATTACCATGGTTTTGGGCATGGCATGACCATGTTATGGATCAGTTAAGGGCTAATCCATCCACTCGGGCCTTCCATGGAGTGCCTAATGGAAGAAGTTCAGGGAAAGAACCTGATGTTGCTTGACCTGGCTAGATATGAGATAGAAAAAAAAGAACATTATTCCCAATGTCTTAAACTTCCCAGTGGGTCCATTTCTTTTTTTCTTCTCTGTTTACATTTATTTTTTGTCTTCTTGAGGGGTGATTTCCAGATGGGATCCTTCAGGTTGCATGAGAATGAATCAGGTTCATAGCCTATCATATCTCCAGCATTTCCACCCGTTTTGTGGCCAAATGTTTGGAAATGTTTGCTTTCTAAAGACAGCTGTTCATTTATCTTTTTCTTCCACAAACATATAGTCAATGCTGACCATATGCAAAAAAGGAGTGAGCCAGTGCACACAAAGATATACAAAAGTCATTTAGAAGTTACATAAATCTCGGTATAAATAATAGAAACTAGATTTCCAGCCAAAAATGGAAAACATCATGTATTTGACAAAGAACATTTATACAACAAATCTGATTCTTTTAGTATAGTGATTTTTAAACAATTTACACTCAATGGTTGTTGCTTACCAAGCCAGGTAATTAAATATATCCTGATAGGACAAAGTGATGTAGGCGAGCTTTTGTCTTTCTGATGCCTGTCTTTTTTTTTTTTTGAGATGGAGTCTTGCTCTGTCACCCAGGCTGGAGTGATGCAGTGGTGCAATCTTGGCTCACTGCAACCTCCGTCTCCAGGGTTCAAGCGATTCTCCTGTATCAGCCTGCTGGGTAGCTGGGACTATAGGCACAAACCACCATGCCTGGCTAATTTTTTTTTTTTTTTTAAGTAGAGACAGGGTTTCACTATGTTGGCAAAGCTGGCCTCGAACTCCTGACCTCAAGTGATCTGCCTGCCTCGGCCTCCCAAAATGCTGGCATTACAGGTGTGAGCCACCACGCCCAGCCTGATGTCTGTCTTATATTCAGTTCTCTCACGTGCTCTGGTCATAAAACCTTGCCCTGTGTTTTCCTTTATACCATTCCTTAGGACTAAAACCCCTCGTACCCTGGCATAGTCATTCAGCAAACATTGATTGCCTGTAGTGTCTCAGCATCTTCACAGTGTTCAGCACCTTTGCACTGGACACATTTTCATCTGATCTCTAGGGGTCTTCTGGAACCCACCTCTTGCACAAAAACTTACCCTGGGGAGCTTTTCTATTTAGCTTTTTGCCAAGCAGGCCACTAAAAGAAAACAGAACATCCCCTTCCTTGAGATTTATGGTTAAGAAAAGTTTAGTTGCGATCATTTCCAACTGTGCTTATCTGTGTCTGAACAGTCTATGATTTGGTTGGTAGGAAATGTGCAAAAAGTGGGAAAATATTCTCCATGGCGGTTAAAAGCTAGTGGAGATAAATTAAAATCCCATTATTAAGTTAAAATATGGCATTAGAAATGAAATTTTATTTACTTATTAGGTCAAAGATCAAGAGGAACTATTGTCTGGATCCTGGGGAAGATCAGTAATGCAATCATAGGAAATTTGGTTGTAATTCCGTTGTGTGGACAATCATTCGATGACAATAGAAATTCACATATAGGTGAAAACATTCTTTCTACCTTGCCTGAAGGACTTGAATGAAACAAGGAGACCCTTTCCAGCACATTGATGTGTCTCACAAGCAATAATTAATGAATCTGCCAATCATTTTTCACTATTTCTGGAGGTTAGCACTGGCTTGAGAGACTATCTCTAGAGACAGAGAAGAGGTATTAGTGGAATAATTCATTAATGTCCTGTTTACACTGTTCTCATTGTCCAGTTTTCCCCTTCAGTGAGATGTGTTGTCCTAAAAGTTTCAGTCCTGTGGCCTACATGTTTTGTGCTGGACTCCATGAGATAGAAAATACTTCTGGTTATGGGTCAAAGAGGTGTTGGACTCCACTGAGAGAGAAGATACTTCTGGTTAAGGGTCAAAGAGATGTTGTGAGAGAAACTTAGTGAAAGCACTGACAACATTATTCAGCCAGTGTTTACTGAGCACCTACTATGTGCCAGGTGTGCATACACATGTGTGCGTGTTTTCTTTTTTTTTCTTTTATTATTATTTTACTTTAAGTTTTAGGGTACATGTGCACAATGTGCAGGTTAGTTGCATATGTATACATGTGCCATGCTGGTGTGCTGCACCCATTAACTCGTCATTTAGCATTAGGTATATCTCCTAATGCTATCCCTCCCCGCTCCCCCCACCCCACAACAGTCCCCAGAGTGTGATGTTCCCCTTCCTGTGTCCATGTGTTCTCATTGTTCAATTCCCACCTATGAGTGAGAACATGCGGTGTTTGGTTTTTTGTCCTTGCAATAGTTTACAGAGAATGATGATTTCCAATTTCATCCATGTCCCTACAAAGGACATGAACTCATCATTTTTTATGGCTGCATAGTATTCCATGGTGTATATGTGCCACATTTTCTTAATCCAGTCTATCATTGTTGGACATTTGGGTTGGATGTGTGTGTGTTTTCTAGCACCAGAAGAGTTACACCAGGCACTGAGGATCTATAATTCTCCCTCTTTGCTATTTTATCTCCTTCCTTAGCATTGCACCTCAGTATTTTGCAGCTTGCAAATAGCATTTGCTCTTCAAGACTATCCTTTTCCTTCTTTGGAAATCTAAATTTCACACTGCCACAAAGCAATGTCATTGGATAACCAAACTATCCTGTAAAATCTGGCTTCAGCCATTCCACCTTGAGTTTTGACAATACATTATTTTTTTTTCTAGAAAAATAAGGGAGCAAGCTTATTTTCTTATTTTCTGTGGGTAAGAGTAGGTTATGATTTTAGAATGTTGTCCTGGTCCAACGAGTTTTGCAATGCAATTACCTCATCTGTATGAACTCAGATCCTGTGGTCTTACAAAAAGAGGCATAAAGATTAATTGGAGGGGTTATTTGGAACAATTGATACTACTTTATCTTATTTGATATGTCCTTGGTTCTTAACTTGTTGATTTAAAGATGTTTGTTTCCTAATTGATTATTTGAAAATGATTCTTAGATGCATTTCTTTTTCTTTTTTTTTTTTTTTTATTATACTCTAAGTTTTAGGGTACATGTGCACATTGTGCAGGTTAGTTACATATGTATACATGTGCCATGCTGGTGCGCTGCACCCACTAATGTGTCATCTAGCATTAGGTATATCTCCCAATGCTATCCCTCCCCACTCCCCCGACCCCACCACAGTCCCCAGAGTGTGATATTCCCCTTCCTGTGTCCATGTGATCTCATTGTTCAATTCCCACCTATGAGTGAGAATATGCGGTGTTTGGTTTTTTGTTCTTGCGATAGTTTACTGAGAATGATGGTTTCCAATTTCATCCATGTCCCTACAAAGGATATGAACTCATCATTTTTTATGGCTGCATAGTATTCCATGGTGTATATGTGCCACATTTTCTTAATCCAGTCTATCATTGTTGGACATTTGGGTTGGTTCCAAGTCTTTGCTATTGTGAATAGTGCCGCAATAAACATACGTGTGCATGTGTCTTTATAGCAGCATGATTTATACTCATTTGGGTATATACCCAGTAATGGGATGGCTGGGTCAAATGGTATTTCTAGTTCTAGATCCCTGAGGAATCGCCACACTGACTTCCACAATGGTTGAACTAGTTTACAGTCCCACCAACAGTGTAAAAGTGTTCCTATTTCTCCGCATCCTCTCCAGCACCTGTTGTTTCCTGACTTTTTAATGATTGCCATTCTAACTGGTGTGAGATGATATCTCATAGTGGTTTTGATTTGCATTTCTCTGATGGCCAGTGATGCTGAGCATTTCTTCATGTGTTTTTTGACTGCATAAATGTCTTCTTTTGAGAAGTGTCTGTTCATGTCCTTCGCCCACTTTTTGATGGGGTTGTTTGTTTTTTTCTTGTAAATTTGTTTGAGTTCATTGTAGATTCTGGATATTAGCCCTTTGTCAGATGAGTAGGTTGCGAAAATTTTCTCCCATGTTGTAGGTTGCCTGTTCACTCTGATGGTAGTTTCTTTTGCTGTGCAGAAGCTCTTTAGTTTAATTAGATCCCATTTGTCAATTTTGTCTTTTGTTGCCATTGCTTTTGGTGTTTTGGACATGAAGTCCTTGCCCACGCCTATGTCCTGAATGGTAATGCCTAGGTTTTCTTCTAGGGTTTTTATGGTTTTAGGTTTAACGTTTAAATCTTTAATCCATCTTGAATTGATTTTTGTATAAGGTGTAAGGAAGGGATCCAGTTTCAGCTTTCTACATATGGCTAGCCAGTTTTCCCAGCACCATTTATTAAATAGGGAATCCTTTCCCCATTGCTTGTTTTTCTCAGGTTTGTCAAAGATCAGATAGTTGTAGATATGCGGCATTATTTCTGAGGGCTCTGTTCTGTTCCATTGATCTATATCTCTGTTTTGGTACCAGTACCATGCTGTTTTGGTTACTGTAGCCTTGTAGTATAGTTTGAAGTCAGGTAGTGTGATGCCTCCAGCTTTGTTCTTTTGGCTTAGGATTCCCGTGGCGATGCGGGCTCTTTTTTGGTTCCACATGAACTTTAAAGTAGTTTTTTCCAATTCTGTGAAGAAAGTCATTGGTAGCTTTATGGGGATGGCATTGAATCTGTAAATTACCTTGGGCAGTATGGCCATTTTCACGATATTGATTCTTCCTACCCATGAGCATGGAATGTTCTTCCATTTGTTTGTGTCCTCTTTTATTTCCTTGAGCAGTGGTTTGTAGTTCTCCTTGAAGAGGTCCTTCACATCCCTTGTAAGTTGGATTCCTAGGTATTTTATTCTCTTTGAAGCAATTGTGAATGGGAGTTCACCCATGATTTGGCTCTCTGTTTGTCTGTTGTTGGTATATAAGAATGCTTGTGATTTTTGTACATTGATTTTGTATCCTGAGACTTTGCTGAAGTTGCTTATCAGCTTAAGGAGATTTTGGGCTGAGACAATGGGGTTTTCTAGATAAACAATCATGTCGTCTGCAAACAGGGACAATTTGACTTCCTCTTTTCCTAATTGAATACCCTTTATTTCCTTCTCCTGCCTGATTGCCCTGGCCGGAACTTCCAACACTGTGTTGAATAGGAGCGGTGAGAGAGGGCATCCCTGTCTTGTGCCAGTTTTCAAAGGGAATGCTTCCAGTTTTTGCCCATTCAGTATGATATTGGCTGTGGGTTTGTCATAGATAGCTCTTATTATTTTGAAATACGTCCCATCAATACCTAATTTCTTGAGAGTTTTTAGCATGAAGGGTTGTTGAATTTTGTCAAAGGCTTTTTCTGCATCTATTGAGATAATCATGTGGTTTTTGTCTTTGGCTCTGTTTATATGCTGGATTACATTTATTGATTTGCGTATATTGAACCAGCCTTGCATCCCAGGGATGAAGCCCACTTGATCATGGTGGATAAGCTTTTTGATGTGCTGCTGGATTCGGTTTGCCAGTATTTTATTGAGGATTTTTGCATCAATGTTCATCAAGGATATTGGTCTAAAATTCTCTTTTTTGGTTGTGTCTCTGCCCGGCTTTGGTATCAGAATGATGCTGGCCTCATAAAATGAGTTAGGGAGGATTCCCTCTTTTTCTATTGATTGGAATAGTTTCAGAAGGAATGGTACCAGTTCCTCCTTGTACCTCTGGTAGAATTCGGCTGTGAATCCATCTGGTCCTGGACTCTTTTTGGTTGGTAAACTATTGATTATTGCCACAATTTCAGAGCCTGTTATTGGTCTATTCAGAGATTCAACTTCTTCCTGGTTTAGTCTTGGGAGAGTGTATGTGTCGAGGAATGTATCCATTTCTTCTAGATTTTCTAGTTTATTTGTGTAGAGGTGTTTGTAGTATTCTCTGATGGTAGTTTGTATTTCTGTGGGATCGGTGGTGATATCCCCTTTATCATTTTTTATTGTGTCTATTTGATTCTTCTCTCTTTTTTTCTTTATTAGTCTTGCTAGCGGTCTATCAATTTTGTTGATCCTTTCAAAAAACCAGCTCCTGGATTCATTGAGTTTTTGAAGGGTTTTTTGTGTCTCTATTTCCTTCAGTTCTGCTCTGATTTTAGTTATTTCTTGCCTTCTGCTAGCTTTTGAATGTGTTTGCTCTTGCTTTTCTAGTTCTTTTAATTGTGATGTTAGGGTGTCAATTTTGGATCTTTCCTGCTTTCTCTTGTAGGCATTTAGTGCTATAAATTTCCCTCTACACACTGCTTTGAATGCGTCCCAGAGATTCTGGTATGTGGTGTCTTTGTTCTCGTTGGTTTCAAAGAACATCTTTATTTCTGCCTTCATTTCGTTATGTACCCAGTAGTCATTCAGGAGCAGGTTGTTCAGTTTCCATGTAGTTGAGCGGCTTTGAGTGAGATTCTTAATCCTGAGTTCTAGTTTGATTGCACTGTGGTCTGAGAGATAGTTTGTTATAATTTCTGTTCTTTTACATTTGCTGAGGAGAGCTTTACTTCCAACTATGTGGTCAATTTTGGAATAGGTGTGGTGTGGTGCTGAAAAAAATGTATATTCTGTTGATTTGGGGTGGAGAGTTCTGTAGATGTCTATTAGGTCTGCTTGGTGCAGAGCTGAGTTCAATTCCTGGGTATCCTTGTTGACTTTCTGTCTCGTTGATCTGTCTAATGTTGACAGTGGGGTGTTAAAGTCTCCCATTATTAATGTGTGGGAGTCTAAGTCTCTTTGTAGGTCACTGAGGACTTGCTTTATGAATCTGGGTGCTCCTGTATTGGGTGCATAAATATTTAGGATAGTTAGCTCCTCTTGTTGAATTGATCCCTTTACCATTATGTAATGGCCTTCTTTGTCTCTTTTGATCTTTGTTGGCTTAAAGTCTGTTTTATCAGAGACTAGGATTGCAACCCCTGCCTTTTTTTGTTTTCCATTGGCTTGGTAGATCTTCCTCCATCCTTTTATTTTGAGCCTATGTGTGTCTCTGCACGTGAGATGGGTTTCCTGAATACAGCACACTGATGGGTCTTGACTCTTTATCCAACTTGCCAGTCTGTGTCTTTTAATTGCAGAATTTAGTCCATTTATATTTAAAGTTAATATTGTTATGTGTGAATTTGATCCTGTCATTATGATGTTAGCTGGTGATTTTGCTCATTAGTTGATGCAGTTTCTTCCTAGTCTCGATGGTCTTTACATTTTGGCATGATTTTGCAGCGGCTGGTACCGGTTGTTCCTTTCCATGTTTAGCGCTTCCTTCAGGAGCTCTTTTAGGGCAGGCCTGGTGGTGACAAAATCTCTCAGCATTTGCTTGTCTATAAAGTATTTTATTTCTCCTTCACTTATGAAGCTTAGTTTGGCTGGATATGAAATTCTGGGTTGAAAATTCTTTTCTTTAAGAATGTTGAATATTGGCCCCCACTCTCTTCTGGCTTGTAGGGTTTCTGCCGAGAGATCCGCTGTTAGTCTGATGGGCTTTCCTTTGAGGGTAACCCGACCTTTCTCTCTGGTTGCCCTTAACATTTTTTCCTTCATTTCAACTTTGGTGAATCTGACAATTATGTGTCTTGGAGTTGCTCTTCTCGAGGAGTATCTTTGTGGCGTTCTCTGTATTTCCTGAATCTGAACGTTGGCCTGCCTTGCTAGATTGGGGAAGTTCTCCTGGATAATATCCTGCAGAGTGTTTTCCAACTTGGTTCCATTCTCCACATCACTTTCAGGTACACCAATCAGACGTAGATTTGGTCTTTTCACATAGTCCCATATTTCTTGGAGGCTTTGCTCATTTCTTTTTATTCTTTTTTCTCTAAACTTCCCTTCTCGCTTCATTTCATTCATTTCATCTTCCATTGCTGATACCCTTTCTTCCAGTTGATCGCATCGGCTCCTGAGGCTTCTGCATTCTTCACGTAGTTCTCGAGCCTTGGTTTTCAGCTCCATCAGCTCCTTTAAGCACTTCTCTGTATTGGTTATTCTAGTTATACATTCTTCTAAATTTTTTTCAAAGTTTTCAACTTCTTTGCCTTTGGTTTGAATGTCCTCCCGTAGCTCAGAGTAATTTGATCGTCTGAAGCCTTCTTCTCTCAGCTCGTCAAAATCATTCTCCATCCAGCTTTGTTCTGTTGCTGGTGAGGAACTGCGTTCCTTTGGAGGAGGAGAGGCGCTCTGCGTTTTAGAGTTTCCAGTTTTTCTGTTCTGTTTTTTCCCCATCTTTGTGGTTTTATCTACTTTTGGTCTTTGATGATGGTGATGTACAGATGGGTTTTCGGTGTAGATGTCCTTTCTGGTTGTTAGTTTTCCTTCTAACAGACAGGACCCTCAGCTGCAGGTCTGTTGGAATACCCTGCCGTGTGAGGTGTCAGTGTGCCCCTGCTGGGGGGTGCCTCCCAGTTAGGCTGCTCGGGGGTCAGGGGTCAGGGACCCACTTGAGGAGGCAGTCTGCCCGTTCTCAGATCTCCAGCTGCGTGCTGGGAGAACCACTGCTCTCTTCAAAGCTGTCAGACAGGGACACTTAAGTCTGCAGAGGTTACTGCTGTCTTTTTGTTTGTCTGTGCCCTGCCCCCAGAGGTGGAGCCTACAGAGGCAGGCAGGCCTCCTTGAGCTGTGGTGGGCTCCACCCAGTTCGAGCTTCCCGGCTGCTTTGTTTACCTAAGCAAGCCTGGGCAATGGCGGGCGCCCCTCCCCCAGCCTCGTTGCCGCCTTGCAGTTTGATCTCAGACTGCTGTGCTAGCAATCAGCGAGACTCCGTGGGCGTAGGACCCTCTGAGCCAGGTGTGGGATATAGTCTCGTGGTGCGCCGTTTCTTAAGCCGGTCTGAAAAGCGCAATATTCAGGTGGGAGTGACCCGATTTTCCAGGTGCGTCCGTCACCCCTTTCTTTGACTCGGAAAGGGAACTCCCTGACCCCTTGCGCTTCCCAGGTGAGGCAATGCCTCGCCCTGCTTCGGCTCGCGCACGGTGCGCACACACACTGGCCTGCGCCCACTGTCTGGCACTCCCTAGTGAGATGAACCCGGTACCTCAGATGGAAATGCAGAAATCACCCGTCTTCTGCGTCGCTCACGCTGGGAGCTGTAGACCGGAGCTGTTCCTATTCGGCCATCTTGGCTCCTCCTCCCCTTGGATGCATTTCTGCACCGGGCATTTTTTATTAACAAATAAAACATTTTAATTACAAGAGGAAAACATAAAAATTGCCTGTAATCAGATATTTAAAAATTAAAAGCAGATATATATCTATATTTATTTATAAAAGTGGTTTTATATTATACATGCCATTTGTAATTAGCTTTTTCCCCTTAACAATATATCATGAAAATTTCCATGTTGTTTCATTTTTTTTGTCTATCAACATTTTAATAGCTGCATAGTTATTCCCTGTGCGTAGTGCCATAATATATTAAGTCAGTCCTTCATTGTTTAGACAGTGAGGCTATTTCCAACTTTTTGCTTGTATAAACAATGCTTCACTGAACACCTAAATGCATGTATCTTTAGCCATGATGATTTTCATTAGGGATAAATGCTTAAAAATGGAATTGCTATGACAAAGTTTATGCATATTTTAGAAGTTATTAGTAGATTTTGCAATATTGCCTTCCCAAAAGGCTTTACCAATTTACCCTCCTAGAACAGTGTATGAGGTTGTTTTCCTGTCTGGCCTCCTATCAACAAGTGCTTAAAAAATTTTAAGCATATTTGCTGGTTTGATAGGCAAAAATGTTATTTGACTTTTAGTTGGGTTTCCTGAATTATTAGTGTGAATGAATGTTTTCATGTTTATTGTCTATTTGTGTGTCTTCTTTCATGAATTGCTTATTTACATCTTTTGCTCATTTTTCTATTGGAGTGTGGTTTTTCCCTAAGTGTTTTTTATATGTTAAGGATAATAAATATCTACTATCTTTTATATTATAAACAACTTCTTCTCCTAATATAGTTTAAGGTAATTTCCTTTTTTATATTCAGAAGTTTTTTAATTTTATGCAGTCAAATCCATCATCATTCCTTTGTGGTTTCTGCCTTTGACATATGCCTAGCCGTGTATGTATGTTGCATTTTAGCCTTTTATTTTAAACATTATAAATGCAATGCACAGATCCTCCTTATGAAGGAGCCAAACGGGAGATACAAGTGTAACATAGAAAGCAGAAGTCCTCTCCCCTGCCCCTACCTCTGCATTCCCATGCCCCAGAAGTCCCTACCGTTAACATTTTGATTGCCCTTAGTCTTTAAAACAGATGTATTTGGTCTTTGGCCAATGGAACAATCTTTTTCACTGGCTCATGCTTTGAAGGTGTGGACTGCTGATGGTTGTGGCTTTTCACCCGACCTCTTTTCTATCAGCTCCTTATTGTCCACACTGCATTCTTTCTTCAGGCCCTGGGATTGGCGTGGTCCGCATATGTTTGGAGCTAGGGTGAGAGACTCTCTGCAGATAGGCTTTCTGGTTCCTGCTCTGGGACTCTGAGTGTCGCTTGTGTAGCAGCTGGGAGAATGAGATCAGGAAGGCAAGTCCAGCCGGCTCAGCCCCTCTCTTCTTGGGGCACGAAGTCTGGTTGCCTTTATTTTTGTGTGAATCAAACTTTCTAAAAGATGATACCCATGTGGACACTCCATGCCCAACCAAGTCAGGCTGTCGAGAGCCACACCTGACCTTGATTGTTGGTGACCCCAGCCCCTCTAAGATGCCTAAGGCCACTCAGGCAGTGGGGCCAGGACCCAAGGCCCTGTCCTTTCAGCTGATAGTTTCAGGATGTATTATTATAATGGATCAATCCTTGAAATGCTTTCATCAACACCACAGGAACTAAATGCTCTGAAATTTTCTGATTCATCTTTATGGAAGGTTAAAATAAAAATAACATTTTTTCCCACCACATTGAACAGAAGCCAGTCTCCAACCTTCACACGGTGTTCCTTAGAACAGGATTACACACTCCACTCGAGGGAAGTCAAATGCTCCTCTTCCCTCTGCGCCTGCCTGATTTGCTTTCCAAATCAAGAAGTTGGATAGAGTGAAAGGCTGGTTTCATTTGCAGAACATTTTGGCATCTGATTTTTGTTCCTGTTCAGTAGTTTTAGAAAATATACGGGTTCAGCTCAGGTTCAAGCTGGTCTACTATTTTTTTTTTTTTTTTCTGGAAAAAAACACTTTGGTTTGTTCCACTGTGTTTGGTAACAAAATTAATGTTTGGGCCCAGCTCAGGGTTCAGTGAACGGGTGCGGGTTGTTTTGGTCATGGATGGACAGTGAGAGCTCTTGATTGGGACTGGATTTCTTCTGCTGCAGGGGTGAATTGCTCGTCTGTTAGCCAGCCGCCCTCCAGCTCCAGAGTGTGGCCTCAGAACTCCCTGGATGACGCCTCACCTCCTGGCCAGATGGTGAATGGGGCTCTGTGTGGAGGGGATGCAGTCTGGGCAGAGCAGGCAAAGCTGGGAGGCAAGTGGCATGTTCCTTGGGATGCTTCCCCCACCAACTCACAGACCTGGGCTGCTGGGAGAGGCAGCCCCAAATGCTATTTGACCCTTCCTTTTGCTGGAACTGCATCTTCTGGAGATCTGTTCACCACAGACAAATCCATTGGCAGGTGTCCGGAAGGAAGCAATATAGAACAAGCAGCCCTGTGCCAGGGCCGTGTCTGTGAAGCAGAGCGGTATGATGCAGAAGTTTGTCATCTTCAAGAATCCCTGTCCTGGCGCACCTAGCCTGGTGACCTCTGCCAAGTGACTTGTTTCCTTCAAGCTTCCATGTCTTCACCTCTACGGTGGAGAGACTGAGCTAATAACTGTCTTCCACCTGCAAGATGGAGGTGAGGACCACATAGGAGCTGGCACGTAATGGATTTAGCATAGTGCCTGGATTATGGTGAAGTGCAACAAGCTTAGCCACTCTTGAGTTTTGAGGGACACACCACACATGCATGAACATATGAAGGTGGTATAAGAACCAATAAGTGCACAGGTGAATAAATGCTGCAGGAGTTCAAAGCAGGGAGAGAGGGCTTCCCTAGGGTTCCAGGGAGGGCAGGCATTCTGGTGATTTGAACTGGGCCTCAAAAGAGGATTCCATTGAAAGGAAGGTGAAGACAAACCTAGCATGTTCTTCTCAAAGCTTGGGAAGAGATCTATGCATCATATACCCACTGCCTTTGTTTTAGATGTTGAAGGCCTTGAGCAAAGTCATATGTCAAATTAGTAGCAGAGCTGGGGCTAGAGGCAGTGACTTCTCTTGTACTTTTTCCATCACACCTTGCTGGCCATTGGAATTTCTCTTAGTCACTATGCGTTTGTTTGCAAGTGACAGGAAAAAAACTCAGTTCACACCGGCTTAAGCAGAAAAGCAAAGAAAAACAACAGCAGCAGCATCCCAACAATAACAGAGAAGAGAACGTACTGACTTCTCCCTTGGACAGACTCTCCCACGGGGGCTCCTGGCATCTCCAAGCTTACCTGCTTCCAGCCTCACATCCAGGAGAAGGAAAGCATCTCGCTCCCTTCAAACAATCCCATGTCAAACAATCAAGTCTCACCAGCCTGGTTGTGCTCACGGGCCTCCCAAACCAATCACTGTGGCGAGAGTTTTATTTATTTATTTTGTTGTACTCTGATTGGCCAGACTTCGACCACCCGCTCACCCTTGGAGTCTTCAGAATGACACGGTCTGGGGTGTTCTTACTGGTAGAAGAGGGAGTGGCTTCTGGGCAGACAAAAACAGCAGTGCCCATTCAGTGTGGTCACAAGGTTTACACACTTCTTGTGGAGAAGGAGCAGGAGAGGGACCACCACCAAGAGGTGAGAGGCTCCTTTTCCCTCTGAGTTCTGAGTCAATGCTTAGCTAGTGGTAGCAGAATAACTATACAGTTTGCCCGTGCCCCCGGGAACAGAAGAAGCCGGGCGCCCATTGTGTGGTCCTGGCACATGCACTATGGGGCCGATCCAAGATGGGTCTGGAGAGCTGCCTATTAGAGCTCTGGGTCAGTGAACCACGGGAGTTGAGTTGGTGACTGTTGGAGATTCCAGAGGCAGTGTGGTGAGACAAAGGCAAGCTTGATGAGGGGAGGAGTCCACGAGCATGGTGTAGGCAGGCCTAGGGGCCAGGTTCAGAGCCGGGATGAGGAATTGCATGCCTGAATGACCCATGGCATGTGGCTGTTTTTCCCCTGGGCAGGGAGCCAGCTTGGCCCCGGTGGCCACTCTGGGTGGTGGTGGATATCCCGGAGACAGCTCATTCCCCGCTTTGGGGCTGCCGGGAGAGGAGGGAAGAAGAGCCCGCGTGGTTGTATGTTGTCTTCGGAGTGAGATGGAAAGCACGGGTTGGGAAAGGTGACCTGCAGGCACACCAGCCCCGGGCTGTGGGGGGGATGCTCAGAGCCCACCTGGCTTCGCCTGTTTGCAGCTCCTTTCTTAAGACATGTTCTGCAGAGAGATGAGGATTTGCACGCGGCTGATGTGTGGAGGAAGTGCTTCCAGGGAAACAGCGAGGAATGGGAAGCAGCACAGGGCAGGGGAAGAAGCCAAGGGACGCCTCAGCCGGAGGCCCATGAGGGTCGCTTCAGTCTGATCCTGCAGGGGACTCTGGAGTGTTAGCTACTACTCAGGGCTGGTAGAGAGCTGGGCTTTCATACCCCGGGATCGTCAGGCATTGGCTGAGGGCCACCCCAGAGGACTGTCAACTCCCAAACGCTTCTCTCAGGTTCAGACTTTTGGAACAAAACACATGGAAGGTGGGGGATGGGTACCGGCAACAGCAAATACACTTTCCTGGGTGAGGGGATGGTGGGGGGGTTGGTGTGGAGGGGACATTGGATGAAGCAGGGACACTCTCTGCTCCAGGAGTTTTTTTTCTGGTCACAAAACTTCACCACATGCGTTCTGGCTGAGAGCCCATGGGCAGACTTCTTCCCCATGTGGATGAGTCTAGAGAACACCCAGGTCTGTATCTCCAGGGCCCCTGTATTAACTGCATCTAAGAAAACTGACCTAAGCACAATGAGCTCATCACACTGAGCAGGACAAGGGCAGGCTGGCTTCAGGCATGGCTGCACTCAGGTGTCCAGATGGTGTAGCAGGGGCTCTGTTTCCTGCCTCTGCTTCCCTCTCTGTTGGCTCTGTCCTCAGGCTGGTGTTCACCTCATGGTGGGGGGATGGCCGCCAACAGTGGAAAAAGAGAGTAGAGGTGACCCTTGAACAACATGGGTTTGAACAGTGCGGGTCCACTTACATGTGGATTTAAAAAACTAAAAGTTCCACCGA
This sequence comes from Homo sapiens, assembly GCF_000001405.40. Taxonomy (NCBI): domain Eukaryota; kingdom Metazoa; phylum Chordata; class Mammalia; order Primates; family Hominidae; genus Homo; species Homo sapiens. The sequence continues at coordinate 173,413,966 of NC_000005.10, forward strand.
GCGTGCCTGCCTCTTCTGCCTCTCCTTCCACCTCCTCCACCTCTTTTGCCTGTGTCACCTGGGAGACAGCAGGACGAACCCCTCCCTCTTCTTCAGCCTACTTGATGTGAAGGTGATGAAGACCTTTGTGATGATCCACTTCCACTTAAAAAACAGTAAATATATTTTCTCTTCCTTGTGATTTTCTTAATGACATTTTCTTTTCTCTAGCTTACTTTATTGTAAGAATACGGTGTAGGCCGAGCACAGTGGCTCACGCCTGTAGTCCCAGCATTTTGGGAGGCCAAGGCGGGCAGATCACCTGAGGTCAGGAGTTCAAGACCAGCCTGGCTAACATGGTGAAACCCCATCTCTACCAAAAGTACAAAAATTAGCCAGGTGTGGTGGCGCCTGCTGGTAATCCCAGATACTCGGGAGGCTGAGGCAGGAGAATCACTTGAATCCGGGAGGCGGAGGTTGCAGTGAGCTGAGATGGCACCACTGCACTCCAGCCTGGGAGACAAGAGTGAGACTCTGTCTCAAAAAACAAAAAACAGAAAACGGTGTATAATACATAGAACATAAAAAATATGTGCTAATTCAACTATTTATGTTAATGGTAAGGCTTCCAGTTAACAGTAGGCTATTGGTAGTTAAGTTTCTGGTAAGCCAAAAGTTACGTGTACATTTTCCACTGCATGGGCTGTCAGAGCCCCAACCCCTGCGTTGTTCAAGGGTCAACTGTGCTTTGCTTTTAGGTCTTCAGCAAGGGCCATGGAAGGCACTCTGACTGGGTCACATGCACATCCCTGAACTAATCTCTGATGCTCTGAGTGACCAGGCCTGGTCACCTTATCTGTGCACTGTGTGTGTGTGTGTGTGTGTGTGTGCGCGTGTGTGTGTGTGCATGCGTGCATGTGTGGCACTTTCCCAAGGAACATCAGGGCTGTGTGACTAGAGGAGGAGACTAGATTAAGGTTGGGTCCCAGATGGTTATACCACAAGGGTCTCATGTCCTCCCTTAATGCTCACGGTGCCGTGTCCCTGACCTCAGAGGCTGACCTCAGATCTCAGGGGCCAGAGTCTCCTCTGCATGCACGCAGTGGATGTTGCTGTGCGCATTCATTCACTGTGCTTTTCCATAGAGGATTTCAATAAAAATTAACAAAATCACATGTAGGTTCATTATAAACACTCAAACAGCATATAAAATATATAAATTCGTAAATATATAAGATATAAATATAACATTTCTAATATACTATATGAAGCATATTTATCTTATATTTATATAACTATATATTTATAAGTATTTATTTATATTTATGTATAAATGTCTACATTTATATAATTATAATTCATATTATATTTATTTATATTTACTACATAAATGTATATATTACACATAAATATTGATCCATGTTCACTATATATGCATAATATAAAATAGAAGTGCAAAGCACTCATAATCCCAACCCCATAGAAAATTGGCTGTTTGTATTTTTGAGACTATAGCTCTCTACATACCCCTTCCACCATCTCAGTTACCCAAATTTCCGCCTCTTTCTTTAATAGCCAAATAAAATCACTGCACCCCTGCCTTTTGTGGCTGCAGGAAAGCCCACCTCCCCTGACTGTGACTTAGCACTTCCTCCTCCCACCTCCATGTGTCCATTCCAACACTTCCTCCCTGGTGCCTGTGACATAAGGGGCATGTGTAGGCGCTTCAAGTGCGTTGTTGACCAACATAGGCTGAGATGTGTGCTGGTACAGAGCTTACATTTTGTGGGGATTGGACAGTTAACAATGAGCAAATAAATGACCTGTCTATTACCAGATGCAGGGTGTAGGGACTGAGATAGGCGATGGGGCAGCAGGTGGGAGCAGTATCTAGGGGTTGAGGGTGGGTCTCTCATGGAAGGTGAGATTGGAGCAGAGACTTGAAGCGGGGAGGTGGCTGCCTAGGGGAAAAGTGTCCCAGGCAGAGGGAACAGCCAGCGTGAAGTCTCTTGTGTTGGGAACGTGCATGGAAGTGTGTGTGTGGAAGGAAGGGAGGCAGGGCCACATGGTGGGGAATCTTGGAAGCTGGGAGGGCATGGCTTTAACGAGACAAAAATGGGGAGCCACAGGCAGGCTGTGCGTGAGGAGAGATGACTCTGGGTTCCCACATGAGGCTGCTCTTGGCTTTCTCCTGCTCCCCAGCCCCCAACGTTATCTTCAGCCTGGGCAGGGCTCCCTCCATTCCCCATGGTGGGCCACAGCTGAGGCAGACAAGGTGATGTAAGGACTCAGGGACCTTTATCACCATGTAAGCAAAGTATGGGCCTGCAGGTATGGGTGTGTAAATACGTAGATGTGTACACAGAAGAATAAGGAAGGACTGAGGAAATCCAGAGCTGGGCTGCAGCAGGAATTGGGCATGTGATATGGTTTGACTGTGTCCCCACCCAAATGTCATCTTGAATTGTAGCTCCCATAATCCCCACATGTCATGGGAGGGACCTGGTGGGAGGTAATTGAATCATGGGGGTGGGTCTTCCCTGTGCTGTTCTGGTGATACTGAATAAGTCTCATGAGAGCTCAGGGTTTTGTAAAGGGCGTTTCCCCTGTAAACACTCTCTTGCCTGCTGCCATGTAAGATGTGCCTTGGCTCCTCTTTTGCCTTCTGCCACAATTGTGAGGCCTTCCCAGTGATGTGGAACTGTGAGTCCATTAAACCTCTTTTTCTTTATAAATTACCCAGTCTTGGGTATGTCTTTGTTAGCAGCATGAGAATGGACTAATACAGCATGTAAGGGGAAACCTCCAAGACTGGCTTCTGTACTATTGCTTGTATCTTGTAGAAGGTTGTATTTTTGTTCTAACTGTGTAATGCTCAGGCCCTGGTTGTGGGGCTGTGGGCAGGGGCATGTAATAGGAGCCTCCCCCAAAGGGTGCTCTTGTGGCTGCTGCTGCTGGACATATTTTGGCTCCTCCACTCCTAGCTGAGTTCCTCCTGCCTTCTTCCCTCCATCTTAGGGTCCTCAAAATGTCTGTGGAGTTTCCAGGCCAATGGACACTGCTGGCCACAAAGCTTTCCTCCTCCAGGAAGAGGCTCTGTACTTGATTTTGCAGCTTGACCAAACTTGTTCTCTCCAGGCTTCCACCACACCTGCTACCACCACCACCTGACTTCTCTCTGTCCCTCTCTCTTCTTTACCAATTCCACTTTTGACCCTCTCTGTCTCTTTCTCTCTCTTTGAGTTCCAACTTCAGCTTCTTGCACCAGCTGCTGACCCTCTCTGTAAGTTTTCTTGTTCACATTCACTAAGACCAAGGATCAAAATAGTATGGTACAGTTAGCCAACCCTTGTTTCTAACCCAGGCCACGTGGTAGATCAATAAATTAGCTGAAGGGGGAAGAAAGGTGCCAATGTGCTATTTCAGCTTGTGGGATGGCGTGTGTGACATCCAGTTGTCGTTCCACACTCTAGGTGTCCAATGACCTGCTTACATGTTTGGGAAGACAGATATAAGTCCCGTTTCCTGGGGGAAGTGCTTTGATTTTTACCTGTAGCTACTGTCCAAAGAGTCTGTTGCTTTTTGTGATTTCTTATGCTGTACTTCAGGTTTCCATCTGTTAGTCATTCAACAAATATTTATGGAGCATCCAGGCCTTGTGTTAGATGTTGGAGATGTAGAGACAATCATAACCATAGTGCTGGCCACTGGGAGAAACATACTCATAAGCTGTGGAAAGTTTCCAGGAGAAAGTTGTTGTCATCCTCATCATCAACATCATCAGGGTTGTCATCATCATCATCTTCATTGTCATCTTCATCATTGTCATCACATCATAATGAACTTTATTCTGTTTTCAGAATTCCATATGCATAATTCACTTAATCCTTGCAACAACTCTATGAAGTCGATACTATTATTACCCCTATTTTATAGATGAGGAAACTAAGCACAAAGAGATTTAATAACATGCTCAAGTCAGACTGCTAAAAAAATGCTAGAGCCGAGATTTGAATGTCAGTGGTTTGATTCCAGAGTCAGAGAAGTAGCTATGGCCATCAGTGCTTTACTGCATCATTTAGTGTCCTGATGAACCTTGGTTTTATGAGACATTAATAGACATTCCAGAAGGAAAGGTGGGGTAGTTAAGCAGTTGAGAAAATGCTGGGCCAAATGAGGGAAACAAGTAGCTTTCTTTATTGCAGGCCTTCTCAGAAGCTTTAATTTGTTAAGTTATTAATTTCTAAAGGCAACGGTTTCTAAACTTAGCTGAACAGGCTTTCAGGGTTGGACACACCTATCAACATTGCATGGAGCTGGTATGTCACGGAATCCAATATAAGGAAGGCTGTTTTGTGGCTTGTTTTTCCTTGCCATTCCTACTTGTTTTTTTACTTCACCTTTCTATGACAACTGCATGGGCATCCTAATACCACTCACTCTACTCATGTGACCCACCCAGTGTAGGTGGGTGGATTTCATGTTGAGGATGTTCTGACACTCCATCCTCAATGGCGTTCGTTGTGTCAGTAATGAGGCTGGTGTGGAGTAGAGCAGACACTGAGCTGGGCTGGTGGGGTGGCATATAAGGGCAGGAGGGCACCAGGAGGCCAGCTAATAAAGACCACGTATGGTCTGCTGAAATACCACGTGACAAAGCAGGGCCGGTGTCTGGAGTCTCAAACAAGGTGTGGGGTCCAAGCTGAGGTTGATCTTCAGAATCCAGGCTGGGGCCAAGGGAGCAACTGACTGTCCGTCATGTCTGCAGGGCTGGCCCAGGCAGTGGGTTTGTCCATCCACATTAATTCTGGCCATAGCAGCTTTGCTGTTGATCTTGACTTTGGTAACTTCCCTAGTGGGCCTCGCAAGGCCCAGAAGATTTTTGCTGGTCCCTGCATGAAGCAGGAATGAAGCAAGACTCACATTTTTTATTTTGAGTTGTATTTATAGAAATCCTTCTGGAATGATCTACATGCCTGGTTTCTTATGACCTTCAGAATATGGGAGGCAGTTCATGGGGCAGGAGTTTAAGCCAATGTGTGTTCCTGACCTGGTGAGAACTAAACTTAAATCAGACTAGTGGTCCAACTTCTCAGAATCCCAACTCAGAAAAAAAAAAAAGTAAGATAATGAGTTTTAAAGGGAAGGGATGTGAAAATGGAAACTCTTTAAAAATAGGGCAGTGGCAGGATTGTGTGGGGGTGTGGATTTGTAGTTGCTGGAAGACTCTATGGGAGGTTATCAAATGCACTCATCCTCATGGCCTAGATGGCTGGTGGCCTTCCGAAGTCCATTCTTCCTTTTCAAATAACACTGCTGCCTCGCTGAAAAGACTTCATGTCCCAGCCTCCCTTGCAGCTAGGTGAGGTGATCTGACTAGATTCTGTCTGATGACGTGTAAGGAGTATTGTGTGGTAATTCCAAGAAATGTCCTTGAATGAGAAGGAATAACCTTTACCTACTCTTTCTTCATCTGGGTGCTTGGAATGCAGACATGATGCCTGGACTTCAACAGCTGTTTTAGACCATGAGGTGACCTGCCAATAATGGTAAATTTTGAAGACAGAAGGTGACACTGTGGGGCCAGCATACCAGCCCAGGGCTTTCTACCTCTGAACTTCTTTTATGTAAAGGAGAAATAAATTTCTGTCTTATTTAAGCTACCGTTATTTGCAGGGGGGCTGGCAGGAGGGAATTTTGTTATATCAGTGAAACTGACACAGCCATAATTTCTAACCAAGATGGCTTGAAAAACAAAATTCTGGAGACCTGAGGTCAGAGTGGAAACCCTGAAGTGGAAACCCCAAAGGCCTCGGGGTGGTGACAAGCTCTCCTGATGGGCCCAGGCTGCAGCTGCTTACTGCCTTTTTATCCTTCTATTTGGCTAAATCAGAGAAAGAGATGGACATAGGGTGGTGGGGAGAGGAAGCTATGACTGGTCCTAGTGAGGCTGGGCTGCCAAATGTCTTAGTCTGAAAAGGGAACAGGTTTCATATGGACAAGATGGAAGAACTGCTTGTTCCCTCTGGAAAGTTCTATTAAAATGACCAACCCAGACACACTTTAATATTAATGGGAAATTCCTCTCGTTGTTTATGAAATCATTTTAGAGTTGATTTTAAAAAGAGAGGAGAGAGGGGGGAAAAAGCTGTTTGTTAGCTCAACGAAGCCCCAGACAATTATTTATAGATGCATCTGAGTGGCTTGTTTTAACACGGAGCAACTGTCTGAAAAGACTCCACTTTGACACCAGTAAGCACCCCTGGCACCAAGAATAAATTTATGAATGTCTTTTATGAGAGTCAACAAACTAGACAAATAAGCCCACAGACCGTCTTCACTTCGAGAACCAGAACAAAGAGTCGTATTCGTCATTGGCTCTGGGCAGGAACCACGCCAAGCTGAGCAGCCCTCGCTCAGGCCGGATGTTCCCCTCCAGCTAATGTGATTTCTTTGGGCACTGCCACGGTGGCAGGCAGATGCCTGGTTTATTTCCATTCCTCCGCTTCTCTGATTTGTTTGGGTGGCTAAATATCTCTTTCCCAGGAGAACATCTGCTCTTTTAAAAATGGAAAAAAGCAGGAAGACCTCCAAGCTGTTGGGCAGGAACTCACCCTCGAGTGAGACCGACCAGAATCTCATAAAACGTTTCTTCTGGGGTCCCCGCCACATCTCAAGAGAGGGCCCAAGCAGCTCCTTTAGGGGTCCTGGAACCCTACCCGCTTGCATGTCCTTCAAGGCAGTTTGAATTCTGTGCTATGACGCCTGAGGCTTAATAACTGCTTTGGCCAAGTTTAGGTCATTTTTCTTGATGTCTCATTTATAGATGTCTTCTTACCATCACTAACACCCATGGTTTGGTTGGAAATGAATCCACAGCAATGCAGAGGTGCAACAAAAATATGGTGGAAAAACTTCTAACTTGGTAGTTAAAGGGAACTTAAATACTTCTGAATGAAAAGACTCTTTGGGGAGAAATAATCTTTTTTTTTTTTTTTTTTTCTGTAGAGATGGGAATCTCACTATGTTGCCTAGGCTGATCTTGAGCTCCTAGCCTTAAGTGATTCTGCAGCTTGGTCTCCCAAAGTGCTGGGATTACAGGCATGAGCCACTGCACCCAGGTGGGGGGCTGGGGGCTGGGATCATCTTTTAGAGCTTCTTCCCTCCCGCTTCTCCTTCCATTTTCCCCAGGAGATCTCAAGGGGCCAGTGGGTGCTCAATAGCGCTGTGACTGTGTGGGGAGCTTCTGCAGCCCTCCTTTGTACCCTGCTGTGGCGCAGCTGATGGGACCCAGTCCCTGACATCCTGCACGTGTCCTGAATGGAGGTTTTCACTTTTCCTGGTCTCTTTGGGGCCACAGAAGCACCCACTACTGACATCAGTATTTCTCCATTTCCTTGGTGGTGAGGTCCTTGTGTTTGGACGCAGGCTGGTCCCACTGTGTGGGCCTCTCTGGGTCTGCTGGTACTGGCAGATCCTGTCTCCCAACCAGTACTCAAGGGAGCCTCTGGGTCTCCTGACCACTGCCCACTAGGAGCACTGTCTCAGCCTGGCCTCTTGGCCTAACCACGACACGTGGCTATTTCTATTTTGCTTGGCCATATGATGTTGTAGCAGGGACATTCTGCGAGATGGTTTCTGTATTAGTTTGGTAGGGCTGCTGTAACAAAATGCTACAGAGTGGGTGGCTTAAGCAATGGTAATTTATCTGGAGGCTGGAAGTCCGAGATCAAGGGGCTGTCAGGGTTGGCTTCTCCTGAGGCCTCTCTCCTTAGCTTGCAGGCTGCCACTTTCTTGCTGCCTCTTCACACGGTTGTCTCTCTGCATGTGTGTCCCTGGTGTCTCTTCCTCGTCTTATAAGGGCCCTGGTCCTACTGGGTTAGGGCTCCACCATTAAGGCCTCATTTAACCTAATCATGTCTTTAAAGACCTTATCTCTAAGGATGGTTCCATTCTGATATCCAGGGGTTGGCCCTGAATGTATGAATTTTGGGGGAACACAAATCAGTTTGTAACAATTTCCTTTCCCTTGATTTATCTGGGGGTTCTTCTTGCTTGCTGGAGCTCTCCCTCACCCATCTAGCCAAGGTTCAGGAAGGGGTATGGTTGCTGGGTCTGCAGAGATCAGGCTGAGGGTGAGACCATCACCCCACCTCCTCCACCCCTCTCAATCTCTCTGCTTCCTCCGAGCCACTCTCCAGGCCAAAGGGGCTCTTCTTTCTTTCTGTGGGGGAGAGAGCTCCCCTCTTGTCAAATCCTGCCTTTTCTCCAACTAGTGCATTCAGACTAGCACGCAGTGTTCTTTGCAAGGGAAGCACTTTGGAGTCTAAAAATCCCTTTTCTTAATGAAGCCTGACTTTCAAAACTATTTTTTTTTGCTGTTGCCATCACAAATCTTATTTGAAATTCAAAGCTCAGCCATTGCTTGGCCCTCTGAGGCAATGAATGGTTGGGGAGCTGTAGGGTGACTTGATTTACAGGAAAGAAAAAATCATTTGATAGGATATTTTCAGAATTATTATTATTTCTGCATCATGGGTCATGTGATTGATGAATATACACAGCAGAAATAATTCTGAAAATATTTTTTATCTAGTTTAGACCTTTTAGTTTCTTTTCTTTTCATTATAAAATGCAATACGTGTTCATCTGAAGAAATTTGGAAAACAAATTCAGAGGGAAAAAAATTATGCTTAGACTTAACATCCAAAGACAGGTACTGTTATCATTTAGCCTGTTTCCCTCCTATCTTTCGTTTATGAATTTTTGGGGTTACTTTTAATTTAATTTACATATATTTAAAAACTGGTTATATATATGTTTATATATATGTTTATTTATATATACATATATATATTTTATATATATGTTTATATTTTTATATTACATATATATATTATATATATATATTTTTTGAGACAGAGTTTCACTCTTGTCGCCCAGGCTGGAGTGCAATGGCGCAATCTCCACTCACCACAACCTCCGCCTCCCGGGTTCAAGTGATTCTCCTGCCTCGGCCTCCTGAGTAGCTGGGATTACAGGCACGTGCCACCACATCCGGCTAATTTTGTATTTTCAGTAGAGATGGGGTTTCTCCATGTTGGTCAGGCTGGTCTCGAACTGCCGACCTCAGGTGATCCACCCGCCTCGGCCTCCCAAAGCGCTGGGATTACAGGCATGAGCCACTGCGCCCTGCCAAAACTGGTAATATTTTTAAATGATTAAAAATAAAAACAGCATACAGAGAGACATACAGTGAGCAATCTCACAACCATTCCGATCTCTGTCCACTCTGTTCTTCCCACACCCTGTAAGGAATCACTTGTACTAGTTTTTTTGTGCATCTGTCTCTCCAGAGTTTCTTTACCCAAATACAAATGGAATAGACACTCTTACTTTTACCCTTTCTTATGCAAATGGTATTAGAAGTATGGAGCGTTCTGCACCTGGAGAACTTTCCAACAGGACCTCTTTCATGGCTTCTTGCGGCCTGGATGCTAAGTTCTCTAGCTCCCTAGCTGTGATACTTTGGGCAACATCTTTGCCTATCTAGGTCAAACTTCAGCTAATGCTTCTTTTTTCTTCACTTGGTAACAAACTGCCACACCCCAGCGCCAATCACGAGTGTGGAGACGTGATTCAAGTTGGTACTGCCAAATAACTGCCCTGGTGACAGTTATCTGTCCCGGGAAGGTCTGTGAAGCAGGTTCACTGTGCACTGCTTACCAATCTGTCTGAGTCCAGAGAGACAGAACATACTCATATGCAACAAATTATGTGAAGTGGATCCACTATTTATAGGTAGGCAGCAAGGGACACAGAAGCCTAGGATTCATTGTGAGTTGGTCTCCCAATGCTAAGAAAGCTCCCTGGGGTGGATGGAGTCTGAACGGTGCATATCTGAATTGCACTGTAGAATAGGGACCCTGTAAGGACACCTACCCGGGTTACATACCACAGGGTTACATGACTCACTGGGCTAAAGTGTTGGGGGACATTCTGTTTCTAGGGGAGGCTGGACCAGAGCCCAAGATGTTCAGCCAGTCCCTCCGTATCTCAGGGTGTTACATTCTCAGTACATTCTATAGTTATTCATGAGATCTACCAGCAAGAGTGAGCAGAACTCTTGAGTGGGTTGGTCCAAGGCCACTCAGAACACTGTCCTGCAGTCATATGGTTCCAGATGGCCAGGACATTCCTCCTGGTGCTGGTGGGAATGCCTGCCTCTTGCCTCTGAGCTTGCTGTGTTGGCATGAAGTGAACTTGGGGCTTCTCATGGTCATCTTTCCCACCACATGGAGAGGGCCCATCACTAGTAGGAAACATGTAGCTAACATTCAGAGAGAAGCAGAGAAGAGAGATGCAAAACCCCAGCAACTCACTGGTGTCCTAGATTCAGTCCTGTCTAGTGAACCACCCTTTATCTAAATTATGGGAGTTTGGGCTGCATTTCTGCCACAGCTGGGAGAGACCTAGTTTGTATCAAGTTCTGGGAAGCCCAAGCCCCATGAGAAAGGAGGGGAACTCACTGAGAGGTGGGAGTTAAGAGCGCAGGCTCTGGAACCAGACTGGCTGGATCCACGTGCTGGCTCCACCACTTAGCATGTGGTCTCGGACACACCATGCAACAGTTCCGTGTCCATTTTTGCACCTGTGGGGTAACGTGACATGATTGAATGAGTTGGCATGTCAAATGTGTAGCCAATATAAGGGTCACGGTGAACTGCTTATAAATGCTATTACGTTGTTCATCTGTTCACGTTTCACAGATGTCACTGCCACTCTCCCCAGCTCCATCTTCATCCCGCCGAGTCCCATCTTCCTTCTCACCAGCCTGGTATTTTTGAACGTACATTTGAATTGCAACAGTCGGCATCAAGATGGTGGGAAATAGCAGTTGAGATTTCTCAACTAGAAGATTGAAAAGTCTAAGGCTGGACAAACAATCAAACAATGAGAGGTAGTAAAGTAGAGCAAAATTTTAAGGATGAACTGAGAATGTACAGCCCTAGCATGCAAGAGGCCATCTTTCCTTCTTCAAGAGTTCTTTCTCATCAGCAAGAACCTCTCATCAAGATGGCCTCCCCAATAACTGAAGAGTTATTGTGGTTGTTTTTAAATCCCTCCATTAGTTTGCTAGGGCTGCCATAACATATTGAGTGACTTGAGCAACAGAGATGTATTTCCTCACAGTTCTGGAGGCTGGAAGTTGGAGATGAAGGTGCTGCCAGGTTTGTTCCTCCTGAGGTCTCTGTGCTTGGCTTGTAGATGGCCATCTTCTTCCTGTGCCTTTACATGGATCTCTCTCTGTGTGTGTCTATGTTCTAATCTCCTTTTCTTGTAAGGACACCAGTCATTTTAATTAGGCAAATGAGGTAATGAGGTAATCATCTGTATTACCTCATTTTACCTTAATCACCTCTTTACAAGACTTATCTCCAAATATAGTCACATTCTGAGGTCCTGGGGGTTAGGCCTTCAACATAAGGAATTTAGGGGGACACAGTTCAGCCCATAGCACTCATGAAAGGGGCTTTTCAGTGCTGCTCCAGACTTCTCAGCCTTCCCCTCTCCTGCTTGGTAACCCCTCTCCTTGTTCCTGAATCCCAGATCGACACCACACTGCATGGTGTTTTGGTAGAAGCAGCTACAGGGTTTTCATCAGAGTCCTAGGACTCTGGACAACATGAACAGTATGAAAAGTCCTTCTGAATACGGTGGGTGTGGAGATGAAGAGGTGTGGGTGGGGTTATTTTGGGACTGTTTGTCTTTTGTCTGCACATATTAAAGGCTGGCCTAGTTTAAAATGTGGCCTTTCTTATTTTTTTTTTAAATTGGAGTTTTGAAGTAAGTGAATGATGACAGTGTGTGCATAGGAGTCTGTCTTGGGATAAAAGAAGTCAGTGGACAGTCACAGAACTGGGTATGGATGGTCTCAGAATGCTGAATAAAAGGCATAGCAAGATTCTTGGCCTTCTATTTCCTAATGCTCTCAGAATATTTTTAGTTGATCTGTCATCTTTAGCTTAGGGCCATAGGATAGACTTTATGTCATTTAGTTTCATCACCAGGAGAACAAAAATCGTCGATTGTGATAGCAACACATTGAGAATATCTGATGAGTAGCATCTGTCTGTCCTGGTTGCTGGGATTGCAGTCTGTACATGAGTATGTAGGGCTGGCACCATGGGTCTTTGCGTGCTAATTTTCCCTGACATCGTCCTGCTGCACAGCCTTCCTTTCCCATATCTATGATTTTATTCTCTTTTTATTATATTGTGCATACTTTTATAAGCTTTCTTCATATCCTTTCATCCATCTATTTATCCACACAGATGTATATGAATTATTTGGAGTATATTTTCGTGATTGTTGGAAGCAGTGAAGCTTCAACCTTTTAATGTGGGGTTGGACCCCATTAATATGCCATCCAGGTTCAACCATGTTGTTGTGGTGTCCTGCTATCTCCCACCCCATGTGTGATGTCGATCTGGGACTCAAGAACAAGGAGGGGGTTACCAAGCAGGAGAGAAGGCTGAGAAGTCTGGGGCAGCACTGAAAAGCCCCTTTCATGGAGTGCTATGGGTTGATTCATGTCCCCCTAAATTCCTTATGTTGAAAGACTAACCCTCAAGACCTCAGAATGTGGCTGTATTTGGAGATAAGATTTTTAAATGGCAGTCTCTCCTTTTTTAAAGGCTGAATAATATTCCACTTATGTATACCAAAGTACCTTTATCCATTTGTCGGTGGATGGATACTTAGGAGGACATTATGCTGACACAGAAAGAAAAGTACTATATAATATCATTTACTTGCAAATCTTTTTTTTTTTTTTTTTTTGAGATAGTTCTGGCTCTGTTGCCCAGGCTGGAGTGCAGTGGTATGATCTCAGGCCACTGCAACTTCCACCTCCTGGGCTCAAGTGATCCTCCTGCCTCAGCTTCCTGTGTAGGTGGGACTACAGGCATGCGCCACCACACCCGGCTAATTTTTGTATTTTTTGTAGAGATGGGGTTTTGTCATGTTGCCTAGGTTGGTCTCAAACTCCTGAGCTTAAGTGATCCTACTGCCTCAGCCTCTCAAAGTGCTGGGATTACAGGTGTGAGCCACCACTCCTGACAAAAGTCAAATAAGTACAAAGAGAAAGTAGAATGGAGGATAATAGCGGGAGGAAAAGGAGAGAAGTAGGTTAAAGGGTACAAATTTGCAATGAGGTAGGACACCTTAGTCTAGAAATCTAATGTATAGCATGAAGCCTATAGTTAATAATACTGTTTTATAGACTGAAAATTTGCCAAGAGAGTAGAATTAATAGATGTTCTTACTGCATGTGCGCGCACACACACACACGTGGTAACTATGGAACGTGATAAGTATGTAGATTTCACTATTGCTATCACTTCTCTATCTACCCCCCCACATATATATAAACACTATTTTGTACACCTTAAATATATACAATAAAAATAAAGATGTGCCATTCAATTGTGTTTTGCTAACATCTTTCAGATTACAATTAAAAATAAAAAACACAGTGCCTTTTTAAAAGGACAGGTGTGTTTTCTTTGGGTTTGAAAACATACTATGTGTAGATAAGGACACATTCACACCTTTGAGTATAGGTATATATGTAATTGCACAAACATAAATATAGTGCACAGTTTTTATTCAGAATTCTGTCATTTGACATGATTAGGACATATAGGATATTCTTATTAGTTTAATATTCTGGTTAATAATGAATTGCTTTTTATGTCATATAAAAACTATCAATTGAAACAAGAATGCAATAAGGCATCTAAGTCTAAAATTAGACTGCTCATAGTGGGATCTTTCTTTTAAATTCAAGAAGTACTTCAGTCCTGGGAATGATGGTATATAACTATGTCAATAGACAAGAGATAAATGAGTTAATCTTGAGCTTTAAGTTAGGGGAATATATACCAGAAATTGCAAATGTGTGTGGTTTGGAGGATGCATTTTATAGGGATGGCATGATGTTTGAAATTTTTTTAAATTAGGTGCCAATTTTTAAAAATTGAGATAATTCACATAAAAATCTAGATTTCAGGTTTCTCTTCAGAAATCACTGGGCCAGGACTCCAGAGGCCCTGAAGGTCTCTCTGACCTGCCTGGTCCCCATTGGCATTTGAAATCACAGTAAAGCATGCTGTATTAGTCTGTTCTCACATTGCTATAAAGAACTACCTGACACTGGGTAATTTATAAAGAAAAGAAGTTTAATGGACTCACAGTTCCACAGGCTGTACAGGAAGAATGGCTGGGGAGGCCTCAGGAAACTTACAGTCATGGCAGAAGGGGAAGAGGAAGGAGGTACGGCTTACACGGCCGGAGCGGGAGGAAGAGAGAGAGGTGTGAGGTGCCACACGCTTTTAAACCACTGGATCTCTTGAGAACTCATTCACTATCATGAGAACAGCAAAAGGGAAATCCACTCCAAAGATCCAATCACCTCTCACCAGGTCCCTCTTCCAACATTGGGGATTACAATTTGACATGAGATTTGGGCAAGGGCACAAATCCAAACCGTATCACATGCCTTACCAGTTTATTGCAAATTCCTAATCAGCAATGATTAAATTATCATACGAATTCACATTTTACATCTATTTGTACTTTTTATTTTTCAAAACAGTTTCAAACCCATTAGCTCCTTGTTGCAGCCCTGTGGGGTAGGCAGAGCAGTGGTACTACATTCATTTCCCAGAAGGAAAAATTAGGGTTCCTGGACAGGCAATGGCACCCTCTACGTTTAAGGGTCTCTAACTCTTTTCAGGAAGCAGTTTGGAGCTTTGTCACCCATGAATCTATAAAGCCTCTTTTGAGATTATACAGATTTTTTTCCAAAATAAAAATATAATTACTGTTTTTTTCTGGTTATATAAACAATGCATTCTCAAAGTAAAAAGTTTAATGAGTACAGAAATGTATAAAAAGAAAGTAAAAACTACCCAAAGTATCTCCACACAAGTATAATTACTGTTAATTTTGGTGAACTCACTTCAAAACTTCCCTCTAAGCACATGTGAAGATGTTCAGTTATGTAAGTGTGCCTAAATATTAATGATGCAGTTTTGTAATCTGCTTTAAAAAAAAACTCAGGAATACATCACAGAGAGCTTTTCATATCAGTACACAGAGATGTATCTAATCATTTTAAAAGTGACATTGCATTTCATTTTAGGTACACACTGAGATATCTTTAACCAGTCCTCCATGGCTAGCCATTTAGGGTGCTTCGTTTTTTTCCATTATAAACAAGGCTGTAATGAACATCCTTGAATATGTA
Source organism: Homo sapiens (assembly GCF_000001405.40). NCBI lineage: Eukaryota > Metazoa > Chordata > Mammalia > Primates > Hominidae > Homo > Homo sapiens. The sequence continues at coordinate 173,429,258 of NC_000005.10, forward strand.
TCTTTGTCCACTTGCTCAATTAACTCATAATGGTAAACTACTCGTTTGAAGCTGTGTTCCTGTGCACATTTAACCAACAACAACTTTGGAGATAATATCTTTCAACAGATCACGTGAGCTCTTGGATTTGGGGGACAAGTTCTTATTGATGATGTCCTAGTGTCTCCAACTACAAACTGTGTGACTATAGGTATTAAAAAAAGAATTCCAACAAATCTTTATTGGCCATCTTTTATGTGCACCAAACAATACTATCCTGGAGATATAAAGGCAAATGAAACACAATTCTAGCCCTTCTTGAGCTCACCCACTGGTGTAGGAGCATTCTTGCATGTATGTGTGTGCACACGTGTGCATGCACACACTGTGCCTCCTGCCCCCCATCAGTTAACTGTAATACAGCATGGTAAGTGCTGAGCTTCCAGGTGAATGAGTCAGAAGGCAAAATGGATAATGATGCCTGGAAAAGTCAGAGGAGATAACATTTCTGCTAAGCCTTGAAGGAGGAATAGGATTACACCAAACAGAGACAGAGGAAAGGCATTTTGGATGGAAAGACAACCTAGCAAAACCTGGAAGTTCCAAGGTTTTGGAAGGCAAGTTGGGTATCCTGATGTAGCCATATCTCAGCAACGAGAAGTGAAAAATCCCCCTGAGAAGTGAGTCTGTAACGTTCCCTTTGCTTCAGCTTACTCACTTGTGGGTGATTCATTTGCCTATTTCATAGGGTTGGAGGGTTAAAAAAATCTAATGGATGTAAGGTGCTTAAAATGGTCTCTTGCACATAACTTACTAGGTACTCCACAAATGTTACTATGATGGTCATTATCTGTTCCCTTCACAATTTCATCTTAGCCCTCCTTTCAGACTTTGGCTTTCTAACAGTTCAGTGGCCTTCTTGGGCAGGCTTTGTGCGTCGCTCCTGTAGGTGAACCATCTGGGCCTCCTTCAGCCGTGTTGCTAACCCCCTTGAGAATTCCAGGCTCTGAGGTGGAGGGAGAGAGGGCAGAAGCTCACACTCTTTGGTTTTAACATTCATACTCTCCAAAGCCTGTTTCTGTGCTGAAGACTCTTAAACATCAAGCTGGGCTTCTAATTTGGAAATGTGGAAAAGCTGTATAATTTCACACATTTTCCATGAAGTGCTGTAAATTTCTAGGCCCAGGCAATAGTGCTGTGTCAGGGTGATGAAATGGAAAAAGCTATTGGTGTGGGACACTTTGTTTTGACACAAGCCACAGCCGTGCCATTTTGGACACATTCTTCATCTCCCTGGGCCTTAGTTTCTTGATGATGTTGATGATGATGATGATGATGATGATCCTAATGATGACAGTGATGATGAAGAATATCTACCACAGTGAGAAAGGCACCTGCCAGGCTCTAGGTCATTTAATCTTATTTCATCTCACAACAATTCTGTGGGGTTGGTATTATTATCCCCATTTTTCAGATGAGCAAATGATGCCTCAAAGACTGTAACTCAACTTTTTTGAGATCTTATGACTAGTAAGTATCAAAGTCGAGTTCAAACTTGGGGCTATCTAACCCTGAATATCAGTCATCCTCATTACCCCCTCCCTATGATTTTTTCTTCTAGGAAAATGAAGAGATTTGGTGGGATGATCTTGAAGGATACTTTAACCTCTAAACTCCATGGTCTATGGAAGGGCTTCCTTTCTCTCTTCAAAGGTTGTTGATGTTATTGAATTGATGTTATTGTGAGATCTTTGTCACAAACATGTTGTTCCAATGTACCTGGTGGAGTAGAACAAGTTGGTGTGCACAGAGGGTGGAAAGTTGGTGTCATGGGCATCTATATTTATTCCAACCCAGAAGAGGAAGGGTGGAGTGAATAGTGCCTGTCTATGCTTCCTGGTGCCAGGTGGGATTAAATTCATCATTGGATTTGGGATGTTTTGTCATTTTTGGTTTCAGCCACACCTTCTGAGCTAGTTGCTTTTTATAGACAAGGGAACCAGGTGTTTTCTGCAGACAGAGAGGCTTCATAAGCACCCTGGGGCCAGCTCAGATGCAGGAAGGACACTGGCTCCAAGTGACCCAGGTTGTTGAGCCACCCAGTAAAGAGAGGTCAGCAGCTGCAGCTGTCCCTGGCAAGCTGGGGACAGTCCTCAGCCTGAGCAGAATGGATTGACCAGCTTAGAAGAGAGGGGTTGATTTATAGGAGGGTCTTTAGTCCTGGCCTCTGGATTCACAGACCTGAGTTTGAATCCAAGATCTGCTACATGGCCTAGCAAAGTATCCTGGATGCATGGATATGGATGTGTCTTCTAATGGAAAAAAGGTGTTTACAGCTCTCAGAGTGTCAATGGGACCAACTACACTTCCCCATATCTTTTTAAAAAATTTTATCTATTTTTAAATAATAATAATAAAGATTTCTTTTTTTTTTTGCCAGACATGGTGGCTCATGCCTGTGATTCCAGCACTTGGGAGGCCAAGGTAGGAGAAGTGCTTGAGCCCTGGTTCACTACCAGCCTGGCCAGCATGGCAAAACCCTGTCTCTACAAAAAATACAAAAATTAGCTGGGCATGGTGGTGCATGCTTGTAGTCCTTGCTACTTGGGAGGCTGAGGTGGGAGGATCACCTGAGCCTGAGAAGCCGAGGCTGCAGTGAGCCGTGATTGCACCACCCCACTCTGGCCTGGGTTGACAGTGAGACCCTGTATCAAAACATTTCTTTTAGAGACAAGGCCTTGCTGTGTTGCCCAGGCTGATCTTGAACTCCTGGGCTTAAGCAGTCCTCCCACCTTAGTCTCCAGAGTAGCTGGGGCTACAGGTGTGTGCCACCAAAACTGACTTCCTCATTTCTTGAATTGAGGTGTAACATGTATATAAAGTATGACTTTTTGTGGTAAAATATACATAACATAATATTTAACCATTTTAACCATTTGTAAGTATTCAATTTGGTGGCATTAAATACATTCACGGTGTTGTGTAGTCGCTACCGTTATCTATACCCCCAATTTTTCCATCATCCCCAACAAAAACTCTGCACTCATTATCAGTAACTTCCCCTTTGTCCCTATCCCCAGGCCCTAGTAATCTCAAGTCTACTTTCCGTCTCTATGAATTTTCCTATTCCAGATACCTTGTGTAAGTGTAATCATGCAGTGTTTGCCCTTTGGTGTCTGGCATATATCATGTATAATGTTTCCAAGGGCTGTCTGTGTTGCAGCATACATCAAAATTTCATTCCTATTCATGGCAATAATATTCCATCGTATGTAGAGACCACATTTTGTTTATTTGTTGATGGACACTTGGGTTGTTTCCACTGTTTGGCTCTTGTGAATAATGCTGCTGTGAACACTGGTATAGGAATATCTGTTTGAGTTCCTGCTTTCTATTCTTTTGGGTATAAACCTAGGAGCCTAGGAGTTTTGGAATTCCTGGGTAAAGTGTACCCATCTAAAGTGTTCAACCTGATGCATTTTTTCATATGCTTACACTTGTGGAACCACTACCTAGATCAGGCTATGGAAGATTTCTAGTACTCCAGAAGCCTCCCTTGAGCTCTCCTACAGGCAATCCTTGCCCTCTCCCTGAGGGGACCACAATTCTTCCATCTTCTCAGCCTCAGGCTCCTTCCATGGGCCAGGCTTGGAGACTCATGGAAGGTTAAACAGGTCAATGGACTAAAGGGACACAGACACATACACACACAGACACACACAGACACACACACACACACACACACACACACACACACACACACACACACACTTGGTCTCTCTGTAACCTTGTAATCCAAAGAAATGCTTTTAGTCCATATTTTCATTTGGGCTTTTTTGGTTTCTTGTCTTCTGAGATTGTTTTAGAAGACACAGTGATTCCTGACTTCTTAGTTTTTCAAGGAGACTTGCATGTCTAAGAAAGTAACCTTGCCTGGCTGGATTTTGAATTCCTGGGTCTGAAATTGTAATGCTGATAAGAAGTGAACCACTGAAATGAAGGAGTTTCCCCTTGTAAGAGATGAGAAGGCACGTGGTCACCTCCTGCAGGACATCGGTCAGTCTGCAGCACTCAGGGGTGGAGGCTTCTGGGTGCTGGAGCTGGAGAAAGGAGCCCTCAGGAATCTTTGGCTGAACCTCGCAAGGCCCCTTAAAGGGAGGGGTAGGTTGTGAAGAATACAGAGGAGCAAAATGGGGACCAGGAAGTGTTGGGGACTGAGGAGGCCCTGGGGGCTGTGACCAACCCCCGCTGCCACTGTCTCTGCTTCTTGCTGAGTGTCTGCTCTTTCCCCCTCACTACTCTCTGGAGGTCTTCATCCTCTGTTCTGTGTATCTCTTCTCTGATACTTCTGCTCACTCCCAGGTTTGGCTTTCACATGGTTTGGATGCACCCTGAACCCCCATCACTCTACTCTTCCTCCCAGACCCTTCCAGCTTGGCTCCCACCAATTGTTGCCCATCATCTCAGTAAGCCCTGGTTCAGATTCCTAGTACAGGAAATGTGGCTGGCCCAGTTTCTCTTCTCATGCCAAGTCGAGCCAGAGGCAGCTGCTTGGCCTGGAATGGGCTGCTTCTGGTCCAAGCCGTTTTCCTGCTCCGTGCTTTGGGGAGAACATGCTCAGCCTTCTGCCTTTGGGATATAATTCCCACTCCACAGTGGAGGCAGCAGAGGCCAGAGAGGTCAAGTGATGTGCCTATCCGTGTCGACAGATCAGGTCAGATGTTGATGGTGGTGGTTAGAGGTGGGGTGGGATGAGTGGAGTAAATGGGGAATGAGGGGATTTAGGATAAAGTAGAGGGCAGCATTATTCTCATTATGATGAGTTCCATCTTGCCCTATGTTACATGGAGTTCCTCCTGCCCCTGGACCCCCATGGTTCTCAGTGAATTCCCCATCACTCCCCATCTCCCAGTGCAGTTATTATACAAAGCTCAAACCTCCCGGAGGTATGTGTACATTCCAGTTCCTCCACATCCTCCCCAACCCTCAATATGGTCAGCTTTAAAACGTTTAGCCATTCTAACAGGTAGTGAGCCCCTCTAATTCCTCACGTTGAAATGATTCAATGTACTTAAATTTGCTTCCCACGTGTGTTTACTCTAGCACTTGCTTTTATTTTTAGATGATGATGATTGCCCAAAGTAAGGTGATCATGCATAAAATCAGTAAGACATTGTGCTAGGAGTCTTTTCCTTGCATATGACAGGAAACTCAACCCCAGTTGGATTAATCATTAAAGGGAATTTGTTGATTTGCTTAAATGAACATCCCGGGGGACTTCAGGAGCACCTTGATCCAGAAATAATGTAACCTAGATGAAGAAACTCAGTCCCGTTTCCCCTGGCTTGGCTCCAGGTTCATGAAAATTCTCTCCTCATTATCACAAGATGCTTACCTATGGCCCTCGGGGCTATGGTACTTCCAATTAATATACAGCAGGGAAGAGACTATCCCTTTCTTCAATCATTAAACAAAATCTTGGATTTTGCTCTTACTGGACCAGTTTAGGGAGCATAAACCAGCTCTGCACCCACCTCCTATGAACGGGACAGTAGGATTATACACATTAGCATTTTTTTTTTTTGAGATGGAGTCTTGCTCGTCACCCAAACTCGAGTACGGTGGCACCGTCTCGGCTCACTGCAACGTCTGCCTCCTGGGTTCAAGAGATTCTCGTGCCTCTGCCTCCAGAGTAGCTGGGATTACAGGCACACGCCACCATGCCCAGCTAATTTTTGTAGTTTTAGTAGAGACAGGGTTTCACCATGTTGGCCAGGCTGGTCTCAAACTCCTGACCCCAAGTGATCCACCCGCTTTGGCCTCCTAAAGTGCTGGGAGTACAGGCGTGAGCCACCACACCCAGCCTACACGTTAGCTTTTACCCAACGGCTTTTACCCAACCCACATGCCCTACAGTAGAGCCAGAGGGGGGCACCTGGGGAAGGCATGGGGAGGGGTAGGTGCTGTAAAAGTCCATTGCTGCTACCAAAAGACAGAACGCACACTGGGCAGTCCAGGACAATCCATCTCTACTGAGGACATTGAGTAGTGTGGAGCTGGACCGGGTCCCTGTCCTTTTGTCCACTTAGCTTGCTGGATGAAAGGGCACCTTTTGAACGGAAGGTTCAACTGGAGAAGTCTCTGAATCAAGGAAAACGGCTTGCCCTGTCTGGCTTGCTGAAATGCTTCTCATTTTCCTGCTCGGGCCCAGACTGGGAAGTCCAGCCAAGCCCAGCGCTGTATCTCCCCCACTGCTTCATTTCTTTCCAATCAGACTCTTTTGTTTCCTGGAGATGCAGTTGCTTTGGCTACCAGGTTGAGGCTTTGGCCTCGCGAGTGTGGATTTACAATCATCCTCCCTTCAGTTGCCTTCACGGAGCTGTGATTTGTCCGTGGCTGCCTGTGAGAGGATTCTAATCCCTGTGGAGCCTGTGACACTCTCCTGACCTCCTGTTACTTCATGGCCTCGTGTGGGCTCCCCGAGGTAGCTCTGCTCCTCGAGCCCCTCCCTCCCAGCCCAGCTCCCGCCGCACCCGCGCCCTCACCCTGGCTCTTCCGCTCTCTGCTGCTCCGTCTTACTGCAGCTCTCAGGGAATCGTATTCCCTCTTGACTCTGTGCCCTGCTTCTGTTGCTCTTTTCTTTCTTTTTTGTTTCCTCCACCCTCTTTTTTGCTCTGCCTCCTTCTCTTTCCTTTATTCTGGCTTCCGATGAGAGGGAGGGCCTGTACTTTTTCCTGGTTTTGGTTTCAACGTTTCACATTATGGATGGGTGTTCCTCTTATTTCGTTTCCATCTTGAAAACTTGGCCATTTGTGTCCCGCTGGATCCAGACACTGGAACACTCAGACATTTCTTGTCCTTTTGTGAGTGGCCAAATGGCTGTGAGACCCAAGTCTCGTGGATCGAACTCTGGATGTGGAGTCAGGACACCCACATTCTAGGTTCGATCCCATAGTCCACTTTCCCTCTCCCTGAAAAGGCAAGTGGTTTCATTGACTTTTTTTTTTTTTTTTTTTGAGACAGGGTCTGTCTCTGTTGCCCAGGCTGGAATGCAGTGGCACAATCATGGCTCACTGCAGCCTCGACCTCGTGGGCTCAAGCGATCCTCCTGTCTCAGCCTCCTGAGTAGCTGGGAACATAGGCGCAGCTACCACTCTCAAGTAATTTTATTTACAAATTTCTTTATCGAAACGGTTTCTCACTATGTTGCCCAGGCTGATCTTGAACTCCTGGCCTCAAGCAATTCTCCCGCCTCCATCTCCCAAAGTGGTGAGATTATAGGGGTGAGCTGTTGCACCCGGCCTTCACCAAGGTATCTGAGATATTTGTGGAGTGCCCCTGGTGTGCTTACAGCATGTACCAGGCTCTTGGGAAAAGGACACTCAGATGAATCTAAACAAGCTGTCCTCTTGCCCTTGGGGGCTTTGCAGTTGTAAAGCACTGAGTCAGAGACACTGAGCTCTCAGTGCACTTTAGAGCAGCACTTGGGCCTGTGGAACCCAGGGCTGGGCAGCTTCTGATGGATGCTACACACTTCATTTGCAAGCTTGTCTGTTCCTCCCGAGACCAACCTCGATCATGAGCTTGATATCATTGCTCCATCTACTCGGTGAGGAATGGGAAGGCTCAGAGCCTTGCGTTGACTTCTTCAAGGCCATAGGTGGAGATACAGCAGCCAGGCCAGCATTTGAGCCCAGGCGTCCCTGCTCTGCCAGTTCATTCCTCTTTTCCAATTGACTGTGAATTCCTACCATCTACTCTTTGGCTTCCATATGACCCATTTCTTTTATGTTTGTGGAAAAGGAGGTTGAGGGAGACAAGTGTGTTTAAAAAAAAGTAAGAAGGATTGGAGTCTAAAAAAAGCTGGCCCAGACCTGCTGCTGCTGAATGCGGATGTTGTCACAGCCCAAATTCCTTAGGGGAAAAGGGATGACTGAGTATTACCAGCATCAAGATTCCGTTTTTCTTATGTGGGTGGTGGGACAGGGGGTGTCTTCTCTATAATACACCTGCATGTTCACGGAGGAAATAGTCACTGATTTATATTTACTCTGTGTGAGCCACACAGCAGTGAGAGCACAACAAAGATTGGGCTAAGTGATTTCTTTTCTTGAGCTGCCTCCACCTAGGGTGCAACAGTGGCTAGTTACAAGAAAGGATACAGTCTTTATCCTAAGGAATATAAGTAATAATAATAATAGTAAACACAGGGCATCCTTCATGTGCTTTTGTGTGTATTAACTCGTTGTTAGAGCACCCCTGAGACATAGGTTTTGTTAACATCCATGTTTTTTAGGTGAGGAATCTGAATCAAGAGAGGTTAGATTTCTCCTTCATGAGCACACAAACAGTAAGTGGGAATAGGGATTGGAACCCAGGCAGGCTGGCTCCGAAGTTCACCCTCTAAGCACAGCCACACTCTGCTTCTCCCAGTGCCCCCAGACACTCAGAAGACCACATTCGCTCCCATTAGGGGGTCTGATGAGGCCTTTTGGAGAGATATTTAAGCTGGCCTTGCAGGAGAGGAAGGAGGATTTCCCTCTATGGATAGGTTGGGGGAAGTTACTCCAGGCCTCAAGGCTGGGCTGGAACAGTGGGAAGCCCTTTACCTCCCAGTGGTGGGAACTGCAGCTTGACATTTAGTTTCTCCAAATAACCACACTGTCTCATGTAACTGTGATGGAGTTAGCAATCATAAATAACCCACACCTCTAAAACATCAGCTTTAGCAAATGTACATGGAATCCCAGAAGCTGATCCTATGACATCTCCAAAGGCATTTCCATCATTGCTTCTACAGTTCTTGCCCTTCCATTCCTGGGAGAGACTTTGCGTTCTTTTGGGGTAAGACAGGAGATGTATGAGGGCTTGGTGAGTTTTCACTCTGCGCTTGATTTGGTACCCTCTGGGGTACTTATATTTACGTTTTAAAGGCCAGAAGGTCTGAGATCTTTCTGCCTCACTTCCTGAGGCTGTGGAGGCCTCCCTCAATCCCTCCTGCGTGCATGTGTGGGTGTAACATCTCCTCTGTGCTATGCCATGTGCTGGGCATATGGATGGAAAGACAGTCCCTGTCCACAAAGAGGTTGGAGTCCAGTGGCGAGGGCATCAGATACACAGATTATCCTGGGTCAGTGTTGTACCCATTGGAGGTGTGTACCAGGTGCAGACAGATCAGGGGCCAGGGCTGGCTTCATGTTTCTTGGGGGTCAAGAGGCTTCCAGGACAGTGAAGTGTGCCCTGCTCACCAAGGACAGACGGGCAAGGTGGAAGCATGTGTTCCAGGAGTTGCAGCCTCAGCATTGCTGCCAGCAGGCTGTGAGGTGGGTGACAGATGAACCTGAGATGTCACTCATCCTCAAAACCTCAGTGAGGCAAACCCCAGGCGAGGAAAATGCAGGTTCTGATGATCACTCAGGGTTCTTGGGCCCTGGTTTCCCGTTCATTGTCCAGATTTTAGACTTCTCCCTTTCCTCTTTCTCCCTGCTGGCCTGCAGCCATTGCAAAAGCTACAGCAGAAGCTCAGCCATGGTGTCCTAAATGCACTGATTTCTCCACGCGTTCAAAACATGTTTAGGAGACTTTGGAGATCCACTAGGAAGGAGGCTCCAGAGGGAAACAAATGCATATTTTGTCTTATTTTTGGTAAAACTAATTACAGAGGATGAACCATTAGAGACACATCCTGTTGTGTTCTAAACAGAGCCAGTGCCCCCAGAGAGCCTCTTCACAATTGCCAATAGCCATTTTCAATTATATGATAGATTATGATTGCATATAGTCAGCATGCTATACAATAGGTCTCCGGAATGTATTCTTGTTTAACTGAAAGCTTGTACTCCTTGGCCAACACCTCCCCATTCCCTGTTTACCCCAAACTCACACCCCCAACCCCTGGCAACCATCATTCTACTCTTCTATGAGTTCCACTGTCTCAAATTCCACATATAAGTGAGATCATGCAGTACTTGTCTTTCCATGTCTGGTTTATTTCACTTAGCATAATGTTCTCCAGGTTTATCCATAGTTGTTGCATATGACAGGACTTCCTATTTTAAAGCAGAATATGATTCCATTGTGTATATATGTGTGTATATATTGTGTTAGGCTGTTTTTGCATTGCTATAAAGAAATACCCGAGGCTGGGTAATTTATAAAGAAAAGAGGTTTAATTCACTACTGGTTCTGCAGGCTGTACAAGAAGCATGGCACCAGCAACTGCTCGGCTTCTGGGGAAGCCTCAGGAAGCTTCCAATCATGGCAGAAGGCGAAGGGAGAGCCAGCATGTCACATGGTGAGAGCAGGAGTGAGAGAGAGGGGTAGTGGGGAAGTGCCACACTCTTTTAAACAATCAGATCTTGTGTGAACTCAGAGCAAGCTCACTTATTATCAAGGAGATGGTGCCAAGCCATTCATGAGGGACCTGCCCCCATGGCCCAATCACCGCCCACCAGGCCCCACCTCCAACATTGTGGATTACAATTCAATATGAAATTTGGAGAAGACATACATCCAAACCATATATCTATATATATCTCTATCTATCTATCTATCTATCTATCTATCTATCTATCTATCTATCTATAGAGAGATACCAAGTCTCGCTCTGTCGCCAGGCTAGAGTGCAGTGGCATGATCTCGACTCACTGCAACCTCTGCCTCCAGGGTTCAAACAATTCTCCTGCCTCAGCCTCCCTAATAGCTGGGACTACTGGTGCACACCACCACACCCAGCTAATTTTTGTATTTTTAGTAGAGATGGGGTTTCACTATGTTGGCCAGGATGGTCTCGGTCTCTTGACCTCATGATCTGCCCACCTCGGCCTCCCAAAGTGCTGGAGTGCTGGGATTACAGACATGAGCCACCGCACCCGGCCAAACTGTATTTTTATACACACACACACACACACACACACATGTACACGCACACCCATATATATATGTATAATTTCTTTATCCATTCATCTGTCAATGACACTTAGGTTGTTTCCATATCTTGGCTACTGTAAATAATGCTGCAATGAACATGTAATGAACGTGGGAGTGCGGATATCTCTTCAACAGGCTGATTTCTTTTCCCTTGTATATAGATCCGCAAGTGGGATTGCTAGTTCATATGATAGTTCTGTTTTTAATCTTTTGAGGAACCTCCATGCTGTTTCCATAATGGCTGTACCGATTGACATCCCCACCACTAGTATACCAGGGTCCTTTTATCTCCTCTGTATTTTCTAAGGTCAAACACCCTTCATCATTGTGTTGCACATAGAAAATAACACCATGGCCGTCATTTTCCCCCCAGTGACTATGCAGTCTTGTTTCACATGAGGAAAACATATCCCTCCTATTACCAACATGTTAAGCTTGTTCTGTATGAGGTGATAACCCTGGCAGGGGAGTTTGTCTCTTTCTTGGGCTTATTTCCATTATGAAGAAGTCCCCCCATTGACTCTGAAGGCTTCCAGTGGTTTATCCTTGAGGCCCACATTTCTGCAAGGCTTATGGTTAACTGTCTGCTCTGAATGAATATCCTGTCTGCTCTGGCTCCAAAATATACCTCCAGTCCCTCTATATCCTCAACTATGTGTGTCCCTCTCTGTAGCCATCTTCCTGGTCTGGGACACTGTTACCTCTCCCCTGGACTCCTGCACAGCCTCCTAGCTAGCCTTTTGGCTGGGTGATCTTTGTTCCTTTGTCTAAGACCCTTCAAAGACTTCGCTGTGCTGAGAATGAAATTCAGGCTTCTTGCCTCCTCCTGTATGGCTGCACTCCTCACCCCTGGCCCTTCCCCACCTTCTCACCTCCCCACTTGTCTCTTGTGCACTCCTTTTAGCCACAGGGCGCCTTTCGGCTCCTCAGACACTTTGCACTTGCCATTCTTCCTCCTGAAACACTCTTCCCCCAGCTTGTTGCAGGCTGACTTGCTTTCCTCTTCTTCCTCCCTCAGCTCAGCCTGAGCTGAAGGTTGAGGTTTTCTTTGGCTGCTGTATAGAATGGCCTCCCCCAGTGACTCTCTGACACATCATTTCGTTTAGTGATGTCTCAGCTCTCATCAGAGTCTATGTGTGCTTGTTTCTTTATGTGTTTATCTGTTATCTGTCTCCCACACTAGAATGCAAGCTCCTTGCAAGCTCAGCCTTACCTGCCCTATTCACCGTGGTATGACCTCTTGTCTAGCAAACATGGAATGCACTCAATACACATTGATCAGACTGGTGGGTGGATAATGGGTGATGCAGTAGAGGATTCCTGACAAACACTGATGCCAATGGAGGGGAAGCTAATGATTCTCTTGGTCAGCCACATCACAGGATACCTGCTGGCTCAGATTCCAAGAGGGCAATATGAGAGCAAATATCACAAGCCTGACATTGCAAATATACCCTGGTTGTATAAACCATGTGCAATTTTTCATGCCATTAATTATATAAATAGTACATGTTTATTGAGTGTGTAGTATGCATTCAGCTTTGGCAGTATAATAAACTACCACAGAATCTCAAGGGCATACAGATCCTATGTCTGCACGTTGGCTGGGGTTTGCCTGTTCTATGCAGGGCTTGGCTGGGTTGGGCTCTGGGCTGCAGGGGGGATCCAGGGCTTCTCTATGTGATCCTTATCCTTCTTAGACTAGCTGGTTCCTTGAGCTGAGGAAGGATCATAAGAGGGCAATGCCAGTTAGGCAGGTCCATTTCAAACCTTTGCTAACATCTCATTGGCCAAAGCAAGTGACATAATCACATCCAAAGTCAAGGGCAGAGAAGGCTCTTCCATGCTCCCTGAGGCCATGGCAAGGGTGTGTGAACCATAACACCACCACCACCACAGGGGAAATGGAGAAATGAGACCAATTCCAGTCTTTGTCAAGTATGTCATTTAGCCCTCCAACAACCTTACCGGGGTTATTAACCATATTATATTACTATTATATATTATGTATTATACTATATGCTATAACTACACTATATCAGTATCTATTTTGCAACGTGTTATGCTATAATTATCCTACAAGTGTATATTACATATTACACTATACTACTAATAATATAGTATATATATTATACTATAAAATATTATTTTTGTGTGATCATGCAAGGTCTTAATATTACCTTCATTTTGTAGATAAAGAAAGTAAGAATGAAGAGGTGAGGAGACTTGCCCAGGGTTGCAGTCAGGAGCAGAGCTGGAGTCTGGAGCCAAGATGTCAGACTCTAGGGTTTCATCAGAGACCCTTGTGATGCTGCTTCCCATGATTTTGATAAAAGAAGCAAAATGCCTCCAAATTGGGATGTAGGAAAAGTTGGCTGCTGGTGTCCTTCCATCTCAAATTCAGATCCTTCACTCTGCCTACTTCCTGGGCATCCTCTGGCAGCCCTCGCTCTGGTCTTTGTGTAAAGGCCTCTTTCCTTTCCATTAAAATTACACAACCAGAGTTCCATGCCCTCTGCATCTCTAACAGCCTTGAGAATCAATGGCTGCTAGTTATTTTCCCAAGAGAGAATTTGTTTGCATTTTTAAGACCCCCTATCCAAAGGCCTAACCAATGTGGGAATTTGAGACACCGAGCAGGCTCAGGGGGAGGTAGTAGGAGACAATGAAGCTTTTTGGAATCTTTAATCACTTTGAGATGGGAAGTCTATTGAATAGAGAGTCGAGATTTCCTTAGCATTTAGTTCCTGTTAATCTTGGTGGCGGGAGGTTGGGATTTGGGGAGGGAGGGAGAGAGAGAGCAAGAACCCTCAGGACTGATGTTGTGGGTGAACATACATGGATATGCAGTTACATAAAGGCATTCCATACCGAGCAGAGGATCTGCTTCAGTTACGATGGAACGTTTCAACTCCATCATTTGGCATGTTCTGTAACCAGAGGTCTTTCAGCACAAGGCAGGCTGGTGGGAATGGGATCTGATTTGAGGACTTAATGTCATGGCCTGTTCTGTGTGTATGTGTACTTGTGTGTTTGTAGAAAATTCAATACTTAATTGTATGCTTCGTCTGCTCACCACTAATTTCTAAAAGAGACATTCCAAAGCCTTGGTTACATTCGCTCATATCTCATAAAAGCCATAACTTGACTGCGGGTGCCCAGAACTAATCCTGTGTGGAGACAGGGGCAGCTGTCACCTGGGAGGGTTGGAGGTTCCGGAAGACCCACTGTCCTGAGAATTACCACCTCCCCAGCATCCATTTCCTTTCTTCCATCCTGAAGGGACTCCAAATTTCCCAGCATGTGGTTTGAGTGACCCACCTCCACCCCCAGATCTAGAAGTGGATTGGTGGAAGGCCGTTAACCTAATTCTTGCTACAGCAAACTGGTTTAGGAGTGGAAGTGTGGTGTGAGTGGATTAAAAAAGAGGCAGCCCAAGATTATGGAGAAAGAGAAACTCTTCCCCCTTCAGATATGAATGAGGATGAACCCTGTTAGTTCTCTTGTGACAGTGAGAGGAGCTGCCTTGACATAGCAGCTGACACTGGGAAGGTCCACAGAGAGATGGAAGCAAATGAATGAATGGGAAGGTCCACAGAGAGATGGAAGCAAATGAATGACTTGGAAGGTCCACAGAGAGATGGAAGTAAATGAATGTTTAGTGAAAATGTTTAACTGGATCAGACCCCACCTGAAGCCTGTTCTACCTCTAAGATCTTTCATTCTCTTTATAGGTTAAGCCTGAGTTTGGTCTTCTGTTACTTGGAACTGAAATAATGTGCATTGACACACCTAACAAGTCAAAGTATTGTCTTTTGCTGGTCTGCTCTGGTCCTGGAAACATCCACTGATAGAATCACTGGTCTGGGACAAATTGTGGTACCCAAAGACCTCAGGAAGCACTTAGAAGCATTACTCCTGAAGTCCCATTCGTCCCAAGAAGAGTTGCTGGCTGGAGGAGACAATATGTAAACATGTCATGACAAGATGGTGTGGTGAGTGCTATGTTGGCATGTTGGAGGCAAGCATAGCCATGCTCACAGTGAGGAATGACTTAGGAGCGCAACCACAGCCCCATGCTACCTTCCACCATTTGGATAAAAGAAGGAAAATGCCTTCAAATTGCGATGTAAGCTCTGTCCAGAGAATTTAGGGATGGTTTTACCCAACAGGATTTGTGAGGCATCGACCACCCACCAAGCACTGTTCTAGGTGGTGGAGTCACTGCAGTGAGCAAAACAAAGTCCTTGTCTGCATGGATCTTTCATTCCAGTTGGGGTGGGTAACAATAAACACATAAGCAATAAGCAATTGAAGACAGGAGAGAATACAAATGGCATGAAGAAAAATAACACTAGTGAGTGATTGAGAGCAGGGCAGAGGGAAAACCTGTCTAGGGAGGTAACGGAGAAGAAGAGACCTGAGGAGGGGCGCAAAGTGAATCACAGAGCCACGTCAGAGAGGATGCTCCAGGCAGAGCAAATACAAGAACAGAGGCCCCAGAGCTGGGACCACAGGTTTGATATTAGAGGCTGGGGTGGGGAGCAGGGGTAAGGCAGAGTGAGTGAGGGGCAGGGAGCAGATGAGTTCAGAGGGTTAGTGGGTGCCATGTCCTGGGGCAAGGTCTTCAAGGCCATGGTGAGGACCTTGGATTTTACTCTGATGAGTAAGGGCCTATGGAGGGTTTTAAGGCATTGCACAATTTGAGGTATGATTTAACCCTCCCACCCTCCTGCTGCCATATGAGAGCAGACTCTAGGGAGGTTTAGTGGGTTGACTGGCGGGTCCCCTAAAAGATATGTCCACATCTTAACTCCCAGAATCTCTGAAGGTGACCTTATTTAGAAAAGGGTAATTAAGTTAAGAATCTCGAGATAAGGTCATCTTGGATTATCTGGATAGGTCCTAAATCCCGTGACAAGTGTTCTTACAAAAGACAGAAAAAGAGAAGATGGGTGGTAAGAGAAGGCCATGTGAAAATGGGGGCAGAGATTGGAGTCTAGTAGTCACAAGCCAAGAAATCCCTGGCACTACCAGAAGCGTGTAGAGGCAAGGAAAGAGACTCTCCTAGAGACTCTGGAGGAATCAGAGTGCTGCTGATGGGTTAGTTTCTGATTTCTGGCCTCTAAAACTGTGAGATAATAAATTTTTGTTGTTTTAAGCCATCAAGTCTGAGATAATCTGTTATGGCAACGTAAGAAGCTAATACAAGATGCAGGAGTGAAGCAGCGAGGTCTGGAAAAAAGCTATTGCAAAAATACAGGTAAGAAATGAAGCTACCTTGGCCTAGAGTGGGAGCAGTGATGGGGCAAGAGGCTGTCCCACTGTGAAGGTAGGCTTTGCTGAGGTATTAGATGTGGGGTATGAAGGAAAGGAGTCAAGGAGGACTGTGACATTAATAGTGTCAGACTGAGTAACTGAAGGGTGGAATTGACATCTGAAAGGGGGAGACAGGGAGAATCAGGTTTGTGTCGGGGAAGGACAGGTGTTTGAGTTGCTTATTAGACACCAAGTGGCTATGTCGAGTAGGTAGGTGGATATGAGAGCCTGTTACCTGGATCAGATATATACACCTGGGTAACACAGGCATAGTGATGGCACGAAAAGCCAAGAGCCTGGATGAGCAAGCCAGGGAGTGAGAGTAGACACAGAGGAGGCATAACAGGGAAGGAACACTTGGATACACCCATGTTACAAGGTCAGGGAGGTTAGAAAGACCTGATGAAGGAGACTGAGAAGGAGCAACAGGAGAGATAGGAAGAAAACCTGGTGAGCATGGTGTCCCAGGAGGCACATGAAGAAAGTACAGGGTCAGTCAAGATGAATGGGGCACAATAACAATTTTATTATTCAGTAGTCAGAATAAAAGTTTTATCACACAAGGATCTTGGTTTGTCTCAGGTCTTCTTGCCAACCTCGAGGACATAAACAAATGTATTGTCACTGCCATTTCAATCATTCAACAGTAATATGTTACTCAGGTCTGGGACAAGTAACTTCCAGTGTCAACAAGGGCCATGTGACATGAGGGGTGCATATTGGACAATTGTAGGATGAAAGAAATATCTGTTTAAGCTCATTGAAGAATAAGTGTGGACTACCTCTTCATAATCTAGGGACTGAGTGACACATTTTTGAAAGTGTTTGATTCATTCTGGATCATGCTGTATTTCAAGAGGAAGAAGTGATCTTCAATGCCAAATGCTACTGAAAGGGGAAGGCAGTGAAAGATGAGCATTGACCATTGATTTGGGCATCGACACTGGAAAGAACAGTCTAGGGAGTGGTGAGGCTGAAAGCCTGACTAGAGTGGATTTAAGAGAATGAGAGGGGAGAGCCTGGGCACTTGGAATTCCATTAACCATTTAGAAAGTCTACTCTGTGAAAGGGAGCAAAAAAATATGAAGGTAGCTGGAGGAAAACATAGGATTAAAGTATAGAAACATTTTGTTTTTAAGGTATAAATAGCAGTGTGTTTGTAAGATGATGGGAAAGACCCAGCAGAGAGGAAAAGGCTGATGATGCAGGAGCCTGGGGGTTGAACTGCTGGAGAAATGCCCTGGAGGAAGAGAGAGGTGATGGGATGCAGGGCCCAAGGGGAGGGGCTGGCCTTGCAAAGAGCCCATTTAGTGATAGAAGGAAGGCGGGAATATGGGGACAGATGCAGTGAAGATGAAGGAGGAAGTGTTGGAAGTTGGAGGACAGAGAGGGGTCAGAGAATTGTCCCCCAGATGAGAGGGAGAGGACCTGCCGGGGGAAATGTAGGATTGCTAGACAGAGCCAAGAGGCATTTGGGGCTTTGATAGCTTAAGTAGGGCCAGTCAACACAGCTAGGGGTGTTTCTCCAGCCACGTTCAGCTGCTCGGAGCAGGCACAGAGTAAGTAGAAAGTTGAGCTTAAGTAGGCTTGGGGGTTTTGCTAGGCTACAATGAAAAAGGAAACATGGGCACGGTGGTTGAGGGTGTATGAAAGGCAGTGACAGACCAAGGAATTAACCAGGCAAGGAGGAGAGGTCCTCTTGGTGGTTGTTATTTCTCAGTTCTGGAGGCTGGGAAGTCCAAGATCAAGGTGCCGCCAAGGTGGGTTTCATTATGAGATCTTTTGTCTTGGCTTGCCAGCAGCTGCCATCTTGCCCTATGCTCACATCTCCTCTTTATGCGCACAGAGATGGGGGAGTGGAGAGTGAGTGTGAGCTCTGGAGTCTCTTTTTATAAGGTTATAATCTCGTCATGAAGGCCCCACTCTCATGACCTCATCTGACCCTACTCATCTCCCAAAGGCTCCACCTCCCAATACTACCACATTAGGGGTTAGGTTTCAGCATAAGAATTTTAGACAGGTATAAACATTCAGTCCATGACATGCTGTTATTGCCAATGACAAGGTCTGAGTCAAATGGGTTATGGAGTCAAGAACAGGGTTATTTGAGGCAAGAAGGTTGAGGAACTAAGAGGACAAGTATTGGGAGAAGTGCCTTCATGGTATCGAAATCGCTCAGCGTCATGACAGGACTGGTTTTTGGAAAGAGAGACAGGGAGGCAGGTGCTAAAATCTTCAAATATGGCGGCGAGTGGATGCTGTGGTCTCTAGAGTCTCTAGGGGCCAGTGGATGGAATGATTAGGAGGCTGGACTTTAGTGCCAACTCCCTGAATTTGAATCTTTAAAAAAATTCAATTAATTAATTATTTTAAGGGGACAAAAATTTTATATATTCCTCCTGTACAACATGATGTTTTGAAATACATAGACATTGTGGAATGGCTAAATTGAGCTAATTAACATATGCATTACCTCACATACTTACCATTTTTTTTGGTGGTGAGAACACTTAAAATCTACCCCCTTAGTGATTTTAAAGAATACAATACATTAACTATCATCATGTTGTACAGTATATCTCTTGAACTTATTCCTCCTGTCTAATGAAAACTTTGTCCCCTTGACCACCCCTTGTCCACAGCTTCTGGTTACCACCATTCTACTCTCTTCTTCTGAGTTTAACTTTTTAAAATTCTGTATAAATGAGTTTATGCCATATTTAACTTTCTGCGTCTGGCTTATTTCACTTGACATAATATCCTCTAGGTTCATCCATGTTGTCACAAAGGGCAGAGTTTCTTCGTTTGTAAGGTTGAAGAGTGTTCCATTGTGTATATGTACCCCATTTTCTTTATCCTCTCATCCTCTGGTGCACACTTAGGTTGACCCCATGTCTTGACTATTGTGAACAGTGCTGCAGTGAACATGGGGGCACAGATATCTCTCTGACATACCCTGAGCTTGACTCTTATCCTGTGATTTTCGGCAAGTGACTTAACCTCTGTGTAGCTCAGTTTCCTTATTTGTTAAGTGAGGATGATAATCATACCTACCTCATGAGGTTTTGTGAGGTTTAGATGAATTAATGAATGCAAAGTGCTTGAAATGGAGCCTGGCTCGTCATGAGCATTCTAAAACATTACTGTTATGTTGGTAAGAGTGCACCATGGTTGGGGCAGGGGAGGGGCTGGGTGGTCTGGCCCAGTAGCATGAAGTTCAAGGTCCATGAGCCTTTCTAGGAAGGTGGGAGAGACAAAAGCCAGAAAGTGGCCAGGAGGACATCTCCTCCATCTCCAGGCCAGTGACACCAGGAGTTTGGGGGAGAGAATGGCCATCCTTAAGCAAGTAGCAGAGGAAGTGGAGTCCACTGGGCTTTGATTAAGGGCAAGAAGGTGAAGGGGAGATCTGAAGAAGAGGCTGAAGACAGAGAACTTTGCTATATATGGACAGTGAAAGCCACTGGCTCCGTGGAGAGGCTAGGAGACTGGGGATGGTAGTGGGCTTGAGTCACAGCAAGTTATGTACAGAGATCTTTTGGCATGAAAGGCTAGGTGACGGGGATAGCTGGGAGTCATGGACTCTGGGTGGTGGCCACGGCATGATGGAATTTCTCTTGAAGATTCCTTAGACTGTGGTGTTGAGATGAGAAGTGCTGGTGTGTGTGTGTGGTGGTGGTGGCAGAGGGGCTGTCTGGCAAAGAGCATGCGGAGCTCGGTGGATGTCTGCAGCTGCGCAAAAGTTGAGCATGTCCCAGGAGCTGGAGTTAAAGGTCGTTGCAGATGGACAAGGACATAGGAGGGATAAGAACTGTGACTGGTGGGCTAATGGGGGTCAGATTGTGAGAGGTCTCATCCAATTTTTAAAGTGCAGGCCTTTAGCCAGAGAGTCAGATCTGTGCTTTAGGAGGATCACCCAGGATGAGGGTAGATGGTGGGTGTTCAACGGAGAGAAATCTGAGTCAAAGAGACCTGTTAGGGGGCAGCTACAATAGACTAGGCAGCCGATAATAAAAGCCAGCAATCAGTAGGTAGAGGTGACAGGAGAATGGAGGGTGGGGGGAGCAGACTGGAAAAAAAATTCAGAAGTAGAATCTATTCCCTGGAGATATTTGAAATCCCTGAGCAAACAGGACCCAGTAGGGTAATCAGAACTCAAAGATGCTGGTAGGAGACAGAAAAGTGGGCAAAGAATGTGGAAACCTGGCTGTAGATGCAGCTTAGTCACCAAGTCAGTAAGTTGCTGCCTTTAGTGACTCTCCTGAGCTTTCAAGTGCCTCGGTTTCCCTAACTATTCCATTAGCACAAGAAGGACATATCTAGCTTTCCCTGGCACTTCAGCAAGGGGAAGTAAGTGGATGGGATAGTGTAAGGCATTTGAGCATTTCAGTGAAAGATACTTTTTATTTGCATAATCGGGGTCATCTCAAGGCACTTGCATGTCCTTTACCTCATTTAATGCTCGTGCATCTGTCAGTCAATTGAGGCAGATGATGATGATGACAACAAAGATGATGATGAAGGTAGCTGGCATTTACAGTGTGCTTGTTAAGTACAAGTCACCCATACTAAGCTTCTTCCAACAGTCTTACTCAATTCTCACAGGAGTTCTTTGAGGTTCACAGCATTATGAGCTCCATTTTAAAGATGAGAAAACTGAAGCTTGGAAATATTGAGCAAATTTCCTGAAGGTGTACACTTACTAAGGGCCTGGAACAGGGTTTTTAACTCAGGCAGTTAATTGACACCACGATCGATTAACCATTTCTGCCATGTATGAAGGATGGGGAATGTTATCATTCTTGCATTGGATGAGGGGTGGGCAGGCCACATCCAGCCCACTGATTGTTTTGTAATACGGTTTTCTTGGAATCCAGCCACACCCAATTTATTTACGTGTCATCTATTACAGCTTTCCTGTTACAATGGCTGAGTTGAGTAGTCACGACAGCATTGCATGACCTGCAAAGCATAAAATCCTTACCAACCGCCCCTTTGCAGAACCCTGAGCTAGACTATTCTATTTTTTGTCTGTTTCTTCTTTCTTCTCCTACCTGTTTTTTCTCTTTCTCCCAGCCATCGGATAATATATAAAATATGAAAGTAAAGGGGGATTCTTCCTAATGCAGCATTCTGTGTTCTTGGGTATTTTACCAGTGCCAAGTTGAGAAAGACAGAGCCGTTGATGTATCATCAGTGAGCCTTTTGATGAGGCCCACTGCTAAAGTCATCAAGAGGACAGAAAGTGACACCAAATTCCCATAAAGTATTTATGATCCACCCACCCTGTTCCAGACACTAGTCTAAAAATTGCTGGGGAATATTTAGAATTAACGGGGAATTTTCTCCATTTGCAAAGTGAAGGGATTGAAATGAGAGGAGCTGGATTCAGGTCCCACCCATCTGAAACACATTCTAAGCCATCCTTTTGAGAAAGCCCTGTCCTCCAAGCAGAGGTCATGTGTACACAAGCGGCCCATATGACCCAATGTGCCAGTGAGGGACTCCTTTCTAGAGATCAGCTTTGTAAAGTGGGCTCATACGACAAACATGCAGATACTTGGTCTTAGGAAATGTATTTTGACTCTTTCAGTCTCAGCAAGGGGATAGAAGGAGCCCTGCATTCTCTCCTGACACGCTTGACAAAAACAAACCCAACTAGAGGTCGCCAGCAACGGAGGGGCATCCTGTGTAAGGACTTGGAAGAGGAGTTGTATTGTCACCCCCTGGCCACTAGAGGACTTCATCCTATTTCAGTGGAGGAAGGCCTGTTAGGGGCCTCTCTATACTGGTGGAGGTTTGGTCGTCTTCCCTTCACTTGATTTCTGCCAGTGGCCTTATGTGAGGATGCTTCATGAGATGTCAAGTATCCGAGGAGTCTGTGACACAACCATCCAGTGGTGAATTGCTAAGGAGCTCCTCTCCAGCCTGCTTGACTCTGAGGTTAAAAGAGTCTTCATGTTGAGCACAAGTCATCTCTTTGCACTTTCACCAGTTGTGTCCATCTGAAAAACACAGAGGTCTGTCTCACTTCTGCATCACAGTCCCTTCCAAGAAGCTCCACAATGGGTAAGGCACAATAAAATGGCTTATATTCAACAAACACATAACACTCTTCCTGTACTAGACACCATGCCAAGGGCTTTACAATTGCTAACTTACTTGATCCTCAGAGTCACCTTATGAGACAGGTGGATGGGATATTGCCCCTTTTACAGATGGGTAAACTGAGGTACAGAATAGTTACAGATCTTGCTGAGAGCTATGCACCTATTAAGTGGTTGGGCTGGGATTTGAACTCAGGCAATCAAGCTCCAGAGTGCACGCTGTTAACTAGCATGCTCTGCTATGCTGCCTCCCAGGAGATGGGCCAGATAAACAATGACATATTTTAAAAAACATCCTAACCTATTTTTTTCATTATATGCACATAACAGAAAATTTGGAAAATCAAAAAAAAAAAAAATTACCCACGTCTCACCACACCACCACAATCATAGCAAACATTCTAGTGTTTTTGTTTTAATTTTTAATGTGCATATGTGTTTTTTCATATCTTTGTGCAAGCAATTTGTATCCTACTTTGCACTTAACATGTAATATCCTAATGTTATCACACAATTTTCATAACCACTCTTTTAAATATTGCAAGAATGTGTGTATGTGGTGACATAATAAAAGTTCTAGGGAAACAGTTAAACAAGAATGGCCAAAGGAGGAAGAGAGCAGTACAAATTGTCAAGGCAAGGACGCAAAAAACAAAAAGGATGTCCGTGGAAACTCTGGACTTGCGCAATTACAGGAAAGGCCACTACGCTGACACATCATGTCAATGGCACTGAGCTAGGAGGTGGCAGTTAGGAATCCCGTGCCTCATGGCATCTGGGGACTAAAAATAGCTCTGTAAGGTGACAACATGTGGCAAAGACCTAGTGGGGAGAAAAGGGGCTTGTGTTGTGTTGTGCTGTAGTATACTGCACTAGAGCAAATTCAGAGGAGCTGCAATGAGAAGGCCTGCATCCCAATTCCAGCTTTATTCATTGTGTGACCTTGGATAGTTCACTTATATGGGTATCAGTTTCCTTCACCTAGCATGGGAACAATAAGAGTTCTCATGAAGAACTGTGGAAAAATATGAAATATATGGTGTGTCAGGGATGTTTTTGGTTGCAAGTAACTGAAAACTTGATTTAGAGTGGATGAAGCAATAAAGACTTTTAATGAGCTCACATCACAAGAAGTTCGAGGGTGAGGAGACTAAGGCTAGCGAAAAAGCTCAGCAATGTCATCAAGAAAACCCAGACTTGTTTCTCTTTGCAATTCACCATCCTTCGGGTGTTGGTTGTATTTCTTTCTTTCAAGTACTATTATTTCAATGACTAGATCTATGCTGAAGTGATATCGACCCTTCCTTATAAAAGCCCAGCTTCAGAGAGAAATTCTCATTCTGTCAAACTAGTAGAAAGCTCCCTATCTCCCCAAGAGACTTCTTGAAAGGGCGAGGAAGCTTCTCTGTGAAGGTATTACCCAGCACATGCTCAAAACTGCTTCCAACACCATCCACTGCTTTCTCACCATGCCCTGGGGAACATACACGGTGGCTTCTATAGCCCTGTCAAGGGCCTTCTCTGCAGAAAATGCACCTTCATACCAGCTGTCAAATTAGTATTTATCATGTTGTGTGATTATTTGATTAATGCCGCTCTAATCCTCTAGCCTATAAGCCCTGTGAGGTCGGAAAACTCATCTGTTTTGTCCATTATTGTAACCCCAGAGCCTAGCACGGTTCTTGGCTTGTGGTAGCTGTTGAGTATATATTCACTGAATGGGTGAATCAGAGTCTTCCATAGCCTGAGAACCTGTGAGTATTTTTGCATGCCTATGTGACTATCACAGAATCTGTTTGCCGAGTCACAGTGACCTGTTATCACAAGCCCTTTACCTGATCAATAAAAAACATTTATTTTGGAAGGCACTCCTTGATCTCACATTCCATAGCAGATGCTGTTGGTGCTTTTTCTATATCCACCCTGGGCTACCTGAGTTCACTTGAGGTAGTGGGCAACAGTTTTCAATTCACTGACAGAGTCCCATCTCCAGCTGCTTAAGGGCTTTCTCTGGGGGTGTTAACGCTTCCAGGGGAAAACCTCAACTAGTTGGGGATGAGAGTAGATGGATAATTGCCCAGTCCCCCATCCTCTAATGGGCCTAGGCTGAGCCATGTTCCACGTGGATTCTGAAGAACCCCCAGCAGGACGGAGCTCCAAGCTGTAATCTATCCCTTGCTGGCTCTTCTCCCTTCCTTGTCTCACTCTCCCCTTTTGTTTCTCCTGGAATAAACTCTTTATGATGTAGATATCTGACTTCTATGATATTTAGATGAGACTTGGGACTTTAGAGTTGATGCTAGAACCAGTGAAGTCTGTTGGGGCTGTTGGGATTGAATGAATTTTGAATGTGAGAAGGACACACATTTTGAAGGGCCCGGCATGGAAGGTTATGGACTGAGTGTTTATGTTCCCCCCATCTCATATGTGAAAACGCTAACCCTCCCCGTCATGCGACGGTATTTGGAAGGGAGGTCTTTGGGAGGTAATTAGGGTTATGTGAGGTCATGCGGGTAAGGGTCTCCATAATGGGATTAGTGCCCTTCTGAAAAGAGGAAGAAATACCAGAGTGCCTGCACACTGTCTCTGACAGATGAGGACATAGCAAGAAGGTGGCTATTTGCAAGCCAGGAAAGGAATCTTCCAGCACCTTGATCTTGGATTTTTCTAGCCTCCAGACTGTGAGAGATAAATTCCTCTTGTTTAAGTCGCCCAGCCTATGGCAGTTTGTTATAGAAATCTGAGCTAAGACACTGTATCTAAGTCCTTGTCTGAAAATCCTTGGACATTCCTCCCACTGGAGGTGGGATGTATGTCCTCTCCCCTTGAATCTGTGCTGGGACTCACTTATAACCAATAGGATGCAACAGAGATGATGTCGTGGGTGGTGTCAGAACTCTTTGACATTTGCTGCAAAATGTGAAGCCTAATGCCGTTTCCCTTGCGTGTGACCTTGGTGACTCATTTCTAACAAATAGAATTAAGTGAAAATGATGGGGTATGACTTCAGAGACTAGATTATAAAAGGCACTGAAGCTTCCTGCTCTCTCTCTCTATCTCTATCTCTCTCTCTCTATCTCTGTCTCACTCGGTTCTTGGGGAAACTGGCTGCCATGCTTTTAGGATACTCAGGCAACACATGGAAGGGCCCATACAGTGAAGAACTAAGGCCTTTTGTCAACAACCCTGAGGAACAGAAGCTTCCTGCCAATAGCCATGTGACCGAGTATCTTGGAATTAGATCTTCCAGCACCAGCCAAACCTTCAGATAATTGTAGCCCTTGCTGATATATTGACTGCAATCTCACAAGAGGCCTTGAGTCAGAGGCAGCCTGCAGAGGCACTTCTGAATTCCTGGCCCATAGACACTGTACAGTCCTAAAGGTTTGTTGTTTTAAGCTGTTAAGCTTTGAGAGAATTTGTTATGCAGTGATAGATAACTAATACACTCTGCTCTTTCTGAAGCTAGGTCAGGAAAAGCATTGAGTTTCTGCCTGGTTCCCTCCCCTTGGATCTGAGCCTTGAATGTAACTGGCTTGCAATCAGTCCAGCAATAGTGATGCCTTAATTTTTGAGGTTGGATCAGAAAAGGCCGTGCGGCTTCTGCCAAGTATTCAGGGACACTCCCTCTGGGAGAAGTCAGCCACCGTTTAAGACATTAGATGCCCTGAGATTGCCACGTGTAGGTGCTCTGGCATCTCTGCTGAGAACTCAGCAGATAACCAGTGACCATCAGTCATGTGAGAGGATCATCTGGGACGTGCAGCCCAGCCAAGCCTGCAGATGACTCCAGGCTCAGCCAACATCTCACTGCAACAAATAAGAGACCCCCGGCAAGAACCACTCAGCTAATCCCTTCTTGAATTCCTGATCTATGAAATCATGAGCAAAATAACATAGTCATCCTAAGACACTGTGTCACACAGAGATAGCAACTGGAGTAGTCAGCCTTTGAAGAAAACCAAACTAACGTGACTCATACGCAGTCACGGACTAGGTCCTTTTCTTTGCTTATGAAAATATTAAGCTTCGTGAAAGGTGCTCCCAAGGCCTTTGCCATGCACGCTATTTAGAAGGCAAACCCCAAGTAGAAAGTTTTAAGTATGTACCCCTCCACACGCAATATAAAACAAAATAGAAATTAAAAGAAAATAAAAATATCTAGAAGTGTGCAAGACCAGTGATGGTCAGGTTCCCTTTCTTGGACATACACACTCCCGCTTGGAGGCCTTAATGGAGGGTGTGCCTCTTGTTTCAGATATAGAAACAGGTCACTTTGACCTACAATATACAACCCCAATGTTTTCACTTGGTGCTTGATTTGTGGCAGGATTTAAATTTCCACCCACTTTTTGGACTAAAAGTTGTTTTTGTAATTGAAATGTATGCTTATCATAAAAGTATAAATACTATAGAGGAATATATGAAGTAAAAGATGAATCCCTTTTGTCTCCCAGCAATGCCATGGGTTGAATTGTGTCCCCTACTCAAGTTCATATGTTGACGTCCTAACCCCCCTGAACCTCAGAATGTGACCTTATTTGGAGATAGGGTCTTTACAGAGGTCATCAAGTTAAAATAAGGTCATTAAGATGAGCCCTAATCCTGTATGACTGATATTCTTATCGAAACGGGAAATTTGGACACAGAGACTTACATAGAGGGAAGACAGTGTAAAGAGACATAGGAAGAAGATGGCCATGTACAAGCCAAAGAGAGCGGAGTGGAACAGATTCCCCCCTCAGGGTTCCCGGAAGGAGCCACCCCTGCCAACACATTGATCTCAGACTTCAAGTTTTCAGAGCTGCTAGAAAATATGTTTCAGCTGTTTAAGCCATTCAATGTGTGGTACTTTATTATGGCAGCCCTAACAAACTAACATAAGTAATTTCTTGTGTCCCTCCAAAAAAAGAGTCTGACTATACCCATATTTGTGTATATGATTTTCTTCCTTACATAAATGAATCATTTACTAATACTTTTCTACACCAGGAATTCTTCACTTTCTAATTTATTGTGCTAATCTTTTCACAGTAGCCTGTGCAGGTGTATTTAATTCCTCTTAACAGCTGCATAGTATTCTGCAGTTGGGAGAAACTACACTTGATTTGCCCACTGTCCTTTTAATGGACAAGTTGCGTGCTTTCCATAATCCCCTGAGTTCATCAAATGCCTGAGCCTTAAGTACAGCAGGGTTGGTGAAGGATCTACACACAGCAAATGTTCAAGACCCACAGACAGAGAGGAGTGAAGCACAAAATAAATGTCTATTTTATATGCTACTTTGTGAACACTTCCTGTGACTCATCTGTTAGAGCTCAGCTGAGAGCCCCTCTTGTGGGTTCTCAGGGCACCTGCTTCCCTCCTTCCTTGCCCTTAGCACAGTTGCGGTTTTCCACTGGTTGGTGTCACTTTCCGAATCATGTCTGTCTCCTTCCCCAGACCCTCTGGCATTGCTCTTGGCTGTGACTCTGGCACTTGGCACATCGTGCTCAATCAGAGTAGGTTCTCAACAACTGTTTATCAATGGAGGGAATCTTTGTAAGCTGTAAAATATCAGAGAAATGCATGACGGAATCGATGCAAAGAGGAAGCAACTCCCCAGGAATGTGGGAGCAGCATCATTTCAGATCATGTGAACTTCCTTGAGGTCAAAGGTTTTATGAGACCCTTCCCTACCTCTGTCATTTGTCACTTTGCCTTCTGCTACTGTGGACCTTTCAGAATTTGCAGCAGCCGATCCTCTCTCTTCCTGTGCTGGATTGACTCAATGTACCATTGAGGGAATGAGTTCAGTGTACATTTTAGAAACCAGGCCATCAGTTACAGTAAGTAACAGCCAGAGTTGTTTAAGGTGAGCATAGACATTGGGGAAAGTGGGGTTAAGAACCATCATGGCCAGGGCAAACACTGGGAATCAAGAAACCAATTCACTAGGCATGGGACTTGGGCAACTTATTTCATAAGAATAAGAAGGCAACAACCGTAAGAGCTGCTGGAATTTACCAAGCCCTTGTCCTGTGGCAGGCACTGCATTTGGCACACAGCTTAACTCTCGCAGCAACCTTGTAAGAGAGACACTGTTCCTATCCACTGCGCTGTGAAAAGAAGCCAAGTGTAGAGGGGCTGAGAGACAGCTCCATGGTCCTGCAACTCGTGAGTGGCAGAGCCAGGTTTTCAAGCGAGATTTGCCCAGTTCATATTTCTTAACCACTGCATGATCCCTCTGGGACCTCTGTTTCCTTTTTGGAAAAGGGGAGGATGGGGCTAATCACTTAGGATCTTTGGGCCCCTGTAACTTAGCCTTAGAATATCTCTCTTAAAAGAACTTTGGCCTTTTGTAGTAAGTTGTTTAGACACCAAGGATCATTTATCTTCGAAGTGAAGGAAGCCCATCTCTTAACTATTAAAAGACCAAACTTGGTACAACATGAGAAAGTTATAGTAGTGACTGTTACAATAAGAGTAACAGTAAAAGTCAAAACCATAATGAGATATTGCCTCACACCCATTAGGGTGGCTACTGTCAAAAACCCAGAAAATAACTAGTGTTGGTAAGCATGTAGAAAAACTGGAATCTCTGTGCACTGCTGGTGGGAGTGTAAAATGCCACTGTGGAAAAAAGCATGGAGGTTTTTCAAAAAAAATTATACATAGAATTACTGTGTGATAGGCCGGGTGCAATGGCTCACGCCTGTAATCCCAGCACTTTGGGAGGCCGAGGCAGGCAGATCATGAGGTCAAGAGATGGAGACCAGCCTGACCAACATGGTGAAACCCTGTCTCTACTAAAAATACAAAAATTTGCTGGACGTGGTGGCGCATGCCTGTAGTCCCAGCTACTTGGGAGACTGAGGCAGGAGAATTGCTTGAACCTGGGAGATGGAGGTTGCAGTGACCCGAGACTGCGCCACTGCACTCCAGCCTGGGTGACAGAGTGAGACTCTATCTCAAAAAAAAAAAAAAAAAAAAAAAAAAGAATTACTGTGTTATTGCTATTCTACTTTTGGGAATATGCCCAAAATAATTGGAAGCATGGTCTTGAAGAGATATTTGTACACCTCTGTTCACAGCAGCATTATTCGCAATAGCCAAAAGGTGGAAGCAACCAAGTGTCCGTCGATAGATGAATGAATAAGCAAAATATGCTATAGACATACAATGGAATATTATTCGGCCTTAAAAAGGAAGAAAATTCTGACACATACTACAACATAGATGAATCTTGAGGACATTGTGCTATGTGAAATAAGTCAGATGCAAAAGGACAAATACTGTCTAATTCCACTTATAGGAGGGCCTCTAGAGTAGCCAAATTCATAGAGACAGAAGTAGAATGGTAGTTGCCGGGGACTGGGAGGAGGAGGAAATGGGGGAGTATTGTTTAATGGATATAGAGTTTCAGTTTTGCAAGATGAAACATTTTCTGGGGATGGATGGTGGTGATGGTTGCACAACAGTATGACTGTACTTAATGCTACTGGACTGTACACTTCAAAATGGTTAAGAGGTTCAATTTTATGATATGTGCATTTCACCCCAATTATTTAAAAAAGGAACAACAGTGAAGGCTGTGACTTCATTAGAATCAGCATTGCCAGTCTGGAGAGCCAGGATGCACCCCTGGCGTGTCAGCAGCATCTCTGTGGGGGAAGCTCAGTCCAGTCTTGGTGGCTCTCTGAGGGAGCCCTGGGTTGGGACTGTGTCTCAATCGGCCATGACAGCTGAGCAGGGGAGCACTGCCTTCGTGCCTGACGTGAGCCCTGCGACATCTGCCCTGGACATATCATTTCAGGAGCATGAGGACTCCAAGTGGGGATCCCTGACAGCTGGGGATGGGGTGGCCGGAAGAAGAGGCTGCTTTTCAGATGGCCCTCAGACAGCAGCCGATGGCATTTGGCCAGATGCGTGCATTTGTGCTATTGCTTTGGAACACGTTGGAGGGAAGAGGGCCCTCTGTGACAAGATAATTTTTTTGGGAAGGGGGATGAGCTGATTTGTTTTTAACTTTGTAAAGTTCAGAAATACCCAATTTAACTTTGTCATATCTCTGAATCCTGAGAGAGGCAGAGAAATGAGGGAGTGACATGCTCATTTTTTCCCAAGAAAAATGAAAGGTTAACCACTTGCTGAGACTATAATAAGAGCGTGGGTAATAAATACATGCTATGCAATATTCCTGACCAACAATGATGGGCTTTGCTACTCTAAAATGTTTGGAATCACTGGCCTAACAAAATGGCAGAGGCCAGCAACAGAAATGCCAGTGGAGGAGCATGAAAATTCTATGCCTTTTCTTCACATTAAATTTAAACCTCAACAATGGAAGGATGGAAAGGGGCAACTGCACAGTGTGGCTAACAAGGAAGCATCTCCATCAAGTCTCTTTCAGTGGGGGAGGGAAAGAACCCAACTCAACTGGCTGAAGACACAGAAATGTACTGGCTCACACACCTGAAGTGTTCAGGATATTGCTAAATTCAGGCATAGCTGGATCCAGGTACTCATCAGGTACTCATACAAAGTCTTTAGGCATCTGTCTCTTTCCATCTTTTTGTTTTCTTTTGAGACAGGGTCTTGCTCTTTTGCTCAGGCTGGAGTCCAGTGGCGTGATTGGGGCTCACTGCAGCCTCGACCTCCCCAGCTCAAGCGATCCTCCCACCTCAGCCTCCTGAGTAGCTGGGACTACAGGCACACACACACCAAACTGATTTTTTTTTTTACTTTTAATAGAAATGAGGTCTCTATGTTGCCCAGGCTGGTCTTTCCATTTTTTAGCCCTGGCTTTCTTCTGTGCTTGTTTCATTCTTGGGCAGTCTGTCCATTGGTGGTGGCTATAGCAGTTCCAGGCCTGTATCTTACCAATAAGAGAGCTCCTCTTTCCTTCCAAAAGTCCCATGGTTGGCGCTTTGGGTCTGGCCTGGGTCATGTGTCTATCCTAAACCACTCACTGTGGCCAGGGTAATGGAATATGTATGCTGAATGGCCAGGCCAGGACCATAAGCCCACAGGGACTGATAGGGTGGGGTGGCTCCCCAGGGAAAGCCTGGGAGATGGTCCCCAAAGAAGGGGTGCAGGGCAACAAACACACAGCTGTTCACACCATGGGGCCTGTGAAGGAAGGCAGAAGCCAGGTCCCCTGGAGGATTCTGATTGCTTTCTTTCCTTGGTCTGTTATCTTTGCAAAGTGTTGTGGGGTTGTTGATGGAGTGACCACTCTTCTCCTGTCCTGCAGATACCTCTTGGTTTGAGGCATTGAGATGCTCTGTGGTCAGAATGTTATTGATGGTGTTCTTGGGCAGTGGTTTTCCATTTTGTTTTTTTATTGTATACAAATAGCTACAAACATTTATTTTCTTGTTCATGGGTCCAGGTTTGATTGTGTCTTGGTTGGGACTGGCCAACCAAGAGCTCCAGAGCTCTTTGGAGCAGGTGCATACTTGGGACATGCATTTCTCATAGCAGATCATAGGAGTTAAAGGGGCAAACCAAACTGTGAACTCTTCTACCCTTGAAGAGCCCTGGCCCACATTGCATTTGCTAATATTCTTTTGGCCCAACAAAACACATAGCCAAACCCATTGCCAGTTTGCATCTGGGGTGGTTATTCTGTGTCTCCTGCTCTGCAAGGCCACATGGAAGAGAGAAGAGAGAAGAAATGGGAGTCTAATCTATCCCGTGTTGCCTTCGTGAGAGCTCATTAGTGTCTGGCTCCCTGCACAGAATTAGCTTCATGACCCATTTAGCCTTTTCTGTCTCTGATGGTAATGATAAGGGAGATATCTTTGCAACAGCTTGAGTTTCCTCCTTGAGGTCAAAATCAAGGTTGAGCTATGCACCCCAAGCCCTTCAGGAATTGCTCCACTCAGTGTGTAAGGGGATGGTCTCCACTCTTACTGTCTGGACTCCCCTGCTGGAGAGGCAGGTGGTCAGGGAAGGACTGGGCTGAGTGCATGGTTCAGAGAGGCCTGATCAAGGGCTGCTGAGCATGGGGCCAAGGGTGAGCTGGGAGAGCAAAGCTGACAGCCAGGCAGCCAGTCTGGGTAAGTCCAAGGGCTAGGCAGAAAGAGATGAAGTCAGGGCAACTGGCTAGATCCCATAGGACCAGGCCAAGGCAAGAGGGTGCTGGACAGATTGGAGGGTAGAGGCTCAAGAAAGCCCCCAAGTACCAGGAATTTGTAGCCTAGGGGAGAGAAGGAAGTTGTTAAGATCTGGGACAGGACCCCCCTTCTTCACTGGCTTTCACCCTAAGAAGGAAACTGTAGCTGGCCATTCAGTCTTCCCTCTCATCCCTATCTTGGCAAACTTCTTAAAACCACTTAAAAATATTAATATTGGTAATTGTTTCCATGACTTCTCACTGCAGGCTGAAGAGCTTATATTACATAGAAACACTTGCAAACAATGATAGTGTAGTAGTTATTTTTCTTTTTTGGCTCCTGAGGACATCATGTATTTTACAAGATGTATGGTTAATATTGAAATCATCTTTCCAGCAGCTCTGATATTGTTTCTTACAATTAACTTTAGTACTGCACAAATTGCTTTGGTACATTTGAGTACAAAAGTATCAACTGAAGCCCAAAGTATCAACTGAAGTGGGCAGAAAAAAGGCACACAGTTACCGCAAATGGGAATTTCTGTTGTGTAAGAGCTGTTTTGCTTAGTTGTATTACATATTCAGACTCTGGGGGTGGGCGATGGCTGAGCAGGTGGTGGTGGGGCCTCTGGAAAGGCAGAGAACAAGTGTCTCCTGTAGAGAGTGTGGGGCCTTCTGCACAAATGGGTGTCTGCTGGTGACAATAGTCATGTTTCCCAATCTGGTGTGAGTGAAGGAGAAGCAGACAGCCTGTACTTCCCTGTGCAATTGGAGGTTGGTATCGGTATGAGATGGAAGAGAACACGTTTATTATTATTAATGATAATATCAAGATCTACGAGGATCTTGAGTACCATGAAGTAGACTCAGACCTTATATGGTTTTTTTCTTTGAAACAACCCAATATAATAGTTACTATTATTATTCCTATTTTTATAGATGAGGAAAACTGAGGGTGAAGGTGGTGAAATAGCCTGCTCAGTGTGACACATCCAGTAAATAGTAGAGTGAGAATCCAAACTCAAGATCCACTGAAGCGGCCGGGCGCGGTGGCTCACGCCTGTAATCCCAGCACTTTGGGAGGCCGAGGCGGGCGGATCACGAGGTCAGGAGATCGAGACCATCCCGGCTAAAATGGTGAAACCCCGTCTCTACTAAAAATACAAAAAATTAGCCGGGCGTAGTGGCGGGCGCCTGTAGTCCCAGCTACTTGGGAGGCTGAGGCAGGAGAATGGCGTGAACCCGGGAGGCGGAGCTTGCAGTGAGCCGAGATCCCGCCACTGCACTCCAGCCTGGGCGACAGAGCGAGACTCCGTCTCAAAAAAAAAAAAAAAAAAAAAAAAAAAAAAAAAAAAAAAGATCCACTGAAGCTCATGGTATGTGTCCAGTATAAGCCCCCAGCTTGACAAGACTGCAAAAGCCACAAGTCAGGCTTAGCCAGTGTTCCTGGAAGCCCAGCAAGCTGGCTCCCCTGTACAGATTAGCGCCCCGAAGCACTGAGGCTAGGGAAGGCAGCAAAGCCAGAAAAGACTCAGGGATCTTGCCTAAGAGGGAGCAAGGAAGGGCTTGACTTTCCAATCAGGAAAGGGAAAGAGCCAGGGAGTGGACATGAGGCGACCCTGCTAACATTCACCATACCTGCCTCCTATTGGGTAAGGGTTAGGCAGATTGACCTTCAGCTTGGATGGGCCATGGTTGGTCTACAGCTAAGTCGATCAGAGAAGGCCCATCTCCCTTGCCTCTGTGATTGGATGAGAGATGGGCAGCTCTAAGACAGTTCAGGCCAATGAGATGCAGGGAGACGTTGGGTAGGGGCTTTTAGGAAAGTCAGTCTGCTTTTGATGAGGAGGTTCAGGAAGGCATTATTTGTCTCAATCTATCCCCTCTCCCCAACAGTGAACAAGAAAGCAGATATCCTTGCTGACTGTTGGCAGCCGTTGTGGGACCACAAAGGCACCAGCCTCAGGAGATGGGAAGACTGAGTTGCCAGGGACGTTGCTGAGCCATTAGAGCCATCCTTACCCACAAGCCCACCCCACCTTGGGACTTCCTCTTGGGCAAGTCTGTGAATCTCCATGTTGTTGAATCCGTTTTGAATTGGCTTTTCTTTTTCTTGAAGCTCAAGGCATTTTAATTGGCATAACCTAGCCTATAAAAGGAAGATTAATTTCCTTGACCGCAAGAAAGTGGAATTCGAATTAGAGGGAATGAGATATTGAGATATCTCCCTCCATAGCCAGAGCTGCCTTGCAGTGAGTGTCCGGCTTTGGAAGCACCCCTACTAAGGCTGGGCCATTGCAAGGGGATTCCTTTTTTCTTTTCTTGTCTTTTTTTTTTTTTTTTCTTTAGACAGTTTTATTCTGTTGCCCGGGCTGGAGTGCAGTGGGGCAATTTCAGCTTACTACAACCCCTGCCTCCTGGGTTCAACCGATTCTTCTGCCTCAGCCTCCAGAGTAGCTGGGACTGCAGGCATGCGCCACCACGCCCGGGTAATTTTTGTATTTTTAGAAGACACAGAATTTCGCCATGTTGGCCAGGCTGGTCTCCAACTCCTGACCTCAAATGATCCACCTGCCTCGGCCTCCCAAAGTGCTGGAATTACAGGCATGAGCCACCGCACCTGGGCTGCAAGGGGATTTCTAAGGAGAAGGGGAGACGTGGCCACTGGCAACCACACCACCATCAAGGTGGGGCCTCATGATCCACCTACGAGCAGGAGCAGGGCTCTGAGGCAGGGCACTGAGGCTGAATAACACCTCTGTGTTGCAGGACAATTTATCAAAGGAAAATGAGGGCATCCATTCAGTTTTCCTTGTCCCACCTTCAAAAAAGACCAGGATTGTTGAAATTATTCCTCTAAAATCTACATTTTAAGAAGGAAGGTCAAGCTGGTGCTAATGTAATGTGTGCTATAGCTAACATATTATAGCTAACATACCTGCTTTAGGTCAAGCTGGTGGTAGAGTTACATTCTATTTTTTACTTATGGTATGCTTTATAGGAAAATGGGACCCTTTGTATGATTAATATTGGTGAGACAATGTCCATTTTGTCAGAGACATAAGGTAAATTCTTATCACAGTACACTGTTATCAAGGTTAGAGGTTGTGATATCTTTGCTTTCTTGATTTATTAAGAATTGTATTTATGATTTAATTATTGCCAAGTCGATGGTCAGGAATGCTTCCTAACTTTGCCATGGCGATATGGTTCTAGGGGAGAGGGAAGCCGATTCATGTTATTTGTTCTGCTAATTTATAAACACACTGTCTGTTCTAGTTTCCTCTCACAAACCCTTTTGGATCTGACATCCATGAATTTATTTAAGCATTTAAAAATCATGACATGTTTCCACCATGAGCCATCTACTTGCTATGAGAAGGCATGCTTTCTTTTATTTATCCTAAACGTGTATTTTCTGAGCTTCCAGCAAATTCTGCACCATCCCCTTAGACTAGTCTGGAGTAGGACATGCACAGTTCTTGACCACCACTAGCTGTGGCCATCCTTGGCTAATGCCACCTTTGTTTTGTGTAAATGGCTTATTTACTCTTCTCTGTTGGATATCAAAGCAACTTAACAGTGTAAGTAGCTTTTGCTAAATGAAGACATGAGTAAGCAGAGACTGTGGAATATACTGGTGCTACTTCAGTGGGATTTTACATGGTGAAACAAAGGGAGAAGTTGGTTCAGAAGTTTAGCCCTTGCTGCCTTGCCCAGTATGTGATTTTGTGCAAGAAGATGAGCAAAACAAAGACATGTTGCAGGCCGTGTTTTCTGGACGGTTGTTGAGTCAAGAAGGATTCAGGTGAGATACTGGGGCTCCTTATTTGAGCCAGCAGAAGCAGCTTTTTAGTTCCCAAATCAAATGGCTGGTACATAAATGTAAGGCTCTTATGCTTATTTTGTGACCTGAAAGATGGGGAGCAGGGAAGGAAGAACTAGGCGTGGTCTCAGATGTTTGGGATAATTGGCATCATTTTCCTCCATTATCCATGCTTCATCTAGAATGAGTTAATTGAGCCTGAAGCCTTCCAAATCTCCTGTTAATTACCCTGAAGCAGGCATGTTTGTCCCTTTCTTGGTCTAAAGCTGCAGGCAGATATCCGAGGTCTTTTATCCTTGCCTAGCACCAAAGAGTGACCACAAAATCTGCCTCAGGTTTCCGAAGGAGCCAGGTTCCACACTTGGCCCACCAGCCCCACTGCTCTGTGTGCGCCCAGCTCTCCACTTAACCACCTGATCCTGTTGTGTGACTTAGAAGAACGTGACTTTTACAACTTGAAAGCTTATTCCTGGACAGGAGTACTTGGTAGTGGAGAATCAGAGGAACTAAGGACTTCAGCATCACACCCAGTTTAAGCCTTTGCGCTTCAGCCAAGAAGACAGCAACGCTTGTCACGCTTGTCTCTCTGGCTTTTGGATAATATACATAACTGGTCCTTATGGAGGGCTGACTTTGGCCATGTGTGTACTCTTTTTAATGATCCCAACTGCCTGACAATGTCTATACACTGCATGAAGGACCTCATGCTCTAGGGAGGCAGGATCCTTGCCTGGAGTTACACTTGGGGTGGCAGAAGTGGGACTCATACTCAACCCTGACATACCATAGCACTGCTTGTTGATTTGCAGACATATAATTGAATGTGCTGTTAAAGAATGGTGAAAGTAGGAATGTGTTTGCTCTAAATTTCCCTGTGAACTTCCTTGTCTGCACCAGCTGGCTTGGTTTGATCCTTTCCCCAGACTCTGATGCTTCTGTAAAGACAGAGCACATGCACATGCTCATGTCCTCTGGCCCAGGTAAGGCTTATCCACAGAGAAGGGAGCATTGTGCCCCCAGTGCCCGGGAGGTGGTATATTCCACAAAGAGGTGAGTGGAGTGGGGGCCTTGTTGTCATTGAATCTCATGTAGTGGAGGGCCTTGGGGAGGTGACACAGGAAAATGTGCTACTCTGTATTGTCTTGGGAAGGGTTGAATTTGATTCTGTTGTTTCTGAGGATGTGAGAATAAATCTTGATGGCTTTCCTCTTTCTGCCTCTAAGCATCCTTGTGTGTATTGCTGGTTTTACCTGATCATTTTCACCATCTTCCCCATGGTTTTAGTGGTCATTTTTCATTTCTTCTCTTGTAAATAATCAGTTCATGTTTTCTAGCACCAATTCTAAGCCTAGATTAGTAATAAGAAAAGTTCCCTCTTTTTAAAAGAAGATGTCTACTTTCTCTGCCCTCCTTATTGCCCAGAAAACAGGCATTGTGGAGACGTGGCCTTGATTGTCCTTCTTCTTGTCTCTTCCACCAATGTGGCTGACCTTTTTCTCCTCACTCTCCATTAATTAGCAGCAGTTTCCCTGTTCCTTGGCTCACAGTGGTACACCTGGGAGCCTTAGCACTCACTGAAAACCCCTTACTGCCTAACAAGAATTGACCCATGGTTGAAAACCCATCTCAAGTGCTGCTGCCTCTATGAAGCCCACCCTGAATTACGTTCAACTGGACATACTTCCTTATTTAAACCCTTTGGCACTGATATTCTATCTTTAATCATTATTATTATTTTAGAACATGTCACCTTCCCATGTTTTCCAAGTCATAAAAGTAGTACATGTCCATCACAGACAAATGGGGAGTGCAGAAAAGCACAAAGAATAAAACAGGTAAGACCCAGGTAACAGCAGGCGCCAGCATTTGGGGAGGATTATGTGCAGGTGCTCTTCCAGATCTTTACCTGTGTTAATCCAGCTCATTTTCACAGCCACTCCTCGAGGGCGGTATTGTTTCAATCCCCATTTTCCGTATAACGAAATGAAGCTCCAGGAGGTAATGGTGATGGATCTCAGATGGTAGGTGGGGTCCTGTGCGACCTGGAGATCTGATTAAACATGGTTGTCCTAGTTCCATGGCTGTGTGAGTTGGAGATCTCTCTGAGCCCCTGGGGTTTCTCTCTGTTCCTCCCTGGCCCCTGCATGCAGCCTGGGGTCTTAAGTGGGCATCTACTCCTCCTTGGTGGATGCTGTCGGGAGACTGTAACTTTCCGAAGCTGCCTCTGTTTTATTTTAGAAGTCAGGTTTTAACTGTGGGCATAAAAAGAGCAAGAAGTAATAACTGCAGCCAGCATTTATGGAGTGCTTTACACGTGCCAAACCCTGCTCTGAGGGTTGTGTGTGTGTGAACTCACTCTTCACACCATAGCCACTTTGAGGACCTGGACTGAGTTTACATAGTTAGAATGTAATGAGAGGGGCTGGTTTTAGAACCTGGTTTTAACTGCCTGCTCTCTTGCCTGCATCTACATCCAGTGATGAGACAACCAAAACAGGCCTCTGTGGATCACAAGTGGGGACTTGAGGGGAAATGGCACAGCTTCTTCTGCAACATTAGGATTAGAACAAGAATCAGGGAAGAGCCTCCCAGGCCTCTCCCGACTCCAGACTGTGGGAAGGCCTCCCATCTGGGAGGGCCGAGCATGGGACAGGGAGACCTGATGGGGTGTCTGGGCAGAGAGGAGAAGGTCAGCTTCAAGAGACCTGGAGCTGAGCCCATGCCCCCAGGGCTGTGCTGACATCTAGGGATGTCCCACGGCCAGGGCACCCTTGAAAGCTCCTTGTTGTGGTCACTTCAGCATATGGCCTAATGGTCACTTGTGGATCACCAACAGAATGGCACCCATTAGAATGGCATTGGAGACTTTGCCAAGTCCCATTCAGCTGGTGGACACACCCTATTCTCTCAAAGACCACCTGGAGATAGGGAGTGGGGGTCTTGACATCCAGAGGGATGGTGGCTGTGCACCCCAGCACCCACTTGGGTGGGAATAGACAGGGTGAAAACATTCCTGTTAGTCAAATGATTCCTTTGACTATCATCTGCTGATAGTCGAAGGTCAAGTTCTATGTCACCACCTTTACATGGGAGATCAGAGAAAGGGGTGGTCACATGGATGAAGGCTGGGAAGGCTTCTTGGAGGACAAAATATATGCCCTGGCTGTAGAAGGACAGAAATGAATTCAGCGGGAGGAGGAGGAAGGCAGGAGCACACATCAGGCTGAGGAGAAGGGGTGAGAGATGGAGTGGCTCAGGCCCAGGCCCAGGGATGTGGACTGAAAGGACCCTCCAGAAGGTGGGCTGGGGATGGCACCAAGATCCTGCACCTCTAATGCCTGGGATGGGGATGTGATGAAGGTCAGGCGAAGTGTGAGTGTGGGAGTCAGACAGCCTGGGCTTGAATCCTAGTTCTGGCACCTACTAGCTGTGCAATTTCTGTCTTGTGACATGCAGTCACCTGATCCCAGCCTCTGTTTCTTCATCTGAAACCATGACACCTATGTAAGGAAGCCACATTCAGGACTGAGATAGGAATTAGATAGTAAACATACAGTACCGAGCACAGTGCCTGCGGTGTAT
Source organism: Homo sapiens (assembly GCF_000001405.40). Lineage (NCBI taxonomy): Eukaryota > Metazoa > Chordata > Mammalia > Primates > Hominidae > Homo > Homo sapiens. The sequence continues at coordinate 173,469,096 of NC_000005.10, forward strand.
GTCATACTTGCTTAATAAATGGTATTCATTACTCGTGTTCAACTGGGAAATCCATTCTGTGGGTCATGGAAATCTCCACCCACTGCTACTTTGTTTCTGTGTCTTTGTGGAATGTCTCCAAGTAGCAATGAAATCACATTCTAGACTGGGCAACTAAAAGAAATTGGGAAAATCCTAGTGGATGTCCAGTTAGAGGAAAATTATGCAGTTTGCATAAATGAAACATTGGGATGCAATTTCACTGTTTTATTTGGTTTTGGTTTGGCTTTCATGGGAAGCTATACGCCTCTGGGTGATTTTTCCCAGCAATCATGGGAGATATATATCCGGTTTCTTCATACACAGCGACAATGTTTCCCTCTTCCATCCACAGAGACAGCAGGGTTCAGGCTTCGAGTTGTGGTGCAATTGGCCCACATCCACCCCACCCTCTCTTCACGCAGCAGATGACTGGGACATAAAGAAGCTGATGGGGCCACTGCCACCGAATTTCCACCTGCAGCCCTTCTCGGGGGCCACCACCATGCTCCTCAACAGCTGTCACTGACAGGACAGAGCTTGAGGATCTTGAGGAGCTACTGACCCTGCAGAACCGCTCTGAGACCAGGGGGAGCTTTTCCAGGTGAAACGATTCATGGCTAGGCTGATTTAACTAATGGGTTTTTCATCAGAGTAATACATATTCAGATATGTCCCATGCTCAGTGATGGCATCAAGCAATGTCAGGATTAGATGGGAAATTAGAGGCAATTTGCTCCAAGTGTCTACTTGTGTACCCTCCACAGACGTATCCATGCAATGGTCTTCTGTCTTCTAGGAAGCTCCCAAGTTCATTTTTTATTCAAAGCGAACCAGGAGAGTTCTGTCTACACTCATTTCTATGCATAGAACTTGACGCTTTAAAAAGACAATGCTGAATTCTAGTTTCCCTGCCCCTACACCAGCCCAATCCTCTGTTCTTATTCCCATCTGACGGTGTCACCCAGGGCACTAACCCAGTAGTACCAGGCACCGAATAGGCATCCAGTAGGTGTTGAATGTCGTATGTAGCGGACAAGGGCCACTTTGGAAAGTCATGTTTCATCGCTTCACTCCTCCCTGTGAGTCTGGGTGCTCTGAAGCCCCTCTCTCGATCCCCCCATGAGACACACAGAATTTAGACCCTGTCATCAATGTTAAAGGTCAGCTAACATGGTTTCCAAACCAAGCATGTGTCACCATGTATCACTTGGGCTTGAACCCAGGTTGGCTGAATTATCCATGCATCTAGGCAACCACCTATACATCCATTCATGCAGCTCATGGAAATGTTTGGAGTGCAAGCACAGTTCCAGGTGTTGTGGCAGATACAAAGAATATGATAGAGGGCCTGGTCCTGGTGGATCCAGGATGTTGTGGGGGAGACTGTTCTAATGAGCCATCTCTGTGTTGAGTTATGTGATAAGAGCTGTGATAGAGATTCTGCAAAGAATCCGGGCCTGGGCATTCAGGCCTGGGATCTGCACAAGTGGGTCCTCGTGCTGCCCTTATTTAAGGCTCAAAAGGTACCACTCTCCCAGACATCAATACCACTTCACTGTCAAATTTCCCTTCCCACAATCCTGTCCTGTGGTGGTGTGCTGGAGAGGGAGCATTACCTCCAGTGTCCCTTAACCATACCTAAGAATATAACTACACAGGCAGATCACGAGGTCAGGAGATCGAGACCATCCTGGCTAACATGGTGAAACCCCATCTGTACTAAAAATACAAAAAATTAGCCGGGCGTGGTGGCGGGTGCCTGTAGTTCCAGCTACTCAGGAGGCTGAGGCAGGAGAATCACTTGAACCCAGGAGGCGGAGGTTGCAGTGAGCTGAGATCGCACCACTGCACTCCAGCTTGGTGACAAAGCAAGACTCCGTCTAAAAAAAAAAGATATATATATATATACATATATACGTATATATGTATATATATGTGTGTATATATATGTATATATACACACATATATATACATATATACGTATATACATAAATATATATAAAGATATTTATATATATAAAGATATATATATACACACACACACACACCCAACTAAAGGTGTTTATTTCTAAATAGATGAAGAAATATGTAACATCCATTTATAAATTAAGAAATAAATAAAATATATAACATATTTATTTATATCTATATGACTTTGTAGAACACTTTGTCAGCCTAACATGGTTTCTCCAGGCGGGCAAGAAATAAACATATATGTATGTGTATAAATGTGTATATTGACATTAATGTATGTGTTAGACATATTTAAAATAAAGATATGCATAATTTACCTGATTACAAATACATATATAAATAAGTCTATGTGTATTTGGGTTCAAATCCCAGCTGTGCAAATCATTAGCTCTGTAACATAGGCATGTTCTGTCACCTCTCAGAGTCCAGCTTCCTTATCTATAAGATGAGGTTGATGTGGCCTGTGTCTCAGGGATGCGACAAGGAAATGGAGTCATGCATATTAAGAACTGAATAACAGGTAATCGGGAAGTGAGAGATATTATGTATTATTGCAGAAGGATTGTTGCCTGCAGACCCTGCTGTGTTTCTTCACACCAAATCATGGGCAAGTTTTTTCCCGCCAATCCACCTGATAGCACAGAGCTGTGTTGTGGAGGGCTTTAAAACAGTCCTTCTTGTGTTCAAGGACCCTCTGGGAGGGTCAGAGGTCTGTGCATGTCCTTTGTCAAAGAATTCTCTTTCCTTGTACATGCAGATGAGAAGTCAACTCTGAAACACAGGCCAGGCACAGTGGCTCTCGTCTGTAATTCCAGCACTTTGAGAGGCTGAGACACGAGAATCACCTGAGGTCAGGAGTTCGAGACCAGCCTGACCAACATGGCGAAACCCTATCTCTACTAAAAATAGAAAAATTAGCTGGGCCTGGTGGTGGGCGCCTGTAATCCCAGCTACTCGGGAGGCTGAGGCAGGAGAATCGCTTGAACCCGGGAAGCAGAAGTTGTAGTGAGCAGAGATCGCGCCATTGCACTCTAGCCTGGGTGACAAGATTGAAACTCCGTCTCAAAAAGACAAAAACAAAAACAAAAACCCCAAACAAACAAGCAAACAAACAAAAAACATCCTCTTAAACACAACTCAGGCGGCAACTCCTATAAACAAAAATCAGCATAATAAACATGGTGGCCCAGTGGTCTTTGGGCCTGTCAACTGGAAGTTAAGCCAACTCTGTTTGACTTCATTTCTGAAGGCAAATATAGCTCCAGCATTAGCCAAACTGGGCAGTGAGGAATTTTTCATGTTCCCAACACTTTCAACAATGCCCTATTATGCATGGTGACTCATGAATGGGCTCACATCCACGGAACAGCATGTGTCTCTCTGCAGTGAGCACAGTGCTTTGCTGTATGTTTGAACTAATTTCATAGTCTGGTCTCCACCACAGATGTTACTTGCCTTCTTTTCTGACGGTTGCTGTAAGCTTGTTGTATCAGAGAAAGCCAGAAAAGGAAAGAGCTATGATTCTTTGCACTGGGCAATTGAGCGTTTTGGAGACAGTGCTCTGGAGAGAAACTTAGGTTCAAGTTGAATTAAAAGTGAAGTCTTGGGTGTCTTTGTCAAAAGGCATTTACCTTAGTTGGCGGGTCAAAGAAAACTCTCAGGTCATGCATAATGGTTGTGGCTGCTGATGCCATCAGCTCTCTTTCTCTTGACATTCAGGGGAAAAGACAGCAGACTGTTTAAACAGCTCCTTGGATGTGGCAGGGTCAAGGCGGCACGGGAAATTGTGTGCAGAGGCAGCTGATTTGCCTCGTAGGTTATTATAAGAATGAAATTGGGCAATTTTATAGAGAATGAGAACCCCAGGAACACATACTTGGTTTCTAACATTCCAAAAGGAGGGAAGAATTACTGGCATCTAATCTGTCCCAAGGACACCCTGCCCTGTTGTTTTTTCCTCCTGCCTGGTACACATGCCTTGGCTGTGCTGAGCTTCAGCAATTTTTGAAGCTGTCATGGAGCAGGGTGGGCTCAGAGCCAGCCTTGCTTGTGCCACCTCAGACCTCTGCATCATTGCAGACCCTGGAACACCCACACCTCTTGGCTCCCTGGTGAACTCCTAGCCTACCATCAACAGCCATCAGAGACTGCAGTTTTTCCAGCAGGCCTCCTTGACTCCCCACTCCTTTGGTAGCTGCCTCTGGTCCCGGCACAGATTTCTGTTAGTGCTCTTACCACCTTGTGTTCTAATGTAAGAATAAGAATTTAAACTCCTCGGCAAGGTCTTTGCTTACTGCTCTGCCTCTTCAACTAGATGGTGGATTTCTGAGAGCAGTGACCTGGGCTGTCTTGCTCACTGTGTATTCTCAGCACCCAGGACATTTCCTGGCAGGCAGAAGGCACTTAGTAAACATTTGCTGAACGATCGAGTGAATAAATGAATAAATGAATGAATGACATCCACAGGCATTTTTGTGTGTGTATGATGAGACATATGAGGTTTCCAGGACACCAGAAACTCCTACAGTCATCCATTCTAGTATGTCACGACGTTGTCACTGGAAGGCCCTTTTAAAAATCACTTCTGTTACCTGTTATCATTCACCAATGCCTGTGCATGAATGAGGTTACAGGATTACAAGGTACCTGCGTAGATAGACCAGGTCTGCTTCTGTTTTGGGGTAAAAGTAGGGAAGTGTGCATGTGTGCGAGGCAATGGGTGAGTGAGAAAGATCTGAAGCTATGGGGTGTTTTTCAAAAGGAACCCTGAAGTCAGAGTGCCCTTGAAAGAGGAGGAGACTGGGAAAGGGAAGGCAAGAGGTCAAGGTTTTCTATTAGTCTTGAGCCCAAGCTTGGGGGGGACCTTAGACCTGCAGGGTCCCAGGTGAGTTCCTAGCCCTTGTTTCTGGCTTCTTAGACAAGAGAGTAATTCATTAACCCATCTTCCATTCATTTACGTGTTCATTCATTGGACTAAATCTCACTGACCATGTACAATGCACCAGAACACAGCAAAAAGCAAAACAAACACATTTCCTACCCTCATGGAACTTATATTCTTGTTAGGGAGAAATAGCCACAAAACAAATAAATCTACTACTATTCCAGATCATCATAAATGCCCTGAAGAAGAACGGAGCAGGACAAGGCAGTGGAGAGCCACAGGGGTTCTGTTTTTGATAGTGCGGGTTGACCAGAGAGGCTGGGGGTAGATACCTTGAGAAGGGGACAGCAGGCAGAAAATAAAGGAAGGGACCCTGATAGCTGAGCTGCTCATTGGTGGGAGACAAAGGCGTGGGATTCAATCCCAGCTCCATTGCTTTGGGCAAGCATATAGAATTGGGTCAAAGATGTTCTCTTTGAGAGTAATTCCTTTATTTGAGCTGAACAGGGGACTTTGACAGATAGGTGTACATTTTTGACTTGGAGTTCATTGCACCACTTCACCCCACTGAGCCCCACTTTACTCCTTTGTCAACTGGGAAGGCAATGAGGCCTCCTTCATAGGCTGTCTTGAAGGTTACATGAGATCCCATGTGTGACAATGGCCCTCGGTGATTTATGGAGAACCATGCTAAGGAGAGCTATTTACAGGTTCACCGCTTGTCAACCTGCAAAGGTATTAAAGTTCCACAAGCAGTCAGTGATTGTTGGCCAATGACTGCTGGGCCTGCTGAATCTTGGGTGCTGGTGGGGACCTTCCTTCATGCCTCTGCCACAGGACTCCCATTAGTCTAAACTTAGATTCCTACAGTCTAGAGGTTAAACGTGGTTAGTGCAGGGCTTGCTGAGTTTCAGCTGGTATATAAGAGCATCATAAAAATCCCTGGCATTTGTTCTGATTGGTTGGTGCCTGTGTAGTACCCGAGGTTAAAATTTCTTGACTCTCAGCCCTGTTAGGAGTATGGACTCTGGAGTCATAGGGCTGGAATGCAAATCTCAGCTCTATCGTTTACCAGCTGTGCAACTTGGGCAAGTTACTCTCTATTACTCTGTTTCCACATCGGTAAGTGGAAGTCATTGTTATGACTTACTATCTCTTAGGGCTGCTGGGAGAACTAATGAGTTAGGCAGTGGCACTGGAAGCAGTGCCTAGCGCACATGCCCATGTAAGTGTTTGCTATTCTTATTACTTTTGTTCCTCCCCCACTTCCACCGTGACTTCCTGTGGAGAAGAGGCCTGTTCTAGTCATCTCCTGGTTTCCAGTAGCTACATCAGGTTTGGCACAGGGCAGTCCCTCGGTAAGTGTGGGATGGATGGCTGAATAAATGGATGGCTGGAGCAGATTTTATTTCTCCTAAGCTTTAGAGTGGCGAAGAGAACTGTAGGGAACGCTGATGGCACAGCTTGGAAAAGGTGTGCAGTGCGGGGCAAGCTTCCCACCAAATCCCTCTCCTCCTGCAGGAACGCAGAATCTTCTTGGGGAAATTCTGTGTCTCTTCAGAGACATTTGGCTAAGTTCAGTCAATGCACCAGCAGTGAAAAAGCTGGTGTCTGGTAGTGCACACCCTCAATTTGGAAATATGATTTTAGAAATGTGAAATTGTGAACAAAGGAGGGGCATCTTAGAGCTGAGAAAGTGCACTGTTTACGGAGTGCTCACAACGCACCAGGCACCTCGGACACTTTCCTGATAGCCTTCACTTCACTCCTCAGTTTGCAGGGAAGAGACTGAGGAATGTTTTGGTTCACTGTCTTGCATAAGCCACACAGCTAATAAGGGCTCCTCCTGAGATTTGCACCTGGGTCTCTCAGGCTTTGGAACCCTACCCTTTTCACTGATTTTCACTGAGAATGTGTAGCTGCCTGTGACTGGGAGAGGGGTTCTCACAGGTTCATAGCTATCTGTATGCACAGGGTACAGTCTAATCTAAATATGAATAAGTTCACAATTGCTGCATTCTTGAATCATTTGACAGCTAAATGATTGACTCATTCAGGGGAAATTTCATTGCTAAAAAGTAGTATCAGTGGTATATACCCAAAAGAATTGAAAGTAAAGTCTCGGAGATAGATTTGCACACTCATGTTCATGGCAGCGTTATTCACAATGGCAAAGGGAGGAATCCACCAACTGTCCACCAACAGATGAATGGATAAACAAGACGTAGTGTATACATGCAGTGGAATATTATTCAGCTGCGAAAAAGAAGGAAATTCTGACCTATGCTATGAAATAGATGAAACTTGAGAGGATATTGTGCTAAGTGAAGTAAGCCAGACACAAAAAGACAAATACTGCATGATGCCACTTACATGATGTGCCTGGAATAGTCAAATTCAGACAGAAAATAGAATGGTGGTTGCCTGGGGCTGGGGGCAGTAAGGAATGGAAGTTATTTAATGGGTACAGAGTTTCAGTTTTGCAAGATGAAAAGAGTTCTGTGGGTGGATGGGGCTAATAATAGCACAACAATGTGCTCAGTGCCACTGCACTTAACACTTACAAATGGTTAAGATGGTAAATTTTATGTTATGTGTGTTTTACCACACACACAACAGAATAAATTCCAGCTGTGTGGGAGAAGTTTGATATCTTATGATGGGAAGGATTTGAACTTGGCTTTAAGGAACTTAGGCTTTTCCAAACTTTACCAGTTAATTGGCGGTGAGTGCGAGTCAGCTGTGGTTCTACTGGGTACCCTAAGTACGGTCAGTACTTCAGCAACTCGTGGGTTCTGGGACAACTTGAGTTGATAATCTCCCTCCCTGCCTTCCTTCATGTTTATCAAATGCCTACTGTGTACCATTCACCCTGCTAGACACTGGACATGAAAACACGTATTCTGTGCGCAAACATACTCATATTTTCTCCCATTTTTTCCTTCTTTCTTTCTTCCTTCCTTTCTTTCTTTCTTTTCCCTCCCTCCCTCCCTCCCTCCCTCCCTCCCTCTCTCTCTCTCTCTCTCTCTCTCTTTCTTTCTTTCTTTCTTTCTACAGAGCCTTGCTCTGTCACCCAGGCTGGAGTGCAGTGGCACAATCTTGGCTCACTGCAAGCTCCACCTCCCAGGTTCCCAACATTCTCCTGCCTCAGCCTCCCAAGTAGCTGGGACTACAGGCACTCGCCACCACGCCCGGCTAATTTTTTGTATTTTTAGTAGAGACAGGGTTTCACCATGTTAGCCAGGATGGTCTCAATCTCCTGACCTCGTGATCCACCCGCCTCGGCCTCCCAAAGTGCTGGGATTACAGGTGTGAGCCACCGCGCCTGGCCCATTTTTATTATTTCTATTGGTATATACACACTCTCTGTTTTGCTTGATATTGGTTCATGTCCCATTTATTTTCTGTGATGATTTATTTCAGTAGAATGAAAGGATTGCTTCTGCTTTAACCTCTGATGCTTTATCAAGGCCGAGCTGAGGGCTGCACTATCGGGAGCTTGGTAAGCTTGGGTGGCTGGCCCTGGCGTGGGGAGCGGGGTTGCTGAGAAGTGCAAGTGGGAAGGGCCCCAGAGAGTCACTGTGCCCACAGTCAACTGAGTGTTTTCACATTTTTCCCAGTCTGGCATCGTGGGAATTTGCCTGGCCTGCTTTATGGAGAGTCTGACTTGGATTCTGAGGGCTTGGAAAGATAGTCGAAAGATTATTCCCTTCCCTGAAATAGCCATGCATTTGTTTAAAGACTTGACACCGTTCTGATGCTGGAATTTCCCTCTGTGTTTATTTTCACATCTGGGTGATGGTCTTCTGCCATAGGAGGACTTTTAATGAATCACTTCGGAGATTGCTTTGAATGTTTCCCAGACAGGAGGGGGCTGGTGCTTGTCTTTTTTCTGAAGCCTTACAGGGCAGGACTGACTTGGCTTCTCGGCTGGCCGCCTGGCGCTGTCCCTGGGGGAAAGCAGACATTTCTCATCTTTCTGGGAAACCTGTGCCTGCGGAGTTTCTCATCTCAGGGCCCTCTTTCTACGTCAGCAGGGGAAAAAAGGTGGAATGGACTAGAAATACAAGAGATAGACTGGGTTTAACTGGTTCAAGATGTACTCGGTGGCGTTGCCTGGGGTAGCCACTGGTAGACACTTCCCTTCTGCTTCCATAGGCTCCCACCTGCCGTGTCCAGAACTCCAGGAGACAAAAACGGCTGGGGTCACCTTCCAAAGTGCAACTTGGGAAGTTATTGGCTACCAGGGGTCGTTTGATGGATGTTTGTCTCCAGGGCTTGCAGGACAGGCCGGGGTCTCTATGTCCCCGGAGGTCAATGTCCCTGCTCGCTCTCAGCCTGACAGGTCTTTTGCGGTCACCTCCCTGCTCTGTGTCCTTCTGTCTCCTGTCCCACCCATACTCCATGTTCCAGCCACGTCTCATGCACTGGGCATTTTCCAGTTACCTCCTCCCCAGAGCCTCACTCTATTCGTCTCTGCCCAGCTCTGCACCCCAGAAGTCTGACTGCAAGGGATGCTTGGCCGGGCTGCCCTGCCCCAACCTCTGGCTTGTGGTTGGGTTGGTCATTGGGGGAGGGGTCCCACAAGAGATCTGAGGAGGGAGGAGAGAGGTGGGGGGTATTTATTCCCTCAGCGGTGCCTTAGAAGTCTCAGATCCTTTCAAGGTGGCCCTCTCCACATAATTTTCTCTTTCTGTATTCAGATAACTGCTGCCTCCTTCCATCTTTTGCATCTAGGGGTCGTACGGCACCCCCCGCCCCCACAACTCCTGCACTGTCTCTTGTGGTTTCCCTGTAATGCACACACACCTTTGTTAATAGTCCATTTTCTAAACTCATCTTGAATTCTCTTGAGTATTCCAGCTGGAATTCAGACGATCTATACACAGTGTCATTTTACACACTGGTACATGTTCCCATGCTGTTTCTCCTTTTCTTTTCTTTTTTCTTTCTTTTTTATTTTTCTGAGATGGAATCTCCCTCTGTCACCCAGGCTGAAGTGCAGTGGCAGGATCTCGGTTCACTGCAACCTCCACTTCGCGAGTTCAAGTGATTCTCCTGCCTCAGCCTCCCAAGTAGATGGGATTACAGATGCCCACCACCATGCCTGGCTAATTTTTGTATTTTTAGTAGAGACTGGGTTTCACCATGTTGGCCAGGCTCTGGTCTCAAACTCCTGACCTCAAGTGATCTGCCCACCTCTGCCTCCCAAAGTGCTGGGATTACAGGCGGGAGCCACTGTGCACGGCCCCATGCTGTTTCTTCGACCCAGAATTCCCTTACGTTGGCTACCTGTTGGTCTGTTCCTTGTCCTTCAAAATCTGCGGAAATGTCACCTCTCTGAAGCCTGCCTTGAGTTCCTCATACGAGTTAATCACTCTCTCCTTGGCCATCTACCTCTCTGAATGGTGGCAGTCTTGTCCGTGTAGCATCCTCACGCTAACCCCGTGCTATCTAGGACATGTCCAAACTTTTCCTCATCAAAATTTTACAAAGTTTAATTTCTTTAAGGTCTGATTATGTGACTGTCTAAAGAAACTACTTAAATTCCTGGTTCAGAGTAGATGCTTCATAAAAAGATTAGACTACTCCATGCTAAAGTGTGGATGGGCTGTGTGGTTTAATACATTATTCCTCCCAGGGACACGCCACATTTATAAGGGAACTTTCAGAGTTAATATTCCACCCAATGAATCCTAAATTGGTAAGAAGTGAAGTGGGTCACTTCACGTCCTGCCAAGTCAAGGGGTCTTCTTCTGGGGCTCTTCAAACTGTACCAAGTCCAAGGCTTCCCTATCTGTAGGTTGGAGAAACAGAATCATGTCAGGTCAATCTCCAGCATGCAGAGGCTGCTTGGAAAAGTGAGCCAGGTTGCTCAATAGTGGCTTAGGGGAGCTGTGTCTGCGGAAAAAGATAGATGTGACTGGACACATCTCTGCTCAGCTAATATGTGCTTCCAGTACTATTGGAATGTGATTTTCTAAATTGTGACTGGCCGACTTTCTTCTCTTGTGGTTGAGTTTGCAATAACATAGACTATGACTCTAGTTTTGCCAAAGTGGAAAAAAATGCCATCCAATGGATTTTTATGGTGGTTCTTAAACATTTTTTAAAATGTTATTAAAGACGGAGCTCAGTGAGTCTTTCCTGTCCCACTTTGGGCTGATGAACCAAGGCACAGACTTACAAGGTTGGGCACGGGCAGCCAGGGATGCTACCTCAGGACGTGCCAACACCAGTTAAGTCGCCCTGTGTAATTTTGCCTAAAAATGGAGCTACCTACATAAGTACAAATCCAGAGTATTTTGACCATCCCTGGCTTAGGGCAGAGATCAAAACAAAGCATCTCAATCCTCATTAGGTTCAAGAATCCAGGGAGCCTGCTGTGTTCCAAGAAGCCCAGATACATCTTTCAAGGACTCCAGAGTCACAGCTCACATCTTAGGTGGTAGACAGAACCAAGTGAAACTACCTATTGCAAACTGCCCTCCTCCCTGCTCTGTGAAGAAGTGGGGACCCATCTGACATATAGTTTCACAGTCAAGATGCTTAGGGACATCTTTTCCAGCAGGGTCCTATGGACATCCATACAGTTGGCAAACTGGCAGGATTCTTGGGAAGAACCAAAAGTGATGTTTGTTGAGTGTCTTGGAGTAGTCAGGACAGATGGTTTCTTAGGGGGTTTCAGATCAGCAAAATAGGAAGCCTCAGGACTCTGAATTTCCTGCTCTTTCGTCCGGTTTCTCCTCTTATTAACATCGTGAATTCCCCTTTGCCTGGAAGCCGTCAGGTAGCCATTGTGAGGTCTCAAAACCTAGGAAGAGAAGTTCGTGAACTGGGCTGCAAACAGGGTTTGTCTTGGGATTAATTGCAACCTAAGTGGCCTCCTTTCTGCTGCCTACCTGAGTTCTTCCCGCCCTGCAGTGGGCTCTGGTCTCCCATGTAGTCATGTCCTTGTCACCCAGCATGGCTCTGGTTATACACACTTCCTCTGCTGTCTGAGTGGTCTCAGTTAGCACATAAATCCATTAAGGGCCTGGAGGGCAGCTTAGATGTTGCATGTCTTAGGAGATTGGGTACATGAGTGAATCATAGACCATGAGCTCTAAGACAGCTGAGCATTGTGCCTCCAGGGCTTGGCACTTAGTAGATGCTCAATAAATATTTGTCAACTGAATGATTCTGAACTGTCATCTGAAATGCTTTTAGTTGTTCATTTTACCTCTTCCACCCCAGTGCTTATTTTCCTGGCTTGGACCCAGTTTTGGGAGGCCACTTCCATTGGTCAAAAGTGATATGCTTGCATTGTGTCCCTGGCCTGGGATGCTGTTACGATGATTCTAGCTTTATGACCTGTGCGGTCTGACTCAGGACCCTTGCTTCGTGGTGTGGTGTGGAGCAGGGAAAGCTCTCTGGGGGGAGTGGCAGTTGAAATCCCCCTGGTTTCAAAAAATGGTCCAGAAATATGTTGAAGACATTTAAAAAATTTCTAGTCAAAACCTTTTGGGAAGAACAGCCAGATTTTGTAAAGAAAAAAAAAAAGGCAGTTTAATGGGCAAAGATGTTCTGAGCAATTCCAAGCTTTACTGACTCTCCAAGAGGCTGTTCAACAAGCATTTTCAGGAATCGTGAGCTCCAAGCTGACTTGCCATTGGAGCATCTTCAGTGGGTCACAGGGAGGCGCCTTGGTCATCTCACTGAGTGTTTGGACCTGACCAGAAAACCCTTGTTCCCCTTCCTTGCCTCCCTCCCACCCTTCCATGGCCCACCCCCTGCAGATTTCTACATCGGCAAAGTGACAGGTGACCATGATGGCAGAAAGGTTTGCTTTGGGACTGATGGTGAAGGGAAAATGATGGAGTGTGTGTAGCTTTGCCGGCTCCTCGTCTCCCCCAACCCGGAGGCTAGAATGCCTTCCCCGAACAGTAATGGCAGAGAACCAGAGAGCTGTTTGCCCACTTGGAAGTAGTGGGATGGGGTCAATGCCCTTTGCAGAAGCCTAGGAATGCAGCTCTTCTGGTGTTCTCCCTACCCCACTCCTGGGCATACCTGCTCTTGGCTTCCCACTGACTTCCTGTGCTTTAGGGCAGGTGCATTGGGTAGAGCAGAATCCACGGCAGAGATGGTGAAGTTGCTGCTCCTTAGTGATTATATTTTTAGAGCATTCTGTGACCAGAGGTAGGTCTCTAAACAGCTTTGTGCCTCAATTTTCCTATCTGTATGACACAATATGGCAGTGTTGTGATGCAGTCACTAGGAGACCGTGTTCAGAAAAGGGGTTTGTCCTTATCCAACCCCATTCCCCCAGCTCTTTAGTGGTGGCCTCTCACCTCTTATTATTACCCAAATTTATTTTACTGTCAGCTGATTGCCAGTTTCTCTGTCCCTTCTAGGTACATTGGTAATAATTTGAGGGGTGTTTTTTTTAAGGACACCCTAACCAGAAAAGAGGATTCTGGAAAGACAGAAGTCCTCAAGGTGCAAATGAATTCATCTCCAATGATAATATTTTGGGTGACATTTTTCCCCTCCTTTTTCAAAAGAGTGTCTTTTCTCAAACGCTTAAATTCCATCATGGTTGCAGAGGAGTCTCTATGTAGCTGAGATGGTTTAGTTTGCTTTTCCTGCTAAGGTTATAATATGACTATTGTTCTTGTCACTAAAATTATTCTGTAAGCATCAAGTTTTCTAAGAACTTAAAGATTTTCAAACAGTGGAGAAAGGTTGAAATAATTTTAATGCAAGCACTCCAATGTCTACCACCTAGATTCTACAGGCGTTCACATTTTAGTGTACTTAGCCTTATCTTATGACTTTCTGTCTAGCTCTGCTTCTAGCTATCCATCCTCTATAATTTTGGGGGTGTATTTCAGAGTAAGTTGCAGACATCAATACACACCCCCTAGCCAGTTTACTTTAGAATGGATATTGTAAACTAGAGTTCATTATTTTTTACAGTTATTTTCTTTTGAACATCAATAAAATGCACAAATCTTAGGTATCCTATTTATAGACATTGGTTTTTAAAAATTGCTGTGTCCATTTGAGTCCTGTATTCCCACACTTTCTTACTTAACAGTTAATTTGTTACTCAAGTAATAATTAATTCATCTACTCTGTCTTTTCCATTTGGAAGGGGAGGCTTAGCCTTCTTTATTCCTCAATAAGGAGAAGTAATTTCTGTCCTACCCAGATTCACATCCAGTCTGGTCTCTCAACATCCTGGCAATGAATGCAGACCCCTTCCCTGCTCCCTTCCAGCTCTAAACCTTGGTCCAGGAGGCTCAGAGCCACTTCCTGGTTCCATCTGATGCAGTCTGGCCTTGTCCTGTCAAACCCAGGACTGCTGACTCTCTTACCATGTAAGAGTTGAATAATCGTAGATATTAGCTACCACATTAGCAGGTGTGGTTCTTCTCAGTTTCTAAAGAGCTTGCCCTCATGTCGTTTCATTGAGACCGCACTACAGCAGGTAACTATTAGTAACACTATTATACTCATTTCTCAGATTGGGATACTGAGGCTTAGAGAGGGAGGTCATGCAGCTTGGGTCTGGATTGAGGCCTGAGTGGCTTCACACACGGAGTTCCTCCTGCGGCCCCACAGTGCTTTCACCTGAGCCTAATTTCCCAGGCTGTGACACAATGACTATGCATACTGCTAAAGGTGTGTCAGAGCCTAATTTCCCAGGCTGTGACACAATGGCTATGCATACCGCTAAAGGTGTGTCAGAGTAACATACTGCTAAAGGTGTGTCAGAGCCTAATTTTCCAGGCTGTGACCCAATGACTGTGCATACTGCTAAAGGTGTGTCAGAGTAACATACTGCTAAAGGTGTGTCAGAGCCTAATTTCCCAGGCTGTGACACAATGGCTATGCATACTGCTAAAGGTGTGGCAGAGTAACATACTGCTAAAGGTGTGGCAGAGCCTAATTTTCCAGGCTGTGACCCAATGACTGTGCATACCGCTAAAGGCGTGTCAGAGTAACTTTCTTGGAAGTTTGATTTGAGCATGGTGCTAAACTGGGCTGTGGGTTTGCAGGTGACTTAATTTGCTGTTCGTATGATAGAGAAACATATGGTCTGGTGGCTTTGCAGTCAGTAGACCTGGACTCTGCCATGTAGAAGCTGTGTGACCTCAAACGAGCCACTTATCAATATCAAAAACCAATACTTTTTTGGATGCTTAATATATGCTTAACAAGGTAGATTCATAATCTCATTTGACTACTCCTCCTAACATCCTATCATTGTTTTTAATTGCTTTATAGATGAGGAAACTGAGGCACAGAGAGATGAAGGAACTTGCCCAAGGTCACACAGCTGAGGAACCCAGGCACTCAGATTCTGGGGCCTGCTCTCATAACCACAATGCTACATCCCTGCCTCTAACATCGGGACAACCAGGCCTTCCTCACAGGCATTATCGGGACTATAAGATAAGATGCATAAGGTTTTATCTCCAGAGAGAAGGCAGCTATGGTCCAAGGTCAAACACAGAGGCTACAACTAGAAACCTCTAGACCAAGTTTGGTCCATGTGGTGTTCTCTATAGAGTTTCTTTCTTTTTAATTTGGATTTTCAATACTTTAAAATTAAGAGCACACACATAACAGTATCCTTTTTCAGCTTCCTTAAACCATATCTGAACATTTGGCCAAAGTAGATCCCTGCTGGGGCATGAAATAATCAGCTGATGCCGTTTCCCTCGGTCCTCACCATCCTCTCACGCCTTCCCCTCCTGAGGCTACCGTCAGAGGCCATTTCTCATCCTGCATGCACTGTAGCATTTCTGACACTAGGTACACTTCGCTCGCTATCTGCCTGGCCTCTGTGGGCATGAGGGTTTGTAGACAGAGCAAAACCAAGTAGTTTGTGGGGGTGCGTGCCTATCATTTCCAAAGGGAGCCACAGGTCGGTCATTTGCTATCTATGAGATTCAAAGCTCAGGGTCTTCTCAGAGAGTAAACTCACGAAGGTACGTAGGAATATCTTGCAGGCATTTCTTTCCAGCATGCCACAAACCAGTGGTCTCACAGGGCATGATGTTTTAGTGAGAGCTGGGGCTAAACATAATGTTTTCAGCTTTTTTTTCCTTGCATTTTTTTTTTCTCAGCTCTGGTCTTCTTCTTGGCATTTTTGACACATACCACACGCTGGCCCATCATTTCCTTCTGGTTACCCAGGTGTTCCAAAAGATCCCCCTCCAGTGATACACTCCGTTCTCCAGGGCTCAGATCTGAAAGTGTAGCTATGTTACCTGGGAGAGATGACATGAACACACCATTTTCCCAAGCAGGGCAACCATCAAGGTGAATATCAATTCAAACATTTAGAAATGTAAATTATAACAAGTTATTTTTATGAGTACCAGAAAAATATAACTAGCAGATCAAGTTTATGTTTTCAAGAAAACTACTGGCTAGGAGGAGGTTTTCAAAAAGAATTATTTAAAAGTCGATTTGAAGAAAAATAGTAAGTAAATACTACTACAGGTGAAAAGTCACAGCCAAAATACACGGGGTGATATGTAAATGACTGAAGTTTGCGGAAGACTGCACAGGGTCTCTGCTACCCTCTGAATCTTCTTTTGGCCAAGTCCAGGGGCAGGAGATGGGATACTCCTTTCTCTTCCTGTGCTTCATCTCCATCTCTCTTCCTTCCCCTGAGTCTAGGACACTTTGACCTGGATATATGGGAAGGGATGGAGAGAGTGGGAAGTTTTGCTATTCCTAATCATAGCTATTCCTTAGTCTATGGTGCTGTCTTTGCAAATAGGCCTTTTTAAATTTAAATATAATAATTTTTTAAATTATACTTTAAGTTCTGGGGTACATGTGCAGAACGTGCAGGTTTGTTACATAGGGATACACATGCCATGATGGTTTGCTGCACCCATCAAACCGTCATCTACATTAGGTATTTTTCCTAATGCTATCCCTCCCCTAGCCCCTCACCCCCCAATGGGCCCTGGTGTGTGATGTTCCCCTTCCTGTGTCCATGTGTTCTCATTGTTCAACTCCCACTTATGAGTGAGAACATGTGGTGTTTGGTTTTCTGTTCTTGTGTTAGTTTGCTGAGAATGATGGGGGCTATATGTACGGACAACAGTTGTTGGAAAGACCGTGAGGACCTATGTTGAATTGCGTAAATGAGCTCAGCCCAATTACTTCATCTCTTAAGCCTCAGTTTCCTCATCTGCATGACGGGGAATAAACATAATACTTGATTGAAGTGTTGTTGGAAGGAAGAAATGAGATACAGCATGCAGAGTGGCATGTATACATGGTAGGATGATGGTGATGGAAGGCCTGCAAGGGAGGCTCTTTCTTTAGGTATGGATGTTAAGTTAGGGAGAGAGAGAAGTTGTATCTTGAGGTTTTGTGTGAAGTTTTTGTCCATGAGAACATCTTGACAGAAGGCATAGTTTGTTGGCATATTAACAGCCATGCCCTGGGGCAGCCATTTTCTTATGCCTTTGTTTGGTCTGTGGGGACAGGGAACATTCTGTCCTGTCGGTCAGAAGGAAAGACTGTGGGAGGGGAGGGCAGCCCTGAGCACTTGGCTGCTTTCTAGATTGGGTAAAAACCAGCGAGGACTATCCACAGCCCATCATTTTCCCACCTAGCTCCCTTGCATGAATGCATAGTTAGAATTTTTAAGTCTCAGCCAAGGGTCCAGCTGGGGGAAGGGGAGCACACAAGCACATTACCCTGAATGGACACTGCTGGACTTCTCACCAAGATAGCACGAGCACCAAGGACAGAATGAGCAGAGAAAACTAGCTTGGTTTCTCCCAGAGAGAACTCCCCATTGAAAATGGATTCCTCTCCTTGGTGGGTTTTGATTTGGCTTGCAGTTATTTTCATTGACTTTTGTAATAACCACATTTTCTGGTTTCTATACTAGACACTTTGTCATGTTGAGATCTTGCAGACGCTGGAGGGCTTGGCCAATTCCTAAAGATACTAAAACACTGGACTGCAAATGTGCCTTTCATATGCAAACAAACCAATCCAGAGCCCACCACTTCCTTGGCATCACCACCGCCTTTATGTAGGCTTTTATGCTCTAGGCCACTGGACACCTGCCCCAATTATCCCAGGGCAGGACACCCACCCTCACAGCTCAGAGTCTGCTAAAATTGTTCAAACTAGCCCATTCTGAGCCTGCTTACCCTCTCTCACCCATACCTTCCCACAAAAAGCACAGTAAAGTTTCCCTCCGTTGAGACAAAATGAGACAATTATTGAAAATTGTTTCTGTGTCTGCGTGTTTTATCACACCTGATTAAAACAAATCCTAGGTAGTTGAGACTCTTTGGATAGTGAGCATTCCAGTTAGTAGGATCCAGATATGAACTTATTAAACTCGGCCCTGCAGTCTGCATGGAAACAGCATTATTTACACAGAGCTGGGGTTTTGTCTTTCTTGGGAATCAGATAGACCAGGTCTAAAGCCTGGCTCCAGTTGTTACCAGTGGGTTGACCTCAGATTCTTATTATTGATAGGAGGAAGAATACTTATGTCCTGTGGTTGTCATGAAACAATATCCTAGGACAGGTTTCCAAGAGATGGAAGTTCAGAGCATTTGTCTGTCAAAGGCCCATGGCCTGGAGGGAGTGGGAGGCTACAGCTCTGAGTACCTGCTTGCTGGTGGGTAGGATAGATTTCAAGGGCAAAAGGCTGAGTGCAATAAGGATAAGCCAATCTTGAAAGATCATATACTCTAGGATTTCATTTATATAACATTCACAAAATAACAAAATTATAGGGATGGAGGACAGATCAGTTGTTGCCACGGGTTGGGGATGGCAGTGAGCACGACCATAGAGGGTCAGTAACAGAGAGGTCTTTGTGGTGATGGAGCAGCTCTGTACCTTGACTGGGATGGTAGCTGCACAAATCTACATGTGATGAATGACATAGAACTATACGCATCTCTTGTATCAGTGTTGCATGGTTTTCAGTGATGATGAAATCAACCATCCCAATGGAGACCCACTCTCTGATCAGTGAAGAGCAGCTTTTACATATGTGTCAGGCGGTTTTGGATTCCTTTTCTTCTGGTTCCCTCATCCATCAGAACCTAAAGCAGGTGGCGGCGGGGGAGTGGTGGGGGGGTCCTCAGCCTGCTTCCTCAAATTCCAAAGAGGCAGGAAAACAAGTAAAGGGTAATCAAAGATATACCTTGTCCTCGAAGAAAGATGTTTGGGAAAGGAGGTGGCTTGGAGTTTTTGGCTGATTTCCAAGGAGTAGAAGTGGCAGTTTGGTGGCCATGAACGATGTCATAAAACATACAGCCCTTCGTTGTCCCAGCCAATGGCTGACTGTGGGGGTTTGTCACTAGGGAAGGAGTGACCACATTGTTGAGCGTTTGGTCGGTAGGGAGAGCCTTGGCTGCAACAAGTAGCAACTCAGCCCATGCTGGCTTCTGAGGCTGGGTTGAGACCTGCTTTTGTTCCAGAAAGGTGGGCTCAGGAAGTGCATGGACTTGCTACAAATTCAGCCTGGCCTGTAGATAGGTTTGTTTTTAATATTTGCTTTCAATTTTTTTTACTTGAAATAATTATAACTCCATAGGGAGTTGCAAAAATATTACAGAGAGGTTCCTCCTATCCTTCACCCAGTTTCTTCCAATGGTTACATCTTACATAATTATAGTATAATGTCAAAAACAAGCAGTTGACACTAATACAACAGATGTGTATAGTTCTATGTCATTCATCATATGTGTAGATTTGTGCAGCTACCACTCCAATCAAGGTACAGAGCTGTTCTATCACCACAAAGATCTCCCTGGTGCTACCCCTTCAGTGTCGTGCTCACCCCATCCCTGAGCTGTGGCAACGACTAATCTGTTCCCATCCCTATAATTTTGTTATTTCGTGAATGTTATATAAATGAAATCCTAAAGTATATGATCTTTCAAGATTGGCTTCTTATTTTACTCAGCCTTATTCCCTTGAAATCCATCCAAGTTACTGCATGTAACAAATTATTCATTCCTTTTTATGGTTGCATAGTATTCCAGGGTATGAATAGATGCAGTTTGTTTAACCATTCACCTATCAAGGGACATTTTGATTGTTTTCAGTTTTGGGGTCTTACAAATAAAGCTGCTGTAAGCTTTATGTACAAGTATTTTGCGTGGATGTAAATGTTCATTTTTCTGGGAGAAATGCCCAGGAGTGCAACTGATGAATTATTTGATGAGTAGATGTTTAGTTTCAAAAGAAACTGCTAAACTATTTTCCAGAGTGGTTGTACTGTTTTGCATTCCTATCAGCAGTGTATGTATTCAGTCCGTTCACATCCTCACCAGCACTTGGTGTTGCCACTATTTTAAAATTTTATCTGTTCTACTGGGAGTCTAGTGATATCTGACTGCAGTCTTAATTTGCCTTTTTCTGGTGGCTAGTGATGTTGAATACCTTTGCATGTGTTTATTTGCTATCTGTGTATCCTCATTGTGAAATTTGTCTTCGTGTTCTTCAGATGGAGGTTTGGAAATTTTTGGTTTGGTTAGCAATTCAGAAAGATGAACTTGAATTTGAATTTAATTTGAAAGGTCAACAAGTTAATATAGTAAACCCCAGTCTGAGAGTCTTAGTGTGGTTGTCAAAATGGCAAGCTGGTGCTGTCCTTTGTTATGAACAATCTGTAAGGGGAAGTGAGATGTTCAAAATAAACACCAATGAACATGGTATGTCAATTTAAGCATTTACTAGTTAATAAACATTACCAGCATAGTCTTAAAGTTAGTTAGTTCTTGTGGTTAGCAAAAGTTACAACAATACATGATTGCTACTGAAGACTTCCATGGACCAGGCCCGATTATGTATCATTGGTAATTTTAGTTCTCATCATAGCCCTTTAGGGAGGCTTTATGATCCTATCTTACAGACGACAAAACTGAGACTCAGAGGACAAGACGTGTTCACAGACACACAACTAGGAAGTTTTGAACCCAGACACATTTGATTTCAAAGCCTGTGTGCTTCCTTCTGTGTGCTTCCTTTTGGCCTCTGTTTTGGTCCCCATGACCCGATAAAGATGTTCGTTTACACTCTAGGCAACTTCCATTGCTCTGAGCACTGGGATTCTGTCCACATCTCAGACACTGTCATTGATCCTGGTGGGCACCCTTGTCTGTCAAACTATAAAAGAAGAAATACTCAACATTGGGTAATTTATAAAGAAAAGAGGTTTAATTGACTCACAGTTCTGCATGGCTGGGGAGGCCTCAGGAAACTTACAATCATGGCAGATGGCACCTTTTCACAGGGTGGCCGGAGAGAGAAAAGAGTGCCAGCAGGGGAAATGCCAGACGCTTCTAAAACCATCAGATCTTGTGAGAACTCACTCACTATCACAAGAACGGCATGGAGGAAACCACCCCCATGATTCAGTTACCTCCCACCAGGTCCCTCGCACAAAATGTGGGAATTATGGGAGCTTCTATTCAAGATGAGATTTGGATGGGGACATAGCCAAACCATACCACAAGCCAAGGTGATTTCATTTGAAACCTAGGTTTACTCTGATGGATACCCTGACTGGTCAATGGGCAGACAGGCCACCACCCCCTCCCCTCTGGTAAGTGACTGTATGTCATTGTTTGCACACTCCCTCTACCCCTGGTCTCCTTTGGAATAAAGCTCTTCTAATAAGGAACATGGGTTTTCATCTGACAATTTGCATCTATCAGGTCTCTGCAGGAAACAGGTGGCACACACAGAGGAGAGTTACATCAGAGTGCAGGGCAGGACAAAGGGGACCAGCAAGAAATGGAGAGGCACCTGGGGTCAGCCCTTGCAGGAAGCCCTGACCACTCCCAAACTGAATGGGAAAAGCGGGACAGGTGCTGTTGGACCCCAGAGACAGCTGGGGCATGGAAAGAGGCTCTGCTTTCCAGAAGCTGTGGGCAGACAGCCATGACCAGACCTGCAGTGGAGCAGGTGGGGAGTGGGACTGTGCCTCCTATTGGCCAAACCAAGCTGGGAACCACAGGGCAAGGGGCAGGTGACACAGGCTGTGAGAGGTTGGCCTGCCAGGGCACAGAGCAGGGCAGAGAGGGTGAAGAATGGGTAGGGGTGCCAGGGTGAGAGGTAGGCTGAGTAATGGCCTCTCAAATGTCCATGTCTTAATCCCCAGGACCCTACATGGCAAAAGGCTTGGCAGACGTGACAAAGTGAAGAGTCTTGAGATGGGGAGATGATCCTGCATTGTCTGGATGGGCTGGGTGTGGTCGTGACAGTTTTCATAAGAGGGCTGCAGGACTACAGTGAGTACGAGACGCGATGATGGAAGCGAGGAGTTGGAGTGATGGGAGGAAGTGGTCACGAGCTAAGGATTGTGGGCAGCCTCTAGAAGCAGAAAAAAGCAAGGAAATGGTTTCTCCCCTCAGTGGCTCCAGGAGGAATCTGCCCTGCGAATTCCTTAACTTTGGTCAGTGAAACTGATTTTTAAAAAATTTTAGATTCATGGGGTAGATGTGCAGGTTTGTTACAAGAGCATATTGTGTGATGCTGAGGTTTGGCTTCTGTCGCCCAGATAATTGAACAGAGTGCCCAGTAGAAAGTTTTTCAGCCCATCCCCTCCTCCCTCCCTCCCTCCCTCCCTCTCTCCCTCTCTCCCTTTCTACCTCCCTCCCTCTCTCCCTCCCTCTCTCCCTCCCTCCTTTTGGAGTCCCCAGTGTCTATTGCTCTCAACTTTACGTTTGTGTGTACCCAAGGTTTAGCTCCCACTTCTGAGTAAGAAAATGAGATATTGGTTTTCTATGAAAGAAACTGATTTTGGACTTCTGACCTCTAAAACTGTGAGAGGATACATTTCTAATTCTTTAAAGCCACTGACTTAATGGTAACTCATTACAGTGGCTGCAGGAATCTAATACACATGGTTTTCTTTCATTTGGTCATCACAACTTTAATGCATATCTTCCATGATGTGTCAGGGGGACTTTTTCGCATATGGTGCTTCCTGCAGGGGCAGCGGGAGATGCCACAGCCATTTGGTTCTAGCCAAGTCGGTGATTGGTGGAGTAACGTTGAGTGCCCTGCCCTTCACAGGCTCCAGCTGGCTTGGTCAGATCAGCAGGGCTCTGGGACCAAGCTGAGGGGCCAAGGTATCTTGGCTTCTGTGGAGTAGGGTGGCCATTGTGTAGCATCCTCCCTAGGAAGTCTGCTTGTGCTGAGGACAGGGGGTCCTGCTGGCCCATTGAGTCGTGGGACCTATATTAGATTTCTGTCATCATAAACTTAGCAGCTTAGAACAACATAGATTTATTCTCTTGCAGTGCTGGAGGTCACAAGTCCAAAATCAGTCAAGGTGTTGGCGTTCCAGAGGTTTTAGGGGAGAATCTGTTGCTTTTCTCTTTTCACCTTCTGGTGGCCACCTGCCTTCCTTGGCTTGGGGCCTCTTCCTCCATCTCCAAAGCTCATCACTGCAGCCTCTGCTTCTGTCACCCCATCGCCTTCTCTGACTCGACTCTTCCTGCCTCCCTTATGATGAGACAGAGCCACCTGGGTAATGCAGAATCATTTCCCCATCTCCAGATCCTTGACTTAGTCACATCACAGAGTCCCTTTCACCATATAACTAACATTCATAGGTCCTAAGAATTCGGATACGGGCATCTTTGGGAGCCATTATTCAGCCTAGCACATGCCCCGCTCAGAGCAGGAGGTTGCAAATGTCCTTTGAACTTTGGTAGACCCCTAGCCCACAGCTGTCCCTGGAAGGCCATGGGCAGTGCTCAGGGTCTGAGGCCAGCCTTCCTCTGTGTGCATGTGAACACTACTCAATTTGAGGGCCACTTGCAGCCACCATTTGGCTTTTCCTCAATGCATTTGCCCCCCCCCCGCTCCCCGCCCCCCGCAAAAGGGATCTTCAACAGCCTTTCCCAAAAAGAACATAGAAATGTGATCATGTACACATCTGTACACACATGAACAGATGTGATCACGAGATTTTGTAGAAATCACCCAGAGCTTGCTGTAGGACTCAGGGAGCTGGGTTTCAGCAACCTGTCTGAGAAGAATTCAAACACATCTGTGATGAAAGGCCTGATGAGTTTCCATGGTGCTCTTCCCAGCTTTCTTCCTGAGAGGGTTCCTAACTTCTCTGAAGTCAAGTTGAGCGTCCACATCTAAAGCCCCAGGTAAGTTCATGGTGACCAGGACTCCAGTTAGTGGTTACTTGTCTATCTCCACAAGGATATTTCCTACAACAACAGGAGTTTGGGTACCTCCAGAAGAAATGCTTGGGCCTCAGCAACGGTGCCACATTTAAAGGTTGATGGGGGTCACTGGAGGTAGGTGGGGTCTCCAAACACAGCTTAGGGAACACTGGGATGGGTAGTGAGAGAGAGTGAAGGGAGGGCTGCATTGTGAACCTGCATCTTTCTAAAGAGAGGAAGCCTTTGGAAGGCACCTGAGGACTGAAGACAGGGAACCCAAGCTATTTCTAAACTGCCATGATTGATTGTATTGTGTGCAGGCAGCCTTTGCTTATGAATGAGCTAGGAAATTTAGCTGAAAATGTTACAAGCCGGGCTAGGCGCAGCGGCTCACATCTGTAATCCCAGTGCTTTGGGAGGCTGAGGCAAACAGATTGCTTGAGCCCAAAAGTTCAAGACCAGCCTGGGCAACATGGTGAAACCCCATCTCTACAAATAATACAAAAATTACCTGGGTTGGATGGTTCACACCTGTAGTTTAAGCTACCCAGGAGGCTGAGGCAGGAGGATCACTTGAGCCCAGGAGGTTGAGGCTATAGTGAGCCACGATCACTCTACTGCACTCCAATCAGGGCTACAGAGTGAGACCCTGTCTCAAACAAGCAAGCAAACAAACAAACAAACAAACACACAAACAGGCAAACAAAAACAAAGACGAAAATGATAAAAGCATAACAGACTGGCTTATGCCATATCTTCATCCATTAGTGCTGCTATAACAAA
This sequence comes from Homo sapiens, assembly GCF_000001405.40. NCBI lineage: Eukaryota > Metazoa > Chordata > Mammalia > Primates > Hominidae > Homo > Homo sapiens. The sequence goes on from NC_000005.10 coordinate 173,493,943, forward strand.
ATACTCCAGACTGGGTAATTTATAAAGAAGAGAATTTCATTTCTTACAGTTCTGGAGGCTGGGCAGTCCAAGATCAAGGCACTGGTACGGGTGTCTGGTAAGGGCTGCTCTCTGCTTCCTAGGTGGTGCCTTGTTGCCGCGTCCCCAGCCGGCAGAAGGAGGAAGGGCAGGAAGGACTTCAACTAGTTCCCTCCAGCCCTTTGAGAGGTCAGGAATCCATTCATGAGGGCTCTGCTCTCACGTCTTAATCACCTCCCAAAGTGCCTGAATGCCTTGTCTGTTAATACAACCCCAGAGGGATTACATTTCATAGAAATTTTGGAGGGGACACCTTCAAATCATAGCAAGCTGGAAAAAAAAAAAAAAAAAAAAAAAAAAAAGAAGCAGAGAGAGAGAAGGTTTTTTTTTTTTTTTTTTTTACACTCAAGTATCTTTATAGATTTACAGAATTCATAGATAGAGCCTGCCTCCTTCAGGCACAGCTGGATCTGGAGGCCCAGATGTATCATCAGGTTTGCATCTCTCCCTTCTGCCACATTCCCATTAGCACCCTGTTAACTCTGGCTTGCTCCCTATCACTAAGCAGCCTCAGTAGAAAGAATGATGTTTTTCCCAGTAATTTAACAGAAGTTGTTGGGCTAATTCTCACTGGCTTGGTTTGGGCCACGTGACCATCCCCAAACCAATTCCCAGGTGGCAGGGAGGATGTGGTGCTCTGATTGGCTGGGTCTGGGTCCCATGTCCATCCGTGTAGCCAAGACCTGGGGTCAGATATGGCTGAACCACAGGCCTGAAAAAGGAGGAAGATTGGCTTCCCAAGAGAAGTTGGGTGCTGTTAACAGAAGATGAGGTGCAGATGCTGGTGAGGCAGCAAATGCCCATGGGAACTTACAAAGTAGAAGAAAGGGCTTTATTAAAAGGCAACAATTATCTGTTAGATTGCTTGCTAGTAGAAGGAAGGGGCATATGTGTTGCTTTTACAAATCTTTCTAGAACATTTTTTCAGAATCCTTAGTCCTGCTCCTTAGTTATGGGAGGACATATTCCATGAGACTTTAAGACAACTGGGATTATTTATTTAGTAAACCCTACAAAGAGAACAAGACACTAATTCTTTTTTTAAAAAAGACATTTGCAAGGTTTTAGAGTTCAGAGAATGATCTTTCCCAAGTGCTCTTCAGTGGACAAAATGAATAAAAATTTATATACATTGCTTATCAATGTATACAAATTATACCCAGAAATTCCATTCATTAAACTGCTCTCAAATGAGAGACATGGGAAGGGAGGTCCTGATGCTCTTGGACACACAGGCTCTCCTGATGCTTTTAATAAGGGAGGCTTGTTCCAGCCAGTTGTTCTGGCTGTGGTCCAGTGAAGCTTGTTACATTCTATCATCTCCCAAATTCCTCTTCAATTTCCTGTGAACTTTTTCCTTTTTTTCCCCATTCCTTTTATCTTTTTTTGAAATTTTAAAAATTCCATTTTCAGCATGAATCTGCTTCCCGGCTATTTATAAGAGCTGTGTGCCACCAAGAGGTGACTGGTTTTTCAGAAAGAGACAGAAACATTTTGTTTTCTGTGCCCTTCCTGAACTTGAATGTGGAGTGAGATGTGACCAGACCCAAGGTTTCGCTCAGGTGCCACCGTGGCTAGAGGATGGCAGTAGCAGTTAGGACACATGGCAAGTAACAACAACAATAACAAACAAAAATAAAAAATAAAGCAAACCAATACAAACAAACAAACTCCTCAAACTGGCTAACATGTTACAGGAATGTATTGGCTCCTGTAATTCAAATGTCTAGAGACTGTAGGGCTTCAGGCACAGTTTGATCAGGCTTCAGCATTGCTTCTCTCCATGAAAGGAGAGATTTTCATCTGTTTTATTCACTAATGTAATTGAGGCACCTGGAAAAGTATCTGGAACAATAAATATTTTTTGGATGAACACAATTATCTCAACCTCTGCCTTTCTTTCTCTGTGAGTTGGTTTAGCCTCAGGCAGTACAGAGCAGTGGATGGTGGGATGATGTCTTCCCTCTCTCTCTCTCTCTTTCTCTTTCCTCCTTTGCTTTCTCTCCCCCCATAGTGCACCCACTTGCACTATTACCTAAATCTTCACAACTGCCCAAGGCCTCTAGCATTTTACAGAGAAGGAAACTGAGGCCAGGTCTCTGAAAGAATCTGCCTTTAGACAGTCCTTTCATTCTCCTGTGAAAGACCGTGGCAGATACATTTCCACTTTAATCTCTCAGCCCCTACCTTGGTTTACATTCCAAAGAAACAGCTGCCTCCCAGCCAGCTGGACAAGGAGCTGAAATTCATTCACTAGTCCTGCTGGACTCTCTGTTCTCAAATAGGCAACACAATTCTTTCTTATCATAACTGCTGTCAGTTTGTGAAAAGGGAACACGTGGCAGCTTGACCGCTCCACTGGGACAGCCGTGAACCACTGCCACCGCCACTGTGGGGAGAAGCACTGAGGTCACCCTAGGCCCCACTCAGGCTAGGTCTCTGGGGCTGATGGGCTCTTCTGACTACAGCTGCTTTGAATCTAAACTCTCCTCTGTGGAGCGTCCCCCAAAATCACACTGTTTTTTTAAAAAAATAACTAAATGTACCCTGATTGGGAGTTAACTGGATTTCCTGTTATTTAAATATTCAAATATTTAAATGTTAGTTAAATATTCAAACATTTAACACCTTTTCGTTCTCTGATTTGAGAATGTCTCATGTCCTTAGGATGAGCCTCCTGGTGGAGGAGAGTGCTCCTGCCTCTCCTGCCTCTCTTTATGGATTGTATGTCAAGGAGACACCCGCAAGGACTCTGGTGGCCTGGACATACTTCTGGAAGACTGACTCTTCCAGACTGATGAAACCAAAGGTGAGAAGGAGGCACGAACAGAATCCAACAAAAATTACACAGTTTGAGCTTCAGTCCAGACCCCAGGATCAAAGGCAGTGTGTAACAGACCCCGCGTAGTAGCCAGAACTTTTTAAACAGGACTGTGTTGCCAGGCTGAGAATCCACAGAGGCTGGCCAGAGATAACACAAGGAGAAACCAACAGTCTCTCCAGTTTTGGTGTGGAATTTGCAGTAGTAGCCTGGGCCAGGGTCCACAGCATTGCACGCATGCTCCACTAGGTCATTTTAGCACACTGCATTTTCTAACTCTTCGTGAACTCAAACTAAGAGAAGACATCATTAGCAACCTGATTTCCGAGTTGTTACTTCCTCTCAATCCCCTAAATCCCCCATGCAGGTAAAATGGGGAACTGTGTGATGGATAGCAGAGCGGGTAGGTGAATGTACATCTGTTGAACAACGCTTCTTGATGAATGGATGGAGACCGATCTGTGTGGAGGACTCTGGGTCGGGGGAGGGCTTTTCCTTATACAGCATTTTCATGAATGGTCTCAATAAAGATATGGAAGGCAGGCTTATCACATTTGCAGATGAAACAAAGCCAGGATAGAAAGGTGATGCTATAGACGATGGAAAGAAAATGCCAAAGGTCTTAGGCTCCAACCAAGTGTGACACCTAACAGAGATGAATGTCAAGTGTCACGTTTAGATCCATGACACAAATCTGTGAATTGATCCACATCGCTGGGGAAGGCCTGACTTTAACTTCCTTCCTGGTTTCCAACTCTTGGTGTCTTTTTGTTCTCCCACAAAGCTTCCTTCTTATCCATGGTTCCTTTCCGTGGATCCCTTTTCTCCCTAAAGTGATCCTGGAGCTGTATGGGAATGTTCCACGCTACCCCTGCTGTGTCCTCTTAGGACAATGCCTTCCAGCCCTCTGGGACCCACCTGGGGGACAGAGTGAGAACTGTGGTTCTCAGAGCCACAAATAGGACAAGCAACTCCATGGACAGAGGTCAGGCAAAGGCTTCATGGGTGCCCGGGAGGAGGCTGCGCCACCGAGCAGGAAGTGGCCACCACAGGTTGCAAGTGGCCGGCTGTGGGATGGGCCTTCGGGCTGCTGGAGACCCCGTTCTGCGTGGCTTCCCGCACCCGATGGCCCGTTCCCCAGTCTTGGAATGCTTGGATCATAAGGGCTCTGATCTTTTGTGAGCTCTGCCGTTTTTGTTTGTTTCAAGATCTTTATCACAGTTAAATAATTTTTTTAGGAGTTTATGTATGGGTAGTTTAAATGTTCTTGAATATGTTTTTTTTCATTTAAAATTTTTTAATCTCTCAATCCTAAATACACACACACACACACACACACACACACACACACACACGCAGACATACACATATGCAGCCTTCTGTGAATATTGGATATGGAACCAATTACTCTAGGTTGCAGTAATTACTTTTATATAACTAGAGTTGGGGACTTGTGAATCAATTCCATACCCATTAGCAATGTACGCGTGAGCCAAGATTTTTTTTTTCTTTCTTTTTTTAACAGGACTGGACAGTGTTGAATCCTTGGGGGGAAGAAAAACCAACACTTTTTTTTTAAGCTGACAGCACATTCCATCCACTCGGCAATGTAGAACTAATGAAGATATAAGTGTAAGAAAACCTATAATTGAATCCAGCACGTAGCAAGCATAGTTGAGCGGCGAGTACACCCAAGCTGAAATCACATGTGCTCCTGTCTAATCCTCTCCGGGCGCCCAGCACAGGGAAATATTTCTGGATTGTGTCTCAGGCTGTGATTTCTATCCAAGGCAGAATAGAAACGGCCTTTTCCCTGGGCAGAGGCTTTGGGCTGTCAGGGGACACCTGAGTTGCCTTTGATAAGGCTGCCGTTTGGATGGTGATTTAAAGAGCAAGTCTAGAAAAAAATAACCTTGAGAAAGAGGAGTGTTTTGGACTAGAGCCCTTCTTGCGCGCTTTCATTCCGCTTCCCTTGCCAGTGTTTCTCAGTTTCCCCCATGGTGGCTGGAGGTGCGTCTGTCCCCACAACCCAGAATTGGGGCAGTCCCTCAGGAGCTGCTTTTCGATCCCAGCCCTCTGGTGTCCAACATTCAGAGCAAGCCCGATCAACCCAGCCCACTAAGTTCCCTGCATCCGAGGACCCCTTTGATGCGTGGATCCGAGTGGGAGGGAGGCCAGAGTGCAACTGTGTTTTCCTTTCAACATTCCTCAGGAGTGATTCACTGCCAGGTGTCCCCAATACCCCCAGCTGCTCCGTCCCCTGCAGTTGTTCCGTAGGGATGAGGCTTTTTGATGCCCTGTCCTTGGCCCTGCCTGGCTTCCTGTCTGGGGCAGGAGAGAGCAGAATGGCCCCCAGAAACTCTGCTCTGGATGTAGGACTGCTTGCTCTGGAAGCTGTGGTGTGTGCCTCTGGCAGGCTGCTCTGACCAGCAAGCGGCAGCTGGATGCTTTGTGCACTGAACTAAGGCTGCGGTGGGTTGAATGTGCATACCTCTGCGTGGCTCCCACAGTACCCACCACTCCCTGTTGTTTCCTGCTCAGTGTAACGTTCTATTTCGTTATCTGGGTTCTCTGCTGGGCAGTGTTTGAGTTTAGACCCTGACCAGAGAGAGGGAGCAGGTGCTGTGCCATGTGGCCACTGTGGCGGATTTATGCAGGGGCACCCACTCCCCGGCTGCCCCTGCCTCCAGGCAGTTGAGCTGAGGGTGTTTGCTCAGCTGCCCTGGCGCCTAGCCTGTGGGGCCATGGCCTTCTGCTTCTAGGCCATGGAAGGTGGCATGGGCCCAGAGAATTGGGCAGGTGTGCTGCCAGGCCCAGTCCCCGGGGCCTTGGGGGCCTGGATTGGAAGCTGCAGGGAGGTCCCTGGGAGTCCTCTGAGCAGGCGGCCTGCGTTGGGACACCCTGGCCTTTTAGCTGTTGAGTCCTAGTTGGAAGGGGCATTCATTCCAGGGACATTCTTTCTGTCTGGAGCAGAGACTTGGCCTGAACCTTGAACCAAAAACCGGAACAAACTGCACTCGTTTGCTCAACCTCGAACCAAATCCAAATATTGTTTATATCGCTGAGAACCAAACCAGGGTTCTGGGGTTTGGTTTGGTTTGTTTTCCCACCAGAGAACATTTAGGGAACAAGGCTGAGCTGCAACAGGACTAGGAGGGAACCTGAAGAGGCCCTTTGTGTGGATTTTGGACTCAGCGAGCTCTCGGTCAGGGGAACACTGCAAGACACAGTTAGGTCTGCAGAGGTTGCACTAGGTGGACTGTAGGGCTGGAGAAGCTATGGGGCCAACGTCTGTCCTGAGGAGAGGACAGTCACAAGTCCACATCTCTGTAAACAGTGCTGTGTGGTGTGGGATGCCCCGTACATTGCTACCAGGCAGCAGTGATGACTAGGGGATGCCAACGGTGGGTACAGAACTGCATACATGGAGGGAACTTTAATGAAATCATGCACCGATTGATTTTTCTGAATTTATTTCCGGTTTACTCTAGGTCACTCAATAGCCATCTGCTTAGCACCTGGCGCCATACTGAGGCAGATCCCAAAGAAACAGCAAAGGGTTGGCCTCCACTCTCTCCGAGTCCTTGGTACACTTTGGGGGCTGGCGCTACAGTGTCTTGGAGATACACTGTCATGTTCAAATAGTGTAGCTCACAAATTCATGTCCCCTTGGAAGCTCAGGATGTGGCCCTATCTGGAAATAGGGTCTTTGTAGATGTAATTCATTAAGGTTCTCATGACAAAAGCGTCCTGGATTTTGAGTGGGCATGAACTCCAATGACTGGTGTCCTTGTAATAAGAGGAGAGGACACACAGCCACACAGGGAGAAGGAGGCCACATGAAGACAGGGGCAGAGGCTGGAGGGAGGCAGCCAGAAGCCAAGGAGGCCAGGGAGGAGTTGCTCCTGGAGTCTTCGGAGGGAGTGCAGACCTGTGACACTGTGAAAGGTGTCCCTTTCCTGTGGGAAAGTAAATATCTGTTGTTTGAAGCCACTCACAGTCACACAAACCAAATAGTGAAGCCCCCGAGATGCCACACTCACACCTCCTTTCTTTGAAAAAGTGAATTCTTCTGCATAATTAGCCACATTTTTGTCATGTGACCTTGCCACCCTGGTCACACATGGTTGGACCCAGGATTGGTTGGACATATGGCAATGCCCATGCTGGATTGGGAGATTTCTCATCAGCTTGTCCTTTGAGAAAAAGAGACACATGCACACAGAGGGGCATCTGGTGGAAGTCAAGATATGGAGCAGGAGGCAGAAACCTGAAAATAGGTTGATGCAGAGAGCGGCAAGAAGCTCTGATGAAGAGAGAGCGAGCGAGAGTGAGAGTGTTAGGGGCAGTCTGCAGAATCGGTGGCCATGTTGCTCACTCAGCAGAAGCACTGTTAGATCCTCCAAGAAGCCTGGGTCCGGCTACTGTGAATGCATTTGCTTCCTAGGCTCCTGCACTTCCTCTGGATTCTCGTAGTCCAGCCCCAAGTCCAGAGAGAACCCGGGCACTCCTCTGTTCCCGGCAAATGAAACAGCCCAGCCAACACCAAACACAGGTGACACCACCGAGAAAAATAGGCACTCACATTTGGTTGTGTTTCATCCAAGGCCAGCCCGTATATAAACTATTTCCTGGCTGTGTTACCCGTGCAGTTGCTTAACCTCTGTGAGTGTCATCTATCAAATGGAGTTCATGCCATCCTCAGAGGGTTTTGTGAGGATTAAATAAGCCATAGAAAACGAAACACTCACTCCAATGCCTGGCATCAAGCAGGGTCCTCATGGTTTCCTTTGCTTCGAGGGGATGCAGCAATTCAAAGTCTGGATTGAGGTCTGGGTCTATAGTGTTGAAAACTGACACATGCTTCCACATGCTTCCAGTTTAACCAGTCTGCAAGTGATATTTTGAAAACTCTTTGGAAGGGTTCAGTTCAAGTTTCCATAACACAATTGAACTTGGGTGGAAATTTAGCAAAGCAGTGTGTTCCTCCTCCCCGCCCTGGACTTTTTTTCTTTCTTGTTTATGGCTTGATTTTCACTGATGTTCCTGCAAGAACTCATCCATACAGCATTAATTAAGACATCAGCAGAGGCCCTGAAAGTTGATTTTTGGAGCCCATTAGCCTGCCAGAACATTTCCTAGCTTATGAAAAAATTTTTTTTACAAGTCTGATAACACTTTGTACATCATTGGACCTCAACAGTATCGCGCAACCAAATCAGCACTGGCCTCACCCTCACTGTTTCCTAACGCTGCGCCATTCTCTAGTGCTCCAGCTCTGGGCCACGCCCCCGGCCTGGGCACCCAGTCCTTTAAGAGAGACAGCATAAGATTTTTAAAATGTGGAATCATGTTCCTCACGGGCACGCGACTTAGGAAAAACAAGGAGAGTTGAGGCAAAACAGATCATATTATCTAGTGCAGCCTATCGTGTCTTCCGGAGGTAGAAATGCTTCTTTAGGAGGTCCCCAGTGCGGTTCCCAGGCCCTGTGCCTCCAGTTCCACCCTCTGATTTTCATCCTTGGTCTTCTCCTCTTCCTACCAGGCTGGCTCAGCCGCCAGCCTGCTCTGTGGCTGAGCAGTTCCGTAGCAGGGCTCTGCTGCATGCATTTCCCAGTGTGCTTTCCCAGTGATGGCTCCCAGTGGAGAGGATAAAGGTGTGGTGGGAAAGGAAAAAAGACCCCCATGTGAATGACCAAAAATAGCAGCTCTAGCTAGGGGAGGGCAAGGAGGCGGGGGGCAAGAAATGGGGATGTATACAGAGGCTGTGAGGGGCCCTGTAATGTTTTATTTCTTTTTTGAGATATGGTCTCACTCCCGTCGCCCAGGCCAGAGTGCAGTGCACCACCACGCCTGGCTAATTGTCTGTATTTTTTTTAGTAGAGATGGGGTTTCACCATGTTGCTCTGGCTGGTCTCAAACTCCTGGACTCAAGTGATCCACTTGCCTTGGTCTCCAAAAGTACTGGGGTTACAGGCGTGAACTACCATGCCTAGCCTGTTTTATTTCTTTGTTTTAAAAAAAGGTTGGTGGGAAAAATGGCATCATGATAAGACAATAAGTTTGGTTAGAGCTTACAAGATATGTGCTAGTATTCTCCCGACTTGCTTATATGTTTGAAATATCTTATATTTATAAAATTTTTGAATTTTTGTTGTCATTTTTTAGAGACAGTGTCCTGTTGTTGCCCAAGCTAGAGTGCAGTGGCACGATCATGGCTCACTGCAGCCCCAATCTCCTGGGCTCAAGCAATCCTCCTGCCTCAGCCTACCAAGTAGCTGAGACCACAGGCATGTGCCACTACACCCAGCTGGTTTTTTAATTTTTTGTAGAGACAGGGTCTTGCTATGTTACCCAGGCTGGCCTTGAACTCTTGGCCTCAAGCTTATAATAAAGCTTTATTTTAAAAATACTTGGAAAGAGATGTTGGACTTAAAAAGAATAAAATAAAAAAGAATTTCCTGTGTTGAGAAAGCTTTTAAAAGCAGTCTATACGGAATTTGCCCTACGTGAATGAGAACTGGGGTATTGAAATTCTTCTTGAGTATTTGAATGACTATTTGAGCACATCATAGAGATATAGATTGAAATAGCTTCCCCTGTCACAGAAAGCCACATATTTAATCCATTGACACAATGTAGACCTTTGAAGTATCTGACCCTGTATGAAGGTTTCTTCAAACGATGATTCTGCTTTAGGGCCCTCTTTGTGATGGGATTTTTCATTCTTTCCTCCAAAGCCAGTTTATTTCTCAAGATTGTTCTCTGCTGAATAAGAAGAGAAGTATTTGGGCAATCACTGCCCGTAGCTAGGACTCTTGTTCCTTGGGATCTGGGGCCAAAGCGAGGATTGTTTTCGAGGCTCCAGGATGACCGTGTGTCGTGAGAGCAGCTGTTGCGTGCTCAGCTCTTGTACGCTGGGCCTGTGTAAGTGTTCCTGGATCTACATCCTGGTGTCCTCAATGCACTCCTGCGATGTCCATGAGTGCTGGAGGTCAGGCAGGGCAGCGAGTTCATTCACACCCAGAAACTGAGGCAAGCTCTAATTTGCTTCTGAGATGGCTAAGGACTAGGGGAACACTATTTATGGAGGCTTGAACCCCTTCATTATGACCTGGTGCTGTTCGGATTTCTCTTTGTGTGTGCATCCCTGGAGGTATATAGTTACCTTTTCCTTGACTAAGAGCTTTCAGAACATGGAGAGGCCATGCACAAGAAGACCTCCTACAACCAGCGGTGACCTCTTTGATTTCTTGGAGGGTTTGTGTGGTGATTTTAGCCAGTCCTCCAGGACTTGACCTGGGCAGCAATGAAGGGCCCAAGGTGTGCTGAGTGTGCTGCAGAGGAGAGTCAGAAGCCAGAGAGGGGCTGTTGTGCCCTCTGCTTGTTACATCACTTGAATGAACACCCTTCTCATGGTGATGATAATATCCAATCAAAACATTGCCTAGTAAATGAAAGAACTCCCAGGGAACAAAGCAGGACCAATTTAAGCAACAAAATAAAGTAGTATTGCATTCTAACCTAAAATATAAAATAAATAACCACAAGTCCATTTTGATATAAACACATGATTGATATGTTAATAAATTGAGGAGAAAATAACAAATATCCTATGTGGGAAAATCCCAAGTAATTTATGTAGCTATTTTTGTTGTTGTTGTTGTTTTTAGAGACAAGGTCTCACCCTGTTGCCCAGGCTGGAGTGCAGTGGCACAATCATGGCTCACTGCAACCTCTGCCTCCTCAGGATAAAGGGATCCTCCTGCCTCAGCCTCCTGAGTAGCTGGGACCACAGACGCATGCTACCATGCCCGCCTAATTTTTGTATTTTTTGTAGAGACGGGATTTCACCATATTGTCCAGGCTGGTCTTGAATGCCTAGGCTCAAGCAATCTGCCTGCCTCAGCCTCCCAAAGTGCTGGGATTACAGGTGTGAGCCGCTGGGCCAGGCTATTCTACCTTAAAGGAGGTGGAGAATAACTCATCACTCCTCAAGCGTGGGTTGTGCATAGCACGTTTCTTCCAAAGAGTTCGCCATGCAAAGTGGGGAAAACTGGGCAGTGGGGAGTGGAGAGACCTGACAAACACTACCTCAGCCAGGCGGTCAAGGCCAGCACCAGCAGTCATAAACCATGTGGACAGCATGACCCTGGATATGATGTGCTGAAAATAGTGCTTTACTTCTGTGATCTGCCTTCCACAAACCCATACCCTCGGTAAAATTATGAGAGAAACACCAGACAAATTCTCATAGTAGGGCAGCCTGCAATATACCTGCCCAGTACTCATCAGAACTGCCAAGGTTGCTAAAAACAAGGGAAGTCTGAGAAACTCACAGCAAAGAGGAGCTTCAGGAGACATGACAGCTAAATGTGAGGTGGCATCCTGGATGGGTTCCTGGAACACGAAAAGGACATCAGGCTAAAACTAAGGCAACCTGAATGAACCATTGAATTTAGTTAATAATAATGTTTCAATCTTGGTTTTTTAATTATAACAAATGTACCACACATATGAGATGCTAGTAATAGGGGAATTGTGTGTGTGGGAGGGGTGGGTGGGGTATAGATGGGAACTCTGTATTCTCTATGCAATTTTTCTGTAAATCTAAAACTGTTCTCAAAAAGTCTATTAATTTTTTAAAAATTAAGGAAAATAGGAAAAAGTACACTGAGATGACAATAGCAGACATTTTTGTTCCATGCATACATAAATAATTAAGATGTCATATTTATTTCAAGCTTCTTTAATACATAAATTATAAAAGTTGAAAAAAATGTTGCTGCAATGGATCAACTAAAAATATGGTTGTAAAAATACTATAGCATCTGTGGTGGATTTAAGATGGTCACAGATTCTTTGGCTCTCTGTTTCTTCACCCCCTTGAATCTGGGCAGAAGTGATGTGTGCCAGTACAAGGCTTGTCTTTGACAAGACTGGCTGTTTCTGCCTTCTGGAACATGGCAGCCATGTTGTGAGGCAGCCCAAGCAGCCACGTAGAGAAGCTCACGAACTTTCTTCATATACTGACAGCCCAGTTGAACTTCCAGCCCACAGCTAGCACCAACTTGCCAGCCATGTGAGTGAATCATCGTGGAAATGATATCTGCCAGCCCTGGCCAAAATGCCCCAGCTGATGCCACATAAAGCAAAAATTAGCAGTTGCCACCAAGCCCTGCCTAAATTGCAAAATCGTGAGTAAAAAATGATTGGTGTTGTTTTAAGCCTCCAAGTTTCAGGATGATTGGTTATCCTAATAAAAGATGACCCAAACAGTACTGTACAAACAGAAATATTTGACCCTATGTCTTATCTTGTATTTGAGACTAACAATCCCATCCATTCTTCCATAGGTTGAGATGTTTCCCAAAATGCCTCACAAATATTCTGGGATGTCACCTTTTGCAATGGATCTGCAGGTTCCATCGTGCCCTAGCTTTTTGCCTGAGGGGAGGCTCTGGCCATGGGTCCCTTTTCAGGTCAGCAAGAGTGCCGTGCAGAGCAGGAGCCCCATCCAATGCTCTACAGGTATACCATCCAATACTGTCCAATATTGTAGCCATATGTGACTAATGAGCACTTGAAGTGTAGCTAGACTGAGATGTGCTGGAAGCACACAAAACACAACTCATTGTACAGGCTTATACAGTACTAGTCTTCGAGAGAATGTAAAATATCTCACTAATAATTTTATATTAATTATGTGTTGAATTGATAAAATTTGGATGTACTGGATTAAATAAAATACCTTATCAAAGTTAATTTCACCTTCTTCTCTTTATTTTTTTTTAATGTGGCTACTAAAACTTTTAAAATTACATAGGTGACCCATTATATTTCTAGGGGACAGCACTGCTGTAGAGAAAAGTGTTCTGGGTTGAACGTGTAGTTTGAGAAATGCTGCTTAGTTACCCCTTCCCGGAGAATGACAGGGCACAGGAGCACATTCAAGGCTCTGAGAAGATCTGCAGTAAAGGAACCTGTTTAACCCTGGGGCATGATCAGGATTGCAATGGACAAATAGAAATATTTAATTGGATCTTCTATGACCAGCTCCTGTTTGTCATTCAGCTCCCAGTTCCAATGTGTCTGTTCTCAGTGAGGCCTTTCCTGACTACTCTCTCTAAAATAACCCCCTCCCAACCAGTTACTCCCCATCACGTCATTTTGCTTTATTTTCCTTTATTTTCTTTCATATTTTTTTCTCCTTGGCTGGAATTAATCCTGGGTATCTATCAGGGTTCTCATAGGAAACAAGTGACACTCAAAATAGATGACTTGAGACGTTTAAAAAGGGCTGTTTATAAAGGTGGGGAGGAGTTTAGGGAAGCAATAGAGATGCTATAGGATCCTGGCCTCAGCTGGGAGCTGACACCGCCCCGAGCTTGAAGGGGCAAGTGGAGGGGACAGTTATCAGTACCCAGAGAGGGAGGCTGGGTGGAGGGATGGCCAGGTGGAAGCCGGGGCCTCCGTAAGGGGACATGGTCAGCCTGTGGCCACCCCACAGGGAGGGAGCTGGGGGAATGAATATACTAATCTTCTCCATCCCCAGCTCTGGACTCCTGCCAATCCTCCCTTGGCCAAGGCCTCCAGAAGTCAGAGAGCGAGGGAACATATGAACTATCTATCCTGGTCTACTGTCAATCTCCTTCCACTGAAATATCAGCTCCACAAGGCTAGTGGTGTCATGGATTTGCTCACTGCTGTAGGTGCCTAGTGAATATTTGCTGGAAATGGAATACATGGGTGAGTACATAAATAGTTGCTTATGTTCGAAAGCCAAAGGCCTCAGGACACTGAGGTCCTAAGTGACACTTGTCCTAAGTGACAGAGCTAATCTGCCCCCCTTTTATTTTTTAGTAAATCTTTTTGATATTAGAGCCTAAATATACAAAACATACAAACTATAAGGACATGCTTCCGTGAATTTTCACAAACTGAGTTCACCCAGGTACCTAGTACGCAGATCAAAGGAGAGACTGTTGCAGTGTCTGAGGCCCCATGTCCCCTACCCAGGCATTACCCTCCCCACTATTCTCTCGGATTTACCCCCAAAAATTGGTTCTGTCTGGTTTTGAACTTTAATAGAATCATACAATATGTGTACTTCTGTGTTTAACTTCTTTTGCTCAACCTTAGTTTGTGAAATTCATCCGGGATGTTGTGTGAGGTTATACGTTATACGTTCTCATTGCTGTATATTATTCAAATGTTTGAATATAACACAATTTATTTTTCCATTCTATTTTTGATGGGTATCATTAAATTTATTTCTAGATGTGTTCTTCCATTGATTTAAGTCTTTATTAATTTTTCTCATTAATGTTTGTATGTGTAGAGGTCCTACACATTACTTGTTAGATTTATTCCTATATGTTTTCAATGCAAATATAACATTATGCCAATAGTTGTTAGCTATTATGAATAGTGCTGTTAGGAATATTTTTGTATATGGCTTTTGAGGATATATGTGTGTGTGTCTGTGTGTGTATATGATATATATATATCATATACACACATGTATATATATCATGTGTATGTATCTCATATATGTATATGTGTATATATATCATATGTATATATATCATATACACACACAGACACACACACATATCTTGGAGTGGAATTTCTGTGTCATAGAGTATATGTATATGTATATATTCAACTTTAGTTGATATCACTAATTTTCCAAAGTGGTTGTCTGGTGATATACCTACTTCAGTGAATAGTATTATGGAGATTTTAAAAATTACAGCCATTTTGATGAGTGAGCATTGGAGTTGATATTTTCACTGTGGTTTTAATTTGCATTCTCTGATGGCTAATGAGGTTGAGCACCTTTTTATATTGGCTATTAAGATATCTTCTTTTGAGAAGTGCTTAATTCACGTCTTTTGTTCATTTTTCTGTTGGGTCGTTTTCATTTTCTTATATATTGCATATGTGTGTATTAGCTGAAGGACTCAAATATAGAATATATAAAATTTCCTGCAAGACAATAATATATATTGACATATATATGACACATATATCTCTTCTTACTTTGATTTGTCTTTTCAGTCTCTGAATGCTGTTTATATAAATGTGAGTTTTTAATTTTAATAGTTCCAGTTTATCAATTATTTCTTAAATGGTTAATGCTTGTGTGTGTGTGTGTGTGTGTGTGTGTGTGTGTGTGCAGGTGTCTAAGAAATCTTCGGTTGTAAAGATCTTCTCCTATATTTTCTTCTAGAAGGTTTATAATTATACTTTTTGCAGTTAGATCTGCATCTGGAATTGTGTGGTGTGAATCAGGGGTCAAAATTTATTTTTTCCATATGGATATCTAATTGACTCAATATGATTATTAAGTCAGACCGTTGTTCTCTCCCTCCTCCACTGTACTTCAGTGGCACCTTTGTCATAAATCAGGTGACTGCATAGTATGGGTCTTTTTTTTGACCTCAGTATTGTATTTCATGGATCTATTTTTATATCCTTTAGCTATTAACATACCGCGTTTGCAATAGGTCTTGTTATTTGATGGTTGAAGACTCCCAGCTTTGTTCTTTCTCTTCAGAATTGCTTTGGCATTTATGTCCTATTTCAGTATGAATTTAATAGTTGACTCATTAAGTTCCACAAAAAAAACCTTTCAGGATGTTGGTTTGAATTGCATTGAATCTATATTTAACTTTGAGTTAAATTGATATCTTTACAGTATTGAGTCTTCTAATCCATGAATATGGTATGTTCCTTGATTTATTTAGATCTCCATTTATTTCACTAATGTTTGTTTTATGCTAATATAAACAATATTCTTTTAAAGTTTGTCAGTTTTTTGCATTTATATGGAAATACGATTGAGTTTTACATACAATTGACCTTCTTATCCAATGACCTTCCAAAATTCACTTATTAATGATAATAGTTTTTCTTTAGGTCCTTTTGTATTTACTGTGAACAAAGTAATTTTTTTTTGCAAATAATGATTTTTTCCCCAAATTTTATATCTTTTTATCCCCTCTTTCCTTTTATTTTTGCACTGGCTAGAAACTGTGGTTCAATATTTAATAGAAGTGGTGAAAACAGGCATTCTTGCTCATTCTCATTCTCAGGCAGAAAGCTTTCAATATTTGCCGTTAAGTATAATACTTTCTGTAGGGCTTTTTTTTTTTCTTAAACACTCTTTATGGGACTAAAGAGGTTCCCTTTTGTTCCTGTCTGCAGAGGGGATTTCAAGTTTTTTAAAATCATAAACGTGTGTTGAATTTTATCAAAAGCTATTTCTGTGTCTACTGAGATGGTCAGATGATTTTCTTTTTATTCTGTTAATGTAAATTATAGTAATTTTAAAATATGAAGCCAACCTTTCATTCTGGGAACAAATGCAACTTTCTCATTCTTCATTATTATTTTTATATTTTACTAAATCCAATTTGCTAGTTTGGTATTTTTGCATCTCTGTTCATAGGACTGATTGGCCCATAATTTTGCTTTATGTCAAGGTCAGTTTTTGATGTCAAGATTACAATGGCCTAATTAAACAAAATAGAAAATATTTTTTCTAGTCTACGCAAATGTTTATATAAGTTTGGTGTGATTTCTTCCATAAATATTTGGAGAAATTCATTTGTAATTTATTTGGAGGAAAGCCATCTATGTCTAGAGATTTCTTTGTTATCTTCAGCTTTAATATCTCTAATAGAAATAGGACTATTTCAGATTTTCTATTTCTTCTTACATCAGCTTTTGTTAATTTTGTTTTTCTAAGGATTTTCCATTTTATCTAAAATTTTTAATTTATTAACATTCAATTGTTAATAGTAAGTTGTAACTATATTTTTAACATGTGCAGGATATGGAATGATGTTTTCTTTTTCATCAAAACTGGTAATTTTTGTCTCCTCTATTACTTTGCTATTACTTTGTTATAAGACTTCCCAGAAAGCTAACATTTATTTTACTTTTATGAGTGCCAACTTTTGGACATATTGATTTTCTATCTTGAATGTCTGTTTTGTATTTTATTAATTTGTGCTACTAGTTTTTTTTCTTTTTTCTGGTTTCCTTAGACATAATTTTCTATTCTTTTTTTTGACATAGATAACTAGCTTACTGATTTACATATTTTTTCTTTTAAATTTATGTATTTAAGGCTATAATTTCTCTCTAAGCAGAGGTTTAACCACATCCTCCATATTTTGATATGTCATATTTTCATTATCATTTAGTTAATGATATTTTCCAGTTTCCACTGAAATTTTTTCTTTGACCCATTTAAAAATATATTGCTTAATTTCCAAGTATTTGAAGAATTCCTACTTATTTTGTTATTGATTTCCAACTTAATTCTTCCATGGTCAGAGAACATATTTTGTATGATTTCAATCCTTTGAAGTTTGTTGAAACTTCGTTTATGGCCAGCATAAACGTTCCATGTACACTTGAAAAAACAGTATACTTTTTTGGACACAGTGTTCTGTACATGTCAATATATCAAATTTGTTAATTGTGTTGTTTAGATCTTACATATTCTTACTGATTTTTTTCTTTCTTGTTATATATTTTATTGAGAAAAGTTTGTTAAAGTCTCTCATTATTATGAGTGTGGATTTGCCTAGACTTTCTTATAATTCTGTCAACTTTTGTTTTTTATATTTTGAAGTTGTGTTTTTTACATACATATAAATTGAGAATTTCTTGGGGGATTAACGCTTTTATTGTTATGAAACTTGAAACTTTTGATCTTAATCAGGCTTTTTGCCTTAAGTCTATTTTGCTACCAGTATACCTATACCAGCTTTCTTTTGGATATTGTTTGCATGGTAAATCTTATATCATCTCTTAATTTTTAATTACTTTATATCCTTATATTTGAGGTGTATCTCTAGTAAACAGCATATAGTTAGATTTTGTTTTTTAATCTAGTTTGATAATTATAGATGTTTAATTGAACTATTTAATCGATTTACATTTAATGCGATTACTGATATATTTGGGTGTGTATCTACCATCATGCTATTTGGCCAAACTACTGCATCATAAATGGAAATGAGTCAGTCCCTCCTTCCGGTCCCACTTTCTTCACTCTCCTCTATCTCGTTCCTTTTCCTGCCTCATTGGCTTCTTCTTACCTTAGTTTGTTTTTTTTTTCTTTTTTGCTGTGCCTCTCTCTTTTCCTGGACTTCTAAATATTGAAGTTTCCTCTCAGTCCTCACAATTATTTCTTCTTCACTCACTCTTTAAGTGATCTCACCCCTTCTTAAGGATTTAAATAGGCTGCCAACTCCCAAGGTGATGGCTCCACCCTGGACCTCTTCCCAGAATTTCAGATACATATAGCCACCACCATACAGCGCCATTTTGGGAAGCCTACGTCCACAGGCATCTCAAACTAATGTTTCAAAAACAGAGGTCTTAGCATAGTGAGAGCTTCTGTGTTCTTCCTGAAGTCTTCCCCATCTCAAGAAGGAGCAACTCCGTTTTCCCACTCATCAGGCCAAAACTTTAAGGTCATTTTTGATTACTCTTTTTTACTCTTACAGCAACATCCAATCCATCAGGAAGACTTGTTTATGCTATCTTCAGAATATATTCGTAATATGACCACTTTCCACCACTTCCTTTGCTGTTGGCTTGAGCCTAGCCACTGCCATCTCTCACCTGCTGTATTGCAGTGGCTTCCTAACTGGCAACTTTGCCTCCAGTCTAGCTTCCGTGCAGCCTTTTTTCCACACAGCTGCTGAAATGTTCTTTAAAGGACATATGGCACAAGGCATCACTTCTATGCTCAACACAGAAATGGCTTTCTATCTCAATCAAAGTAAAGGCTGAAGTCTCTACAATGGCCTATGGAGCCCTGATTGATCTAGCTTTGTGCTACCTTTCTGATCTTAGCATCTGCCCATCCCCCATTCACCCTGCTTAAGCCAACTGCTCTCCTTGCGATTCCTCATAAACACCAAGCATACTGTCACCTCAGGGCCCTTGACCATGCTGTGCCTCCTCCTCCTTCATATCTTTGCATGACACACTCACTCACTTCCTTCAGGTGTCTGTTCTAATGTCCCAGTCTGAACCATCTTATATAAAATATCAAAGCTCCTTTCCTCCGTGGCTCTCGTCTGTTTTGCTCTGTGTGATTTTCCCCCAAAACCCTATCAACCCCTGGTATATTACATGCTCATTGATTGATTTATTTACACTGTTGCCCTTCAGCATAAGCTCTGAGTCACATAAACTTTGTTTTATTCACTGATGTATCTCCAGAACCTAGGTCAATATCTGGCATATAGTTAGCCACCAATAAATATCTATTAAATAAACAAAAGGCATTTTTACAGCAATCCTGTGATATTGACAGGGAAGGTGCTGTTTTCTGCTTCCTGAAGAGGAAGCCGAAACTCAGAGCCTTGACTGATTTATAGAAACCACACATCTGTTAAGTGGCTTAGCTGGAAGTCAAACAAATCTTTTCAGCTCAGTTACGGGCTCATTTCACAGCTACACATTTCTCAGCCATGGTGGATTCCACATTGATAGCCAATGATGACAAAAATTGTAAAGTGAGGATCAGGCAGACTCTGACATTTCTTTTGTTCCAGTTTCCACATAGATCAGCAATCCCTAAAAAGAAAAAAAAATTAAAGACCTTTCAATGTATGTGGTTTCTTCAGAGTTTGCTATGGTTAAAAAAACAAGTGGGATCTGAGTGAATGAGTTAGGAAGAGCTGAGCTTTGTGGTCAGGGATGCCCTCCCAGGGTTCTGGGAGGTGTCATCATATATAACAAATCAACAGGGAATATTTTTTTACCCCAATATCAAATATGACCTTTTTAAGATTCTGAGATAAAAGAAAAATTTATACAGTCATTTAGAAAATATTTATTGGGTTACTTGTGATGTATCAGGAATACTGTGCTAAGCACTGGGAATAGAGTGCTGAGCAAAACAGACAGGGCCTTGCCCTCCTCTAGTGGAGAAAAATAAAGTCTAAGTGAGTTATCACTGGATGAATGAATTTCAAAAGAACATGGCATTTGCTGTGGAAAGCACATTCAATAATTTCTCAGATTACTTCCTTGTTAAGATAAAGGACTTCTATTTAGAGGCCAGAATTAGGAAACCATATGGTATGTCAGGTTGGAGACATAGCTAGATATACACATGCGAAGTCACAGAAAAAGAAGGTTAGAAAAGGATATCAGGGCTGGGCGTGGTGGCTCATGCCTGTAATCCTAGCACTTTGGGAGGCTGAGGTGGGTGGATCACCTGAAGTCAAGAGTTCGAGACCAGTCTGGCCAACATAGTGAACCCCCATCTCTACTAAAAATACAAAAATTAGCCGGGCGTGGTGGCATGCACCTGTAATCCCAGCTACTCAGGAAGCTGAGGCAGGAGAATTGCTTGAACCCAGGAGGCAGAAGTTGCAGTGAGCCGAGATCATGTCACTGCACTCCAGCCTGAGCAACAGAGTGAGACTCTGTCTAAAAAAAAAAAAAAAAGGAAAAGAAAAGGATATCAGTGAGAGACATGCACAGTAACTGGTATTTGGCAGGTCTAGTTAAAAAAATCCAGGTGAACTATCATCTTCTAGCTATCTAGAAAAATCCATCCTTCTTTCCTTGTGCTTGGGATATAAACTACATTTCTTAGCTTCCTTTGCAGTAAGATATGGTCATGTGCATGAGTTCTAACCAATAGAATGTGAGGGGAGGTGATGAGTGCAACTTCAGGTCTGGACCTTAAAACCTCTTGTGAGAACTTTTTAATATGGCAGAACTGCCACTAGCCTGGCTCCCAGAATGACTGTATGGAGTAGAGTTGTTGCTGACCTGAATCCCTGCTACCCAGAAAGGCTTACATTTAGAAATTTGGAAGTTTTGAAATTCTTTTTAAAAATTCCATAGACTTTTTGGAGTCTATGAAAGAGACTCTTGGTATGCACTAAATACTATGAGCTCCTCTACATTTCCCAGCCTCCCTTGCAGTTAAGCTGGTCAGGTGACTCAGTTCGGGCAAATAGGTCGTGGGAAAAAAGACAGATGATACTTCAAAGCCTATGCCATAAAAGTCTCCTATGTAAAGCCATTTATTCTCTAGCCAGTTGGTACCAGGGCAAGTCTGAAGCCACAAGATGGCAGAGACACAATGTGAAGGGAGTCTGTGTCCCTGGATTAGTGCTTGGAGAAGAGCCACTTAGGAATACAACATCAGGCTTTTCATAAAGATAAATCAGTTTTTATTAGTTTTAGCTTCTGATATTTAAGGTTATTTCTAATGCAGTTAGCCCACCGTGACTAATACGAGGTCTATTTACTGCTGCATATTAGCCTACTTTAACTAATGCACCGAGTGTTCAAATAGACCCAACACCAAAATTTGAGAGCATTAGCTCTGACACTGCACTGAACAGGTACCAGCCATTTTACAAGAACCAAGAGAGAAGAGGTGAGGCCTGTTTTGTTCTACAGTGTCCCCAGTGCCTAGCATGGCACCTAGCACTGTAGTAGGTGCTCAAATGTGTATATTGAAATGATCATGACCAAATGTCCATTTTTCCTTTTTGACATAGAAAACCCCAAATCCAATTCTAAGTTTCACAATCTTAATTAGAATAATTATAACATGTGACTTTTAAAGAAAGATGTAAAATCTTTGGAGTCAGATAATCCTTACTCTGTTTGCCACCTTAAAAGCATGTCATCTTCTGGACCTGAAGTCTGATTTGCCAAACAGAGGTGCTGCTTCCTGTGTTTCAGAGGCACGGTAAGGACTGCATGAGGTGATTAAGGTCCTGTAAAGAATCTAGCTCTGTCTCTGCCACCAAGATGGTTTTGATTAAATGTTTGTTTACTCATGGTACTGACAAAATGTATCATTAAATGCCTTGAGTAGACCCAGGATGACTAATGAAGGGCTTACATGATAGGTCCTATGAAGAAAGACCAAAAAGTTACTCAAGACATTCCACTAGCTTAGAGGAGGCTCATTCCACAGCAGCACATGAAAAGCAACACATAAACAAACAACACTTGTTTTTAAGCATGTGAAAGGGTCCACCATTTATTTTACAAGAGGATAATGAGGGACAACCTGGAGCTGTGAAAAGAGATGGTTTTGGAGGCAAACCTAGGTTTGAATCTTGTTCATTTAATACTCAACCAGTCTTTATTAAGGGCTTCCTCTGTGCCAGCAACTGTTCTAGGCACCCAGGATCCAGGCTTGAAAAAGACAAAGGGTCTGCTCTCCTGATGCTTTCATTTTAGCGCAGGGGATCAACAATAAACAGCTAAACAAAGAAATAAATATGATCACATCTGTGCTATGAAGAAAAGTAACTAGCTTATTAACTGAGAATTTGTCCAAGTTATGTTTACCGCCATGAGCCTCATTTTTCCTCTGTAAAATAAGAAACAAGTCTCTGTTTTCCTTGTTGTAGATTAAAATGTTATATGTAGAGCACCTTACAGTTAATGAAGAGTCTCTTGCCAGGCGCAGTGGCTCACGCCTGTAATCCCAGCACTTTGGGAGGCTGAGGCGGGTGGATCATGAGGTCAGGAGATCGAGACCATCCTGGTTAACACCACGAAACCCTGTCTCTACTAAAAATACAAAAAAATTAGCTGGGCGTGGTGGCAGGCACTTGTAGTCCCAGCTATTCGGAAGGCTGAGGCAGGAGAATAGCGTGAACCCGGGAGGCGGAGCTTGCAGTGAGCCGAGATTGCACCACCACACTCCAGCCTGGGCGACAGAGCGAGACTCCGTCTCAAAAAAAAAAAAAAAAAAAAAAAGAGTCTCTTGTAGTTACTGTTGTTACAGTTATTGTGCAGCTTGAGATAAGTGGCAGCATTAGACTGGAAGCTGAACCCCTGACTCTGATTGCCTACATTGTCCCATATTATCGAAGACTGATTAGAGAGTTACTTGTGAAGATGGTAGCAGGAAAGTCTTTCTTGGGCAATGCATCTGTTGTGAATATTTCAGTAATAATTTATAGAAAATTTAAACTGACTAGAACAATAAAAGGACCTTATTGGTTCATATTACTGATCAGTCCAGAGGTAGGGCTTACTTCAGGTATAGGTTGATCTAGCATCCGAAACCAACAATCTCCTTTTCTTTCTCTCTTTCTTTCTCTCTCTCTCTCTTTCTTTCTTTCTCCCTTTCTTTCTTTCTTTCCTTCTTTCTTTTTCTTTCTTTCTTTCTCTTTCTTTCTTTCTTCTTTCTTCTTTCTTTCTTTCTTTTCTTTCTTTCTTTCTTTCTTTCTTTCTTTCTTTCTTTCTTTCTTTCTTTCTTTCTTTCTTTCTTTCTTTTCTTTTCTTTTCTTTCTTTCTGTAACTCTCTTCATCCCTCAGTGTAGTAGTCAGTTTTGTGTTGCTATCATGTAATACCGGAGGCTGGGAAATTTATAAAGAAAAGGGGCTTATTTGGGGTTCTGTAGGCTGTACAAGAAGCGTGGCGCCAGCATCTGCTTCTGGTGATGGCCTCAGACTGCTTGCAAGGAATTTGCCCAAAAACCAGGACTATCTCACTAATTTCTTCATATTGAGTACATGCTAAAATTATAATATTCTGGAATATTGAGTTAAACAAAAATATAAAATTATTTTTGCTTGTTTCTTTATACCTTCTAATTTAACCAATATAAAGCTTAAAATTAAATATGGAGCTTGCATTATATTTCTGCTGGGCAGTGCTGCTTGAGGCAGAACGATTCTGGGATTGGTGAGGTGGGGGAGATATGAAGCGTCCTTGTGACAGGGAGAGTACCTTTGTTCTAGGTTCCTGCCCCCTTGTATTAGTCCAAGGCTCACACTCCATTTTATCTTATTTTAATATACAGTAAAATTCACTTTTTTGGTGTTTTATTACTTTTGACAAGTGCATAGAGATGTGTAACCATCACCACCGCCATCAAAATACAGAACTATCCCGTCATCCACAAATAACTACCTTTGTATTAACCCTCCCCCCTGCCAGCAGCCACTAATCTGTTTTGCATCTCTATAGCTTTGCCTTCTCAAGAATGTCATATAAGTGGAATCACACTGTGTGTAACCTTCGAGTCTGGCTTCTTTCACTTAGCATAATGCATGGTAGATTCATCCATGTTGTGTGTGGCAGTAGTCCATTGTTTTGTTGTTATACCATTGAGTAGTATTCCATTATTGGATGTACCATAGTTTGTTTATTTGCCAGCTGAAACACATTTGAGTCAAGGTTTCCCAGAGAAAGAGAACCAATAGGGAGAGAGAGAGAGAGAGAAATGTGGAACCACCACTATCACTCTCTCTGTAGAGAGAGAGTGTCTGACTTGGAAGAGCAAAAGTTTTTAAATGTGAGGAAGTCCAATGTATTATTTTTTTCTGCATGGATTGTGCTTTTGGTGTCAAATTTAAGGACTCTGCCCAATCCAAGATCCCAAAGATTTTTTCCTAGAATATCTTCTTGAAGTTTTATTGTTTTAGGTTTTGCATTTAGGTCTATGATTTATTTTAACTTTTGAACAGGTGTGAAGTAGGAGTCAAATTTCTTATTTTCTTTTTTTGACACGTGAATGTTCAATTGTTTTAGTAACATTTGTTTAAAAAGATGATCTTTTCTTTAATAAATTCCCTTTGCATCTTTCTTACAAATCAATTGGCCGTATTTGCATAGGTCTATTTCCGGACTCTCTATTCCGTTCTACTGGTCTTTGGGTCTCTCATGTATACATAGCTCTGTCATGTATTTCAGCAACTGCTGTGCTGTGTCTTCACCCAAATTAGGATGTAACTCTTCCCAACTTACAGGATAGAGCTGGCATTATTTTAAGAAGTTTGTAATTCCATACGTGCACAGATTATTTCTAAATAACCCACGTCAACACTTAAGGGTAGCATTTTTCTATTTCTCAACCCACAGAATCAGTTGGGAAAGACATGTGGCTGTTTTCCTATAATGACTTGATCTCTTTTAAAGATGTTCCTATTCTATTTTATTAGGATTAGAAACAATCTTAGTCATTTTGGGGTCTCCCTCTGGCTCTCCCAGGGTCGCATCTCATTCTGAGGAGCTGAGGTTGTGCCCTGGCGTCAAGAGGAGAACAGCCCTCGGCGCTCCTGTACCATGCAGCAGCCTCAGAGACAAGGTCATCCCTACCCGCTCCTTGGCTGTCAGTTCATGCAGTCATCATGCAGTCTCTTGGTTTATCCCACACAGCCTGTTCCCACATGCCAGCAATGTGGAATATTTCCATGCCCCTCTTGGGGACCTAGGAGTTAGATAACACTCCTTCGTCCCTCTGGGCTGTGAGAAACTGCATGATATGATCTTGAACTCCTCTACCTAGATCTACACACTCAGATACCTCTTCAGCTCCAGCTCCATGCTGGCAAGGGCTGCCTTAGGGTCCTGCCAGCTGCTGGGCTCTTCAATAGGGAAGGGGGCACAGGTACCCTGAGCTCTCAGATCATGAAACCCACTCGTCAAACAGTTTTCTCAACCTTGTTTCTGGACTCACCCTGGGTGGTGGGCAGGGCGAAGAGCCTCTTCTTTCACACCTAGCTTCATCCAATGTCTCTTTCTGAGTCCTTAACCCCAATCCAGGCATGCTGCCTCGTTCTATAATTGGAAACCTTGCTGTGCTGGGCTTTTCCATCATTATGCAATTTCTGAATTTGTGTTCTGAGTCCTTTCTGTGGCCCTTTTACTGGAAGGGTCTGAATCTCCTTTGAAACGCATAAACTAAGAATTAATTTCTTCATTGCTGGTCAACACTACCTGGCTGGAGAGAATGCTTGTAGTCTTAGTGCCTAGACAGAGAGAAGGATCAATGTGAGAGAAAAGACTAGAAAAAAATAGATGTACTCTCATCTTACAAATATATGTTATGCTTTGAGATTAGGAAAATACATATTTATCTATAAGTGCTATTAAAGTCCTATAAGCTTATTGTTATTATGTATTTCTCAAATAATTCAAAGTAACATAAAAATAATCATCCTGAGTGAAGTCTTCAAATGTTTTGGCATTAAAAAGGGATACACCTAGTCAAAGAGTTGACAGTTATTACCATAACATATCTCAAAATCAAATAATTGTGGACGAGGGTGTTTTGCATACATGTGTATATGTGTCGTACAGAGTTTACATCCCTTTTTCTTGTGTGGGTAATTGTATAAAGTTACATTTCAAGAGCTAAAATGCTTTTGATGATTCAAGAAAAAATGTATTAGAATAAAAAACCAACTTGCATATTTGAACAGTTTTGTTGAAGTATAATCAGTGCATAATAAACTATGTATATATGAAATGTATACTTTGATAAGCTTTGGCACATGTATACACCTGTGAAACTATCACCATGATCAAGATAATGAACATGCATGCTTCTACTAAAAATTTCCTTATGCCCTTTGGAATTCCACCCTCACACCCCTCCCGACCTCTCCACACCTTCCTCTCCCCCATCACCAGGGAACTACTCATCTGCTTTCTGTCACCATACATTAGTTTGCACTTTCTAGAGTTTTATATGAATGAAATAATACAGTATATACCCTATTTTTGTAGTTTTTTTCACTCAGCATAACTTTTTTGAGCATCATAATATGAAGCCAGATTTACCCTGATACAAAACCAGAGACATTACAATAAAGAAAACTAGAGACTAATAGCTCTCATGAATATAGATGAAATAATGCTCAATGAAATATTAACAAATTGAATCCAATATTATATATAAATAAAATAAATGTAACTCACCATAATAAAAAAGAAAATCTACATATGAAGCACCTTAAAGTTTTCTTCATATTTCTTGTGCTTGGGGTTTGTTGTGTTTCTTAGATTTGTGAGTTTCAGTTTTAATCAAATTTGGAAAATTTTTAACCATTATTTTCTCATATTGTTTTCTGTCCTCATCCTCCTCTATTAGAATTCAAATGACACATAGGCTACTTTAAGTTGTTCAAGTAGAAAATCCTCTCTGATTTTTAAAAATATTTTTACTTCTGTGTTTCATTTTGCATAATTTCTATTGTTGTATCTTCAAGTTCACTAACTTTCTTTTTTGCAGTGTCTAAACTGCCATTAATTCTATTCAGTATATTTTTTATTTCAGACGTTGTAGTTTTCATCTCTTGATGTTTGTGTCTTTTTTATGTTTTCTGTGTCTCTACTTAACATATTTAATGTTACTTATAGTATTTGAATACATGGAACACAATTATAATAACCATTGACATGTCCTTTTTTTTTTTTTGAGATGGAGTCTCACTCTGTTGCCCAGGCTGGAGTTCAGTGGTGCAATCTCGGCTCACTGCAAGCTCTGCCTCCCGGGTTCATGCCATTCTCCTGCCTCAGCCTCCTGAGTAGCTGGGACTACAGGTGCCTGCCACCATGCCTGGCTAATTTTTGTATTTTTAGTAGAGATGGGGTTTCACCTTGTTAGCCAGGATGGTCTCGATCTCCTGACCTCATGATCCACCCACCTCAGCCTGCCAAAGTGCTGGGATTACAGGTGTGAGCCACCGCGTCCGGTGACATGTTCTTATCTAATATTTCTAGCATCTGTGTCATTTCTGAGTCAGTTTAAATTGATTTTTCTACTCCTTAAGTGCCATGTTTTTCTGCTCCTTTCCATGCCTGATAATTTGTGATCAGATATCAGACATGAATTTTACCACCTTGGTTGATAGATATTTTTATATTCTATATGTATTTTTGAACTTTACTTTGAGATGAAGTTATCTGGACACAGTTTGATCCTTTAAGGTCTTGCTTTAATTTTTTTTTAGGTTAGACTAGAGAAGCATTTTGTCTAGGACTAATACTTCACCACTTAGGTAAAATCCTTCCTAGTGCTGTAACCAATGCCCCATGAAATATGAGATTTTCCAGTGTGTCTAATTATAATAGGCATTGTTCCCACTAATTTTTTGAATGGTTCTTTCCCCAGACTTGTGTAGTTTCTTCACACACATACCCTGATTAATATTCTGCTAAATACTTAAAGAGACCTTCTACAGATCCCTGGAGTTTTCTCTGGGCAGTTTTCTCCTGTGTTGTATTGTGCCCTGCAAACTCTAGCTGCCTTCATCTCCATAGGCTCTTGGCTTTATCTCCTCAACTCAGGGAGTCCTCTAGGCTCTGCCTTGTTCTCCCCACAACTATGTCATATCCTGGAAATGCTCTCGAGGCAATAGGGTGAGGAAATATAGAGCTAGACCCCTGTGTTTTCAGTCTTGCAGGGGTCACTGTCATTTATTGCGCGGTGTCTTCTATGATTTGAATGTTTGTGCTCCTCCAAAATTCATGTTGAAACTTAATCCTCAGTGCAATAGTATTAAGCGGTGGAGTTTTTAGGAGATGATTAGGTCATAAGAACTCTTATGAATGGGATGAATTCCCTTATAAAAGGGCTTGAGGAAGTCTTTTGGGTCCTTTTTGCCCTCTTCCATGTGAGAACGCAGTAAGAGGCACCATCTATGAAGCAGAGAGTGAGCCTTCAGCAGACACCAGATCTGCTGGCACCTAAGGGATATTGGACTTCCCAGCCTCCAGAACTGTGAGAAATAAATTTCTAATATTCATAAATTACCCAGTCTAAGGCATTTTATTATAGTAGCAGAAAAAGACTGAGACAGTGTGCAATGTCTTAAAAGCCATTGTTTCATATATTTTGTCCAGTTTTGTAGTTGTTCCAGGCAAGAAGGTTAATCTGGTCCCCTTCCCCGCCTCATGGCCAGGAGTAAAAGTCTATTCATGCATATTTTATTCTTTGGATTCCTATTCTATCTGGATTACTGTTCAACTCTTGGGTTATGTTGAGTTGTAAAGCCCCTGATGGTCAGAGTGAGTTCACAATGTTCATAAATACTTCAAAAGTGAGAAAAGAGGACACATCAGGCCTTTTACTTTAACTACTTGTTTTAATCATTTTAGCATTTTAAAAGCATTTCCAAAGTACAATGATTGCATGGGGCCCTGAGGGAGATATAGTTCCAGGCCAATGAATGTTCTAATGAAGTTTTATCCTGAGAAGGAGACAGATTTCTGATCTTAGAATTTACTTTAATAATACAAACTAAACTAGTTTTAAAAGTTTTTAAATGACATAAGGACTACAGAACCACTGTAAAAACCTTGAAATAAGTGGAAGTTAATAAAATTAAAAGTGAAAACTTTTTCTCTGACGCCTGCTAAATCTTACTGCCCAAACAAAAATCATTATGATAAAATCCTTGAAACATTTTTCTATCATTACTGAACTGTGGAAGTGAGAATTTACAGGTGCGTTCTGTTTTTAAAGACCATTGGCTCTTCAATAAACTTGGTGTGTAAGAGAGAAATCATCCCCTGTCCCCCTCACTACTCTGCTGTCTGCTCCATTGCATGAAACTTCTATCCTAATCAGTGAGTACTCAGGCACCAGGTTCTTCCGCCTAGGACGGGGGGACCTCCAGAATGTCCGTTTCTCATCTTAAGCACTGCACAATGGTGGTAGTGGAGACAATCTTGTATACAGAATACTAGATTGATTCAGTGGCATTGCGTGCTTCAGTTTACCTCATCTTCTTTTCAGATAGGCTTGGAGCTAACTAGAAAAAGCTTGAAAAGTTCTTTGGAAGTGGAAACCGTTTCAGAAGACCTGGAGTCTTTCTCATCATGGTAGTCTGCAGACCCAATCAATCTATGAGAAACCCAGCAGTTCCACCTCACTGCTGCACACTGATTCCATTACCCAGGGCTTCTGGAGGTCTTCATTCATCAAGGCCTGTCTGCTCTCACTGAGTGCGCTACTTTACCCCAATGTTATCACAGACAACCAGGACTATATTAAACTTGTCAAAGTAAGAGTCTTTTAGAGGGATGGAACATCCTGAACTTTTTTTTCAAATGGAGACATTTTCCTGTTTCTTGAGTGTGTTAAGAGGGACAGGGGTCCCCCACCTTTAGTTTTTGGCCATAACAGAAAAAAAATTTTGATAAAGATCAGATATTATTATTACCATTTAAATATTTACCTATGAAATTTAGTGAGTGGCAATGAAACTTCTTGGCATTTAATTTTTTTGATGTTCTGCCATTGGGAACTTATCTTTGCAACACTTTTTGTTAAGAGATGTCATGATTCTGGGTTGGAGGAAGATAGGAATATCTAAAATGCTATGTCATGGTTCAATTGTACAGAAAAAAATAAGGTAAACATGAAAAGAAAATCCATTTGACCATGGTGTTTGTGGCTATTTCCTTCTGGCATCTCAAGGGTTGCGATGTAAGGTACTTAAATCAACAGCCAGTGGATGACTTTTTCCTTCACACTCCAGAGTGAGTCTCTGCTCAGAAACTCTGACCACTCAATCTGAAATTCTCCTCGTCTGTTACTGTCTAAATTCCTACCTTGCTTTATTTTCCTTTGTGGTACTTATCCCCACCTCAAGTTATGTGTGTTCATGTGTTTGCTGTCTGCCTCCCTACTAGAGTGTCAGCTCTACAGGGCAAAGATATCAGCTGTCTTCTTCATTATGCTGTATCTCTAGTGGCTAGAACAGTGCCTGGCAGGTGGCAGCACTCAGTGAGTAACTGTTGAATAAATAAATAAATAAGTCAATAAGTGGATGAATGACTTCTAGAGAAGACAATTTAATTTTAGTACACTACTTTGGCCAACACGAATAATATTAATATAATCATGTTAAGGTAAATGTTGTAGAGCGAATTGAAGTTGGAATGGGAAGTGCAAAAGCAAAGCCTGGGGAAAGAGAAGACTATTAACAGCCTCAACTTACAAAGTGGGTAGTTGAGATGTAAATGAGAAGAGATGAGACAAGAAAAAGAGGTTTAAGTCAGTTATTTAAAGTTGTAAAAGTGCTCCATTGATAAAATACACACACACACACACACACACACACAATCAAACTTTGGGAGGCAGAGAGGGACAGCAAAAGGGTAGTAGAATTGAGACACATGTTCATCTTTTATATTAGGGTTAAGAGATATTATTTAGAGTTGATAAAGCAAGGAAAAAGGACTAAACATATGTTCTGGAGTAGTCAAGGCAATGAGCTAAATAACTTTAAATGGAAACAGTGAACATACATCACATCGGTATCTAAACATGTTGCTCCTCTCCCATCTTAAAGCAAATTGCATTTGGCCTCTGATCCCCACTTAGCTTCTGTCCTATATCTCTGATCCTCTATAAAACAAAACTCAAAACTCCCTGATATGATTTGGCTCTGTGTCCCCACCCAAATCTCATCTTGAATTGTAATCCAAATTGTAATCTCCAGGTGTAGTGGGAGGTGATTGGAGCATGGGGGCGGTTTTCTCCTTGCTATCCTCATGATAGTGAGTAAGTCTCCCGAGATCTGATGGTTTTATAAAGGACTGTTTCCCCTGAGCTCTTCTCTCTCCTGTCACCTTGTGAAGAAAGTGCTTGCTTCTCCTTCACCTTCCGGCATGATTCTAAGTTTGCTGAGGCCTCCCCAGCCATGTGGAATTGTTTGTCAATTAACCCTCTTTTCTTTATAAATTACCCAGTCTCAGGGAAGCTCTTTATAACAGTGTGAAAATGGACTAATACACTCCTAATATCTACTTTCGCTTCTCATATTCCCTTTTAGCCCCTCCAATCAGGCTTTTGCACCTCATTACACCACCAAAATCACTTTGTCCATTTCGCCCTTGGCCTCAATGTTGCTAACTCCATCCATCAATGCTCAGTCCTTGTCTGTTAGGCTGCAAGCAGCACTTTCCCCAGCTGACCACTCCCCCAGAAACACTTTCCCTCTTGGTCTCCTCTTCTGAAGTTCTGCCTCCACCATTGGGTGACTCTTTTAGTCTCCGGAAGAATGTCCCATGACTTAAAGCCTAGCCTCTTCTCCTTTTCTAAGTATACTCGGGACCTGGTTTTCTCAAGCTCATAGCTTCAGTACTATTCATAGCCTCTCTCCTGTACTAATGGTTTCTATGTCCAACTGCCTGCCTGATGTGTCTCCTTAACACCAAAACTGAGTTCCTGATTTTTCCTGAATCCTTTTCCCATGCTTGTTGCCATTTTAGTAAATACAACTTCATCCCTCTAGCTGCTCAGACCAAAAACCTTGGAGTCATCCTTAATTCCCTGTTTTTTTTCCCCAACTCACTTATAATCTAAGTCTAAATCCTGTCAGCTATACTTTCAAAATATATGCCAAATACGACACCTTTTCACCATCTTCACCAGTCTGGTCTAAATGGTCTAGTCACCATCATCTCTCACCTATTGTAGAAGCCGGCTTGCAAGATGGCCTCCAAAGGTCCTTATTTCCTGGCATTCATGCTCTTCTATAATTTCTTCCCATGCCCAATCTGAGCTGGTCTGTGGGGCCAATAGAATATGGAAGTGATGGTGTGTGACTTCCGAGGTTAGGTCATAAAAGATATAAGCTCTTCTGCCTTGCACTTTTGAATCACTCATGCTGTGGAAGCCAGCCACCATGTTGTGAGAACATTCTAGCAGTCCCGTGGAGAGATCCACGTGGCAAGAAACAGAAACTTCCCAGTCAACACCAGCACTGATTTGTCAGTCATAAGTGAGCGATTTTGGAGGCAAATCCTCCAACCCTGGTAAAGTCTGTTTCTTCTGAGAGTGTAACATCATAAGGTTACGTATTTCAACCTTATGAAATACCCAAGCCGGATCCGTTAAGCTAAGCCACTCCAAAATTCCTGACCCATAGTAACTGGAAGACATAATAAATGTATATTATTGTTTCAAGCTGCTAAATTTTGGAAAACCTTGCTTCCCAGCAATGGATGCTGACACTAATTGCTCTAAACTAATCTTCCTATAGTTTATTCTCCATCCAGCAGCCAGACTGATACTTTCAAATGCAGGTCATACCATAAAATGGAAAATACACTGGATGGGGTTATTGGCAGATTAGATATTGCAGGAGAAAAGATGAATGAACTTGAAGGCACAACAATAAATTGGGCAAAATGAAACATACAGAAAAATAAAACTGAAAAAAAAGTCAATAGAGCATCAGTGAACTGTGAGCCACCTCAAGAGGCTCTTGGTGTTGGAGTGTCTGAAAAAGAAGGAGGGACATAAATAATATTTGAAGAAATAAGTTTGTCATATGTGACAAAAACTGGAAACCAACAGATCCAAAGTCCAGTGAACCCCAAGCACAGGAAACATGAAGAAAATGACACCGTGTTGCTGCAAGTTGCTTAAATTCAGTGTAAAAGAGAAAATGTTAAAAAGCAACCAGAAAAAAATGGAAACAGTAAGTACACTGGACTTTCAATGAGATTCTTGTTGAAAAAAAATAAGCAAAAGACTTTCCCAGACATTAAAAGGTAGAGTTCATCACCAGCAGATGTGTACCACAAAAAAATGCGGAAGGAAGTTCTTCAGGCGGTAAAATGATAGAAGGTGGAAACCTAGATCAACATAAAGGATTGATGAGCAGCAAATGTGGTAATTACATGTGTAAAAACTAAAGATTCTTTTTCTTATTATTTAAGTCTTTTAGAAGATAATGGAGCATTTACAGAAAAATTATAATAACAAGTTATTCTGTTTATGACACCTGGAAAAGTAAAATGTCTAATATTAGTAGCATAAAGGTCAGGAGGAGAGAAATGGAAGTATACTTTTGTAAGTATACACTGTATGTGACATAGTATAATATCACTTGAAGGTAGACTATGATACATTTATTGTAAATGTATGACCATCACAAATAGTTAAAAACAGAGTCAGAGCTAATAATCCAGCAAGAGGGCTAAAAGAGGATCATAAAAAACTACTCAATGAATGTTAAAAAAGGCAGGTGACACCTTGGACTTGTGATTTCTAAGTGGAAAGGTTCTGCGTGCTGCGTCAGGGCTCCAGGCCTTCTCTGTAAGTGATGATGAGAGGCTGGGCAGTGCGGGAGGATGCTGGGCAGTGGCAGCCACGGCTGAGCCTCGAGGTATCTGGGCAGGCAGAGTGGCAGGAAGAGAGAGGCACTGTCTGGGGTGCTCAGAGGCTAGGCCGGCTGCCCATTCATCCACAGGGCTGCCCTGCTGCAGGGAGATGCACCCAGGGGGCTCATGCCGGCAGCTGTTGACTGGGGCTGTTCCAGGGCCTTGGGAGCAGAGCAGGGGGCCCTGCTGACACAGACCCTGTAGAACAGTAAATCCTGCAGGCACAGGACTTCAGGAGAAAGGCTGCCAGCAGAACGGAACTCCAGTTCGTAGAAGGTTGCATAGAACTTGTCCTGTCCTCGGCTTGCTAAAAATCCTCTCCTCTTCTCTTCGTCCTGGCAGACACTTCTGTAACTCCAGTACAAGCCTGTGGATGGTGAAGGGAAAAGCACCCTGCCCTACGGAACAGCCTCTTAGCCCTCTCGCCACAGAACTTATTTGTGTGGTCCCACCCCCCATTTAACACTCCCAGGACAGGGGCCCCAGGCCCAGTGGCTTCACCCTGTTTCCCTGACTTGAAGCTGGTTCACAGGTCAGGGGCTGGAACCTTCCCTCAACCACCCCCTTTGAGTCACTGTGGGAGGCAACCTTTCTCCTTGGGGACCCTCTTTTCCTGCTGTCCTCCTCATGGATCCCAGCAGGTCTCCACCCCTAGCCTCTCTGGAATCCATTTCCTCTTGAGTGGAGGCCATGATGAGGTGGGCAGGGTTGGGGTGGAGGGTATCTGCAAGCCTGACTTCCTCCCAGCCCACTCCCAGCCTGGGCTCTCTCCTCTTTGGGCCCTGAGTGCCTGCTCACCACTTGCCCTGCAGGCGAAGCCCACCTAGCTGGATGTGTGCACATCCAGGA
This sequence comes from Homo sapiens, assembly GCF_000001405.40. Lineage (NCBI taxonomy): Eukaryota > Metazoa > Chordata > Mammalia > Primates > Hominidae > Homo > Homo sapiens. Next base: position 173,528,628 of record NC_000005.10, read on the forward strand.
AGTGGGGGTGAAAGCCACCTTGCTGCTATATAGGAAACAGAGTGCTCGCAGCCATGGAGTCACATGCTGGAAAGGGAGTGCTGTGGACTGCATGTTTGCATCCCTTCAAAATCCATATGCTGGAACCTAATTCCTAAGGTGACAGTATTAGGAGGTGGGGACTTTGGGAGGTCATAAGGATGGAGCCCTTAGGAATGGTATTAGTACCCTTATAAGAAAAGATGACAAAGAGATGATCTCTCTCTGCCATCTGAGGGCACACAAGCAGGTGGCTGTCTCCTAACCATAAAGAGGGCCCTCCCCAAAAACTCCGTCTCAAAAAAAAAAGTTGTACGTATTTTGGGGGATACATGTGATATTTTGATTAATGATTAATATATACAATATGTAAGGATCAAATCAGGCTAATTGGGATCCCCATCACATCAAACTATTATCTTTTCTTTGTGTTGGGAACATTTGAATTCTTCTCCTCTAGCTATTTTGAAATATACAATAAATTATTATTATTATTTTTATTTATTTATTTATTTTACAGAGTCTTGCTCTGTCACCCAGGCTGGAGTGCAATGGTGCGATCTCAGCTTACTGCAACCTCTGCCTCCTGGGTTCAAGTGATTCTCCTGCCTCAGTCTCCCGAGTAGCTGGGATTACAGGTACCCACCACCACACCAGACTAATTTTTGTATTTTTAGTAGAGATGGGGTTTCACCATGTTGGCCAGGCTGGTCTTGAACTCCTGACTTCAGGTGATCTGCCCACCTCGGCCTCCCAAAGTGGTAGGATTACAGGCGTGAGCCACTGCGCCTGACCTAAATTATTGTTAACTATGATTTCCCTACTGTTCTATCACATACTATGAACTAGTGCTATCTAATTGTATTTTTGTACCCATTAACTAATTTCTCTTCACCCCCTCACACCTCCTCTGTTCCTGGCCTCTGCTAACCATTCTATTCTCTACTTCCATGAGATCCACTTATTTTATTATTATTTTTAGCTCCAACATATGAGTGAGGACATGCAATCTTTGTCTTTCTGTGCCCGGCTGTTTCACTTCACATTGAGCTCATTCCTTTCTAAAGAAATTTCCTCAAAGTTGCTATCAGATTCACTGCCCTCATTCTCTCCCTCCTCCTCCCCCTCCACTAAGAACTCCAATTTTGTTGATGATGGTTCAAAGGTAATCAGGGCAATCCTATCCTCCTTTGTCACTGATTGGTCTGGGGGCAGGTGTGCTTCCCAAATCTGATCAATGAGATGTGAGAAGTCTGTTAGAAGACTTCAGGAATTTTTTTTTTCTCCCTAATAACAAGATGGAGTCCAGGCCTCATAAAAGAGAGGGCCTTTTGTTCCATGCATTTCCTTCACGCTTAGGCTGCTGCAAGTGAGCATGTGGTATTTGAGGCTGCAACAGGCACCTCGTGACCATGAAGGACGGCCTGTGTTCAGATGGGAAGTCCTGAGACCTTAGCATCATAGGTCTACCTCTGTACAGCCCTGCCTGCCTCTGGGCTTCTTGCAAAGTGACCTTATAAGGGTCTATATTATTCTAACCACCCTCCATTTGATAATCCATTACTTGTAGCTGGAAGTATTCTAACTGCTGCACAGGGTATCCAGGCTAATATGACCATGCCTGCCTCTAACCCTTTAAAATCCATTCTATATAGGTAGCAAAATTCTCTTTCTGCAATAAGACCTCAATCACATCACTTCCCTTATCCAGAGTTGGCGGCAGCTCCTAATGGTCTATCAATTTGAGTCCCAGCTTCTCAGCAGGTCTGGCTTGAATGGAGGACCTCTCAGCTGGAGCCCGCAGTGAATGAAGTCACAGTGAGCATTTCTAAGAGGCCTTAGAGGTCCACATAGGTACTTGTTACACTGAGCATAAGTAGCTGCCACCATGACCCAGATAAATCGTTTTCAACTCATCATCACAATCCCTTAGGGGGCTTGTTATGAATAGATGGTTGGTCCTCACTGTCAAAGATTCTGATTCAGTACATCTGGGGAACAGCCCAATAATTTGCATTTCTGACAAGCTCCCAGGGGATGCTGATCTGCTGGTCCAGGGACCACCCTTTGAGAACCACTGGCTCCCTGAATTTCTCCCCTCCACCCTGCTGCCACCAGGGGCCCTCAGCATTCAGTAGGAACTGCACTTACATTCATTGTCAACCCACAGCAGGAATGAAGGCTAAGTGCCGAGGGGAGGGGCTAAAGAAAGAGAAGTACTTATGGAGTACCTACCACATTCCAGGAACTATATGGGCAAGCGATTTGATGGTGAGCACAGGCAGATATTGCTCCTGCGCTCATGGAGCTCACAGACGAGTGACTAGACAAACAGCAAGTGAACAATTAAGGAAAACATGCTCAGATGTTTTAGGATCTGTGTAAGAAACACAGGGGGCTGCCTTACACAGGAGACCATGGAAACCCTCTCTGAGCAGGTGACTCTTAAGTTGAGAGAAGCCAAAGTGATGGGGAGAGGGAGCAATTCACAACAAACTAGGAAGAAGAAACAAGATGTTCAAAGGCCCTGAGGTGGGGACGAGCTGAGTATGGCCAAAGCTCAGAAAGTCAGATCGGCTGGGGATGGGGGAGCAAGGGGAAGCGGCATGAGATGCAACCGGCGAGTAGGCAAAGAGAAGCAGCATAGACGGGGATTCATAAAACACACCACAAAAGCCCTGCCAAGCACATGCTGTCTCTCCACTGAATGTCAGCGCTATGGCAGAGAATCCTCTATTCTGCCATGGGGCCCAGGACACACACCATCAGCATGAGGTGCCCTCTTCCTGGAGTCAGATACCAGACATGCCACTCAGAGGCCCGGGAGGACGGTCCTGGTCCCACCCAGGATGTGGAGAGAAAGCAACTGGTTGTGGCAGAAATAACATGGAATCTGGGAAAGAAGAGCTGGGTCCAATCCTGGTTTTTGTAGCTGCAGCCAAGTCCCTTGTCCCCCCTTGAGCCTGATGGCCTCTCTGGAGAACGTGGATTAGAATGCCATGTTTGTCACCTCATGTGTACAGGCTCTTTGCATCTGTAAAGGATTATTTTGCCAGTGCCTGTTCATCTATTTCAATATTCTAATGAAAAATTCACAACCAAACCATCTGGCCACCCCAACCTACTATGTGCAATACATGCTGTATTCTTCTGGTGCTCAAAGGGGCATGGGGACACTTGGCCCATTTGAAGAAGGCAGGAGGACTTGGAAAAAGTCTCCCGGAATCACATTTTCACTGGCCTGGAAAAATGTCCCTGAATATTTTCTGATGGAGGCCTTGGAAGCTCCCTAGAGTTGAACAGGAATAGTCCGCGGCAGACCCACGTGTCTTGTTGCTTCTGAACCTTTGGAAAAATTAGGAGCAGGTTCTCCTGGCCAAGAAGGAATGCTTTATGATGTGCTGACACCTCGAGGAGATGTCACAGGGAGCGCCAAGTGCCATCTCCGAAGCATGTGAGTTTATGGCTTTCTCTTTTTCACGCTCCGGGAATGCAGACTCCTCCTATGCCTGCTGCTTAGAACAAAAAGGAAATCTGTGAAGAGTCACCTTTGCCCAGGCTCAGGCCATGCCCAGGCCCATTCCTTGAGATTTTGGCATTCAAAGGAAAGAGCAAGTCCTCTCCTGGCTGCACACGCTGCTTCCCTCCAGCACTGCTGCGGCTCCAATAAAGGGGCACCGTGGGCGTTCCCTGTTGAAGGACACGTCAGAGCTCATGAGCAGAGCCAACTCAGGCCTGGGTTCCAATTCTGGCTCTGTCACTGTGAGCTATGTGACCTCGGCAAACCGCCTTGTTTTCTCTAACCTTGAAATAGGGTGAATGGAGCATACCCTCTAGAGTAGCAATCAGATAGCTACTAGTAGATGGTTATTGACTGAGGTAGCTGTTATTGATTGAGAGCTTCAGCCACTGTGCTAAACTACTCCTGTGAATTATTTAATTCAGTATTCACAAGATTCCTATGACATAGGCACTGTTTTACAGAAGAGCAAATGAGGCTCAGAGCCATTAGGAAAGTGGCCCAAGGTCACACAGCTGGCAGGATTCAAATCCACCAGACTGCAGGGCTGACCATTGTACTGAGAGTCTCCTAGGTTTTCTGTTGAACCCTTGCAAATGTCAGATGTTACTGTTTAAGGAGCCTGGCTACAGGCGTGACCTGAGATGCGGCTCCATGCTCACTAGTTCCCTTGCCATATGCCCATCTGCTGAGTAGAGAAGTCAGAACAGTAGACCATGGCTGCGGGTACTGAGGATCAGAGCTGGCAGGGAGCTCAGAGAGGCCCAGCTCCCACAAGCACCTGTGCCAGGTTTAGGCTGATTCCCCTGAGATATGGGCCTTCAACACTCCTCTGAGTAGCTTTTGTTTTCTTAGGCTTGAACAGGAACCTGCCAGAGCTGAGCATTTGATGGTGAGGAGCTTGGCACCCGCTACGGGATAGTCCTGGGCAAGTTAGTTTGACCTTCTGAGCCTGTTTTGTCATCTGCAGATGGGGCCATGATAGTTCTTATTCTTCAGGGCCTGAGATGGAGCATATAGAGCTCGTAGCATCACATCTGCTATACAATAAGCACTGAGCAGAGGGGAGCCTTATCATCCTATCCTGAAGGCTCCAGACAGAGGGCAAAACAAGGGTGGGGAAGCAAGCCCTCATTATGAAAATATTCTAGGACACAGAAAGGCAAAAGTCAAATAAAGGAAGACCCAACTATAATTTGACACGCAGCAGGCCCTCCCTGGCCTTTGTGTTCTTCTTCTTTGTTTATCTATTTTGACCCTTCCTTCTAAATGTATCTAACCTTTTCTCAAATAAAGCAAGAAGTCCCTTCCCCACTTCGCCCCGAGGGACATGTGAGAGATTCTAAAGATGCTGTGATGTCCAGCTTCTTCTGAGAAAGGCAGAGCATCCCATTGCCAAGAGCATGGGCTGTCCTGAACTCTAAGTACCCTGGTCACAGTTTGCTGTGTGTTATGTTTAAGGCACATAATTAGTTGTGCCTTTTTCCTGAGGTCTTAAAAAAATTCTTAAATTCCCACAGAGTCTCTTTAAATCAGCTAAACAGTAAATTCTTTTTGCATTAACCTTAAGGGAACTGAGTGGTTTGTAGAAATGTCTCTAAGAATCAATCATTTTCCCGGGGCTGAACTCTGTTTTTGAGTCTACATCACCAAGAATTCCACCCAAGAGGGCAGCAGAATTATATTGCCCAAGGACAGCGATACAGTATCCATGGCCCTTGCTGACAGCACCCTGATTTTGTTTAGAGCAGCAACAAACTCAGTTTCCAGTGGCAGACTCACTTTCCCAGACACCCTTAGAACTAGGGGCAGTCTCGTAACACCTGGTGGACAAGGAGATGTGCACATCGGAGAGCTTTGGGAGCTCTTTGGAAGGTGTGCACTTTCTCCCTTCTCCCTTATTTCTACCTTGAACACAGACATGAGGTGTGGAACCAAAGCTGCCATCTTGAAAAGACTATGAAAAGCTGAAGAGAATGGAAAATAAGTTGTCCTGACATCCCTGAGCTGCTGGACTATCCCAGCACTTCCTGCTTCCAGCTGTATGATAATGTGAGAAAAACAAACTCCCTCCAGGCTGCGGTGGGAGTTGGGTTGCCTAGATGGCTGAACTGCTCTGGGGCAGATACATGAAGTGAGGCCATTGTGGGGCAGGGGGAACCCCTAGATATGAGCATCCCACCTCACCCTGGGCCTTTCATGTCCCACTGGGGAAAAACTTGTTTAAGTCACTTTAGTTGGATTTTTTTATTACTTGCAGCTTGAAGTATTTCTAAGTGGTAAGCAGAGCTGGATGTAACCTTTGAAAACCGAGGTAGGGCAAACTGGGGAGTAAATTCAGGGCTGGATTTTCCTCTTTGATCATGGTCTTTCCACTCCTTCCGAGTTAGAGATTGGCTAAATCACCCTTGGAAAGCAGCAGAGTATATCCAGAAAATCTAGATCAGGAAGTTTGGATAGGTCACAGACAAGACACATCTAGAAAAAGCAGTGAGGGTCCCTGTGTCATACATTTGCAGCTTTTCAGGGGAGGATGTCCTCAGAGACCACCCAGATCCTCATCTCTCCTCCCCTCCTTGGGTTCCCATTCGGCTATGTCAAGCTATGTTACATTACTCACCATTTCCTGAACATTTTGTGCCTTGGCTAAGCCATCCGCTTGTCTCCAAAGCTTTCATCATCCCTTCTTCCACTCCCCTTTTTGGCTCATCCTTCAAGACCCTACTTGGTGACCTCTTCTGTCAGGTCCTCCTGATCACCCCCATGTGTCCCCACCCACACAGGATGTATTGCTCCTTCCCCTAGGTCATATCAGAACTCTACTCTGACATCTTTTCTAGCTCTCCTTCATCCAAGAAGTGCTTGTTCCTTGGAATAGCAGGATAGGCAGTTGTTAGCACATGATACTGTTATTCATTGTAGACACATTTATTTCACCCAGCAGAACAGGATTTCCTTCAGGACAAGATCAATTTATCATGACCACTTAGATTTTTTTCCAGAGCCCAGTGTGGTACACAGAAGACAGAAATCAGGACTTAAATGTTCAAACTTAGTGATGCTCAAAGTGTGTGCATGGGAATGTGGTTTCCTAGGAAGACTGCAGAAACTGCACACCAATAGGATTCCATGGTCAAACAGATGTAGAGAATGCCAGAGTGCACAAGGCCACAGGTCTCTACTGCCAGGTTTCTCAAAGCCTTAACCACTTGTGAATCACCAAGATAGAGACTGAGTATGCAGGCTTGCCCCAGTGGATTTGACCATGGGATTTCTTTCTCATGGAGAACCTCAAGGGGCTAAAGTGTGGAGGAATGTGTTTTGGATGCCCAAAGTCAGACACTCATTCATTTTAAAAAGAAATAATCATCTGGTTCCTTTCTTAAGGTTTCCTAGCTGGTTGGAGGGGTAGATGGGACCTAAGATTGAGAGTTCTTGAAGGTATACCATGGGAGACCTCAGGGGTCATCAGATAGATGGTCAGTGAACTGTGGTTGACAGGCAACAATTTGAGGGGTCAAGAAGACCTGGGCTCAAATCTGGATTTTTCACATACCTGAGTCACATAAGCAAACACTCTAGACTCTTTCAGCCTCAGGTTTCTCATCTTTAAAATGTGGCTAATAATACCTATCTCACACAGTACTTGTGATGTCTCAAGGCTCAAACATGTATCAAAGGCTCAGTAAATGGTCGCTATGGAAGCCAACAGCATTCTCCAGGCTGCCTTGGATGTAAGGACAGATCCTACAGATATTGGAGGTAAACATTAAAGAAAAGTTAACATCCCTTTGGGTACACATTCCAAAGGTGCATAGAGATATAGCCAGGAAAGGTTCCCAGGTGAGAGTAAGAACTCTCCAGGCCGATGTTACCAGTGGAACAAGGGGCTGGTTCATTCTGGAATCTTCCTTCCTATACCTGGGGGCTGATGCATGAACCAACATCCCAACATTCCTTGGTCCTTGAAGCTGGCTTCCTTCCCCATCCTGGTGGCCATCTGTCTGAATAATCTGCACTCCAGGGTGGGTGGATGTGACATTCCTGTGACCCCACATTCCTCTCCTCCTCTTCAATCCACCTTAACCTGGTCCCTGCTCACCTCTTTAGCTTTTTTTCCCTTCACTCTTTCTGTCACTTAGTGTCTTAAGAACACTGCCCCTCCTTTACTTCCTGGCACCCTCAGGGCTCCTCCCTTGTGTCTGGAAGCCTTCCCTTCTCTTTGATGGTCTCACTCTTCCTTCAGGTCTCATTTCCAATGTCAGGCTCCTAAGAGAAGCCTTCTCTAAGCACTGCCATGATGAGTCACTCCTTTGTATAGCTTCCTCTGCTTTTTCTTCCTACCACACACTATTAACAACGATATACTTTAGTGATCTTTAAAAAATAATGTCTACCTCTCATTCCTAGGAGGGAAGCTTCATGAGGTGTGCTTTGCCTCATGAAGGGAGCCTCATCCCGGGGGCCCCTCATCCCGGGGGTCTCAGTGGAGCTGAGCACACCCATAGTTACCCATCAGATATTTGGTGAAGGGACTGATGCATGATGGGCTCTAGACAACATTTTTTGTTATTTCGGGGGTCCACGGATCCCCCAATTTTCTGAATGAGATCGCCTCCTTCATGGGTTTGGAAGGAGTGGACTGGAAACGATGGCCAAGGCTGCTTCTTCCCAGAGAGGGTTGTTTTTTTTCCAGCCTTGGCGTGTGAGTGGCCAGACACAGGAGTCTGCAAGAGGCCCCATCGTCAGCAGGAGCCTGGACCTCTCACACTCCACAGGGGACCTTTGGGCACCCCGGGAGAAAATTATCCCAACCTTTAATAGAGCATTTTCTGAACACCCAACACATTTTATTTTTAGACACTGCAAATTTTGGAAAAACTTATATTTTCTGTTTTGCTTCAGCTGCTGGGAATCTCAAGTTGGATTTGTAGCCGCTTCTTACAACCGAATAAGAGCTAAAGGCTTCCAGCTTGGGCATTAACCACACCCAGGATTCATTTTCCTTTTTTACCCCCATTCTCCTTTTATTCTGATTTCTTACTGTAATTATTCCACATCCTGATGCACGTATGTAACACCGTTGGCCATATCAAATTTTTTTCTGCAGTGATTCAGGTACTTTTTAAATTGCAGTGAAATCCACATAACATAAAATGAGCCATTTTAAGGTAGATAATTCAGTGACATTTCGTGCATTCACAATGCTATGAAACCACCACCTCTATCTAGTTTCAAAACATTTTCATCACCCCACAGGAAAACCCTGAACCGCTTAAGCAGTCACTCCCTATTCCCCTCTTCCCCAGCACCTGCAACCATCAATCTGCAGGCATTGTTTCTATAGATTTGCCTATTCTGGATATTTTATCTAAATGGAATATATAATACGTGGCCTTCTGTGTCTAGCTTCTTTCATTTGGCATAATGTTTTGAGGTTCATTCATATTGTAGCATGCATCAGTATTTCATTCCTTTTTTTTTTTTTTTTTTTGAGATAGAGTCTTACTCTGTCACCCAGTCTGGAGTGCAGTGGCGCAACCTCAGCTCACTGCAACCTCTACCTCCTGGGTTCAAGCAATTCTCCCACCTCAGCCTCCCGAGTAGCTGGGATTACAGGCGTGTGCCACCACACCCGGCTAATTTTTGTATTATAGTAGAGACGGGGTTTCACCATGTTGGCCGGGCTGGTCTCAAACTCCTGACCTCAAGTGATCCACCCACCTCAGACTCGCAAAGTGATGGGATTACACACGTGAGCCACTGCGCCCAGCCCTCATTCCTTTTTATAGTTTGTGTTGATGGATCAACTGGTTCAAAATGTGGGTCAGCAGAAGCTGGGAGCATCAAGGTCCTGCTAACATGTGACAGGCAGAAAACTCCTCCAGGTCTTTACAGAGTACACAACAGAGAGGCTCCCACCCAGAAAACCAGCGTGCCATAGATGGTCCAATATTACATTCCAGAGGTCTTGGGACCTGGGCACGAGCCGCTTCTCTCCTGAGATATTCTCCCGGAATAGACAGAGGTGTCAGTCAGCATGAAAATAACCTTGGCAGAGATCCCCACACCAGAAAGATAGCCACAAACATGTGTGTCAAGGCACATGGTTGTGGGGAGGGGGTTCTAAATTAAGCCTTGGGCTCTGTGTTCTATTGACTTGGGCCTGGTGGGGCCGACCAGTCCGTTCTGCCCCTTTGGGTGCACATCCCTGGTTTGGCAGATGCCAGGTGAGAAGGGTCTTGGGAAGGCCAAGGTGGAGGTGCTGCCAGGAGCTGTGGAATGACTTCCAGCACTCAAGCACTACATCCAGGCCAGAGACAAACCAAAGAGGGAAAGATAAAGGGAAGCAAATGAAGTTCAACTTCTTGAATGGAACTTAGAGAAGCAAATATAATGCCATTTTGGCACATGGAAAGGGTGCCATTAACATACTGACTGATTATTGAGATCAGAGATGATCAGAGGGATGACAGGGAACTGAGTTAGATGAAAATGATTGTAGAAACCACTGTGGGCTGAACCTAATTTTCCTCTGTGATGTAGCATGGTCTTCTTTTTAAATTTCATAATGATGTGAAATGGTGTTTTTGGCATTTGTGGGATGCCTAGGGCTAAGATGAACCTGAGAACTGGCCCCAGCTGTGTCGTCTCTGGTTATGTCAACTTGGGTGCATTTCCTCTCTGACTCTCAGTTTTCTCATCTGTAAAATGGAGATGATAGCATGGTTATCTTGGAGACCTACCATGTGGCTTGAAACTGACATAGCTGAGATGCCTGGCACTTGCAGGTGCTCCTTCAAGTGAAGCTTGATCTCTTCCTCCTTCTTTCTCTTCTAAATATCAAAGGAAAAATAGGCCTTTAGCTGAATACAATAAAGCATAGCTATCAGTGATGCAACGTTACCCCTAATGGTGGGCTGCAGTGAGAAAGCAAAGGAGTAAGACACAGTGAACACCTGTAATTGAGATGGCTTCAAGACTTCAAGTTGGAAAAGATAAAATAAATCCATAAATCATTCTACTATAAAGACACATGCACACGTATGTTTATTGCAGCACTATTTATAATAGCAAAGATGTGGAACCAACCCAAATACCCATCTATGATAGACTGGATAAAGAAAATGTGGCACATATACACCATGGAATACTGTGCAGCCATAAAAAAAGAATGAGTTCATGTCCTTTGCAGGGACATGGATGAAGCTGGAAGCCATCATTCTCAGCAAACTAACACAGGAACAGAAAACCAAACACCACATGTTCTCACTCATAAGTGGGAGTTGAACAATGAGAACACATGGACACAGGAAGGCGAACAACACACAACGGGGCCTGCCGGGGGGTGGGGGGCAAGGGTAGGGAGAGCATTAGGACAAATACCTAATGCATGCAGGGATTAAAACCTAAATGACAGGTTGATAGGTGCAGCAAATCACCATGGCACATGTATACCCATGTAACAAACCTGCACCTTCTGCACATGTATCCCAGAACTTAGAGTAAAATTAAAAAAATCCATGGGAGAAACAATTTCAGAATAACTCAAAACACTGCACAGTGTGAAGCAGGTACTCCCTCCTTTGGTCTCAGTTGGTGCCCTCTCCTCTGGATAGCCTCATCTGAAACCTGCGATGGGTGAAAGCCACTCCATCCCAGCAGGTTTCCCATCCTGGCACTGACACCACATCAAAATGATCTAATTGTGGTTCTGGGCCTCCTGCCTCCAACCTACTGTGAAGACTGCCTGGCACATAAACACTTCTTAAAATATGATAAGCTAGCATTTAATGAACACTTAATACATCAGACAGCCTGTACCAAGATCTCTGTATTTGCCTCTTTTTTTCATGACAAAAATGCTAAGGTGCAGGGCATATTATTATCCCTAATGTGTGGAGGAGAGAAGTGAGAGTCACAGAGAGAATATACTTGCCCAAGGTTAGTAGGGTGGCAGGCAGCAGAGCTGAGCTTCAACCCAGGAAGCCAGAGTTCAGAGGCACTGCGCAGAATCTCAGACCCTTTGCAAACCATACATCCAATAGGGAGTTACTATCCAAAACATGTAAGGAACACAAATAGCAAGAAAACAAATAACCCAATGAAAAAATGGGCAAAGGATCTGAAGAGACATTTCCCAAAGGAAGACACACAAATGGCCAACAGGTACAGTCTATGAAGAAATGCTCAACATCATTGATTATCAGGGAAAAGCAAATTAAAATTATAATGAGATCACCTCACACCTGTAAGAATAGCTTTTATTAAAAAAAAGAGAGAGAAAACTAATGTTGGAGAAAATGTAGAGAAAAGGGAACCCTCGTTACATTGATAATGGGATAGCATAAATTAGTACAGCCATTATAGAGAACAGTATGGAAGTTCCTCAAAAAATTGAAAATAGAACTATCACATCATCCAGAAATCCACTTCTGGATATATGTCTGGTATGGTTTGAATTTGTGTCTCCACTCAAATCTCATGTTGAATTGCAAACCCCAATGTTAGAGGAGGGTCCTGGTGGGAGGCGACTGGATCTTGGGGGCTGACCTTCCCCTCGTTGTTCTCATGACAGTGAGTGAGTTCTCATGAGATCTGGTTGTTTAAAAGTGTGCAGCACCTCTTCCTTCACTCTTTCTTCCTCCTGCTCTGCTCATGTAAAATGTGCCTGCTTCGTCTTTGCCTTCCACCACCATTGAAAGTTTTCTGAGGCCTCCCCAGCCATGCTACCTGTACAGCCTGCAAAATCATGAGCCAATTAAACACCTTACCTTTATAAATGACCCAGTCTTGGGTAGTTCTTTATAGCAGTGTGAGAATGGACTAATGCAATATTCAAAGGAAATAAAATCAGTATCTTGACAGATGTCTGCACTCCCATGTTTATTGCAGCATTATTAACAATAGCCAAGATACAGAAACGACCTAAGTGTCCATTGAGAGATGAACGGATAAAGAAAATGTGGTATACGTATACACAATGGAATCCTATTCAGACACAAAAAAAGGAAATGCTGTCGTTTGTGACAACATGGATGAATCTGGGGGACATTATGTTAAGTGAAATAAGCCAGACACAGAAAGACAAATACTGCATGATTTCACTTACTTGTGGAATCTAAAATAAATCGAACTCGTGGGAGCAGACAGTACAATGGTAGTTACCAGGAACTGGGGGTGGGGATGGGGAGATGCTAGGTAAAAAATCTCATACCCAACTTGCTCATTTCCTTCTGCATCCATGCCTACCGGGTGCAGTAGGATGGAAGCAAGGTTAGCAGGGCCCTGCACAGATGCTGAAGGTTTCAAGAAGACACTGAGAGACCGCTGGGCCCATGTGCACTGAAGGCCTGGATGACCACAGAGACGTGGACATGCGGAACGTCCCTGTGAAAATAAATTGCTATAAGCATTTAAAGCAGCAGAAGTGAGCAGCAGAAGTAGGAAGACTGAGGAAGTTTCTATCATGGGAAACAAACTTCTCAGAGAAGTTCTTGCTCCATCACACAAGATGGGGGGCACTGGCTTTGTGTAAGCTCAGCAGGTAAGGTGTGGGCATGGCCAGGAGCAGGAAGGGCACCTGAAAGAAAAAAAGAAAGAAAGAAAGAAAGAAAGAAAGAAAGAAAGAAAGAAAGAAAGAAGAAAGAAGAAAGGAAGAAAGAAAGGAAGGAAGGGAGAGAAAGAAAAGAAAGAAGGAAGAAAAGAAAGAAAGAGAAAGGAAGAAAGGAAGAAAGGAAGGAAGAAAGAAAAGAAAGAAAGAAAAAGGAAGAAAGAAAGAGAGGTACTTGGGGGCTGATGTCAACCCTTGGAGCCAGATCAGCCATCACGAGCTGGGTGACTGAGAAAGTCACCTTTCCTCTCTGGCCTGCAGATTTCTTATCTGTAAAATAAGGATAATAATAGTGGATACCCAGTGGAATTATTCCCATCATTAGAGATAATGCAAGCGACGATGCTTCCTCCATGGATATATATGTTGGTTTTTGTTTTTAGAAATTGAGAGGTGTTAATATGAATATTAATATTAGCATAAGTATTAGTATAAGCCTAGGTTTTGAATGGCCCTGCAAGCTCTTGGTGAAAATCAAGAGTGCCCACCTTTTTAGTAAAAGCTTTGGAGCCAGTCTTAGAGTGGAAGGTGGAGAAAGTTGCTGTGTGTGCACGTGTGTGTGCACGTGTGTGCACATGTGTGAATACGTGCGTGCCTGTGTGTATGTGCATGTGTGCATGTGTGTGTGTGTGTTGCAGAGGTGTGAGTAGTTTCAGACATGGCTGAAGAATATGGTAAGTGCTATAGAGCAGGTCTGTACCCAGTACAGTGCAGCACACAGGAGGGAATTGTTACCTCTGTTAAAGAGCAGAGAAAGCTTTCAGAGGATGTGACCTCTGCATTAGCTCTTGGCAGATAGGAAGGAATCATCTGGGTAAAGAAGAGAGAGAAGTGCCAAGGCATGGTCTTGGCAGAACTTGGCTTGTTCAAGGAACAAGTTCAGAGGGAGCAGAGGCAGGGAGTGTAGAGGAAGTGGCAGGAGAGTGCTGTAAAGGTGGTCCAAGCCAGAGTCTGGCTTCTCAGCACAAGGCCCTCTTGGACATGCTGCCATGGGTGGACCCACCCTCCATCCTCCCAGCCACATCACGTGAGCAGCAGCTCCATGTCCAAACATCCATGTCTTCCTGGCTCTACATCTCTCCCAAGGTCCTTGGAAGTGGGGGGCATACAAATGAAGGAAGCAATGAAGGAGGCTTGAATCCAGGCAAGAACTCAGGGAGGGGAGTGGAGAAGACAATGCTTTTTGAGATTCCAGACCTTGAGGGCCTACACAGTCTACACTATGAACCCTGGCAGGGTGACTTCCAACCATCTGCAATGTCTCCATGGCAATGGGCCATGGAAATTGAGGGTGGAGATAGTTCTTGGCGAGGCACGCCATGATCTGGTACGTCTCATGATTTTCCTTGGAGGCATCGCCGGATGTGCTGTCTGTCATAGACGGTGCTGTCCACAGGGCCCTCATCAGCAAGCCCTGCCTCTGACTTGTTTTCCCAAAAGTGTAGCTTGATTTGCTCAGTGCCATCTGCACAACCTCACTGGTCACCCCGCCCGCCATCTGTTTACAGGCTGAAAGACAGCTGGCTGCGGTGAGGGGACACTATGTGACCATAGAATGCACAACTTCAACTGCCTCACCCTGGGGCCTTTACATCTGTCTCCCTGGGATCCCAGTTGAGCAGATGGACTTCAGGTTAGCATCCACTGTGACCCTGGCCTATGGTAACAGCAATGACAGTAACAGCAATGCCAGTGATCTAGTGAAGGTCAGTTAGGTACTAGGTACATGCGTATATCTCACTTAATCCTATAGCAATTCTGCAAGGTAGAGATCTTCCTGGTGAGGAAGCTGAGGCTCAGAAAAGTGATATGAATTGCCCAAGGGCTGCAGCCAAGTGGCAGAGCTGGGAACGAAGCTCCCGACTGTCTGAATTCAGAAGTACAGGACCTTCTAAACCAGAATGAATCTTCTCCTCCTCCTGGTGTTCAGGGCCCTTCAGGGGAATGTGCTGACCTCCCCATCTGGCCTCAGCCCCTGCCCTGCCCTCATGTCTGCAGCACAGCCATGACACTCTGCTGGCCCTTCCCAGACACCACACCCCCTTCCAGCCTCCACACCTGTGCCCCGGCGGTTCTCCCCACCAGCTCTGGGAGCAGCTCACAGAGGGACTCTGCCTGGTCTACAAAGTCAGCAAAGGAGTCCATTCCTTGGCATTTCCAGGGGCTAGCACTGCAGAGTCGAGGATGACACTTTTTATTCTAAAGGTATGTGCTCATTGTTAGAGATTCCCAGAGTACAAAAGTGCACAAAGTCACATCCGCCTCTCCTTCTCACACCTCCTCCACCTCCAAATTCCACTCCCCAGAGGAAGCTGCTGGAGATGGGTGGTTTGCTGTGTGTCTCCAGATGTTTTCAAGACCATGAAAAGACACATATGTATTTTTTACAGAAACCACACTTACAGTGGTCTTTCTCCCTTTGCCTCCCCTCCCCTGGCCCGGGAACTATTCTCTGTCTTTCCTTCCTGCCCTGCTCTGTGTCTGGGAGGCCAACCCCTACAGGTGGCAGCACCCTGCCCCCATGGCCTCTGGCTTCTGGGTGGGTTGGCTGGTGGGAGGCACTGCTGGGGGATGGAAGGGCAGGTGGTGAGAGAGGCCAAGGTATGTACTCTGCCTCCTTTCCCTCCTGCTTCTTCCCTAGCTGCCTGTGGTTCTCAAAGTGGTGGGACTCCCCGGAGGCCACAGCTCCAGCTCCCACTGGACTCCGGGAAACTTTTCCCTTCCCCAGGCCCCTGAGGCTGAGGCATGGCAGGGGCCTCCTGAGGTCACTGCTTCCTGGGTGCTCCACAGCTCCATTGATTCCTTTACTCCAGCCTCAGCATGGTGCCTGGCCCCAACACGACACCATTTTCCCACCTTTCTACAGGTCTCATATTAGTACCTTCAGATATGCTCACAAAGCGAGCATGGTGCTTGTGTCTGTGAAAATTATAATCTAGAGTTTGAGACTGAAAAGAAACGGTGACCAGGTAAAGAGGCGAATATGTTGGCAAATGCAGATGGTAGCAAGGGCTGTGGGAGACGTGAGTGAGTTTCAGTGACAGAGACTAGCAGGGCTGACCGGGTGACTTCTGCCCAGCTCTGGTAAAGGTTGGCCAGTCTCCAGTCATACTGGTGGACTGTAGTCAGTTTCACCCAATGCCCCATTGATGGACACCCAGCTCTTGTCCACGGCTGTGCTACTTCAAATAATGCTGCACAACAGACATTCTTGTGCCTACGTCTTCGTACCTTTATCTTAACATATCTCAAAAGGAAGTTCCAGGTATGGAACTGCTGGAACTGTGGTTGGATGGGTTTAAAATTTGCTGGATTCAATAAATGATGCTGAAGGAGTGTCTCTCCCCACAGAGGCCCACGTGAGAAGTAGCCACAACTTGTTTGCCCTCTAAGGAGCCAGAGGAAGTCTTGTCCGGGACTGAGGGCTTGGCCAGAGGTAAGTCCATCCAGCCTTCCTGGAACTGAAGCCACTTCATAGACTTTCCCCTTTTAAAATTACTTCTCCTTTTCAAATCTTTAAAAATATTTAGGCCGGGTGTGGTGGCTCACACCTGTAATCCTAGCACTTTGGGAAGCCGAGGTGGGTGGATCACCTGAGGTCAGGAGTTCGAGAGCAGCCTGGCCAACATGGTGAAACCTCATCTCTACTAAAAATATAAAAACTAGCAGGGCTTGGTGGCGGGCGCCTGTAATCCCAGCTACTCAGGAGGCTGAGGCAGGAGAATTGCGTGAACCCGGGAGACGGAGGTTGCAATGAGCCGACACGGTGCCACTGCACTCCAGCCTGGGTGACAGAGTGAGACTCCATCTCAAATATATATATATGTAATTTTTAAAAATACTTTCTCCTTTTAAGTTATTGTAATGGCAATAACACCACTTGCTCACCATCACCTTTCCTGCCCGCCATGACCATCTTTCTTCCGACGAACCTTGGTGTTGATACAAGAATGTGGCAACCAAATACCAAAGAGATTTTTTTTTTTTTTCTAATGAGATTCAAGAAAAAAGCCTGGAAGCAATGACTCCTTCAAACTTCCCAGTGATTCGGTTTGAATGAGTGAAGTTTTAAGGAGCATCTCCTCTGTGCCAGGTTCATGCTGGTGCTGAACATGAATGAATGAGATGCTGCCCCCCTCCCCTCTTCCCACAAGGAGCTCATGGTCTGGGGAGGAGAGTGGAAGGGAGTGGGAGAAGTGGTTTCCAAACCTGTATAGCAGAATCATCTGGGAGGTTTTCAAAGACACGGGTCCCTGGGGCCCACACTGGGTGCTTTCAGTTCAACAGGCCTATGTCTCAGGAGTGTTCAAAGCCCCTTAGATGCCTCTGACACCCAGGGCAGGGTGTGAGCTGTGGCTGTGACAGATGTCTGCACCAGTAAACAACACGGTTGCTTGTGTAATGTAGAGGTGGCCGACCTGGATGATCCAAGTGTTGAGCCTGGTATTTTGCATGATCCATAGTTTGGGCTTGGAGATTTTAAAAAAAGAAATTATTTTCCAGCTTCTGAAAATCAAGGGATCTCTCATTCAAATCCGGATTTCGCCTCATTAGAAAGATCCGGACAACTAGCTACAATACTTGGCCTATCAGATGGGGCACCTGCTCTCAGTTTTACAGTCTCACCATTCTCTAGCCTCTCTCTCTTTACATTGCCAGTAGCCCTGTTGTCAGTGGATTGACATCACTCTCTTTCTTATGATAGAACTCCAGGAAAATGAGATATTTCTTATCCTCTTGTTTATATCAAAAGCTGAAAAATGAAAGACAGACCAAGAAGTCTAGGTCATTACTTTTTTTTTTTTTTTTTTTTTTGAGACGGAGTCTCGCTCTGTCGCCCAGGCTGGAGTGCAGTGGCGGGATCTCGGCTCACTGCAAGCTCCGCCTCCCGGGTTCACGCCATTCTCCTGCCTCAGCCTCCCAAGTAGCTGGGACTACAGGCGCCCGCCACTACGCCCGGCTAATTTTTTGTATTTTTAGTAGAGACGGGGTTTCACCATTTTAGCCGGGATGGTCTCGATCTCCTGACCTCGTGATCCACCCGCCTCGGCCTCCCAAAGTGCTGGGATTACAGGCGTGAGCCACCGCGCCCGGCCTTTTTTTTTTTTTAATGAAAGAGAATATGTCTTTCTGGAAGTGTTTAATAGACACAACAAATGTGTCAAAAGAATATGAGCCAGCCCATTTTCCTCATTTATTTGCCCAGCCTGCCCTCCAGGCACCAGAGCTCAGATTCCTTTAGTCCCTTTGGTCATTAACTCACCATGTCACCTTGGACACAGTATTTAGTATTTAGTTTCTCTTGGTTACTTTGTAAAACAATGGTTCTTGACTGAGGGAAATCCTGTCCCCTCTGCAAACGTTCAATGTCTTGAGGCATTTCTGGTTGTCACAGTTGGTCAGTTGGAGGGAGGAGCTGCCATGGGCATCTAGTGGGCAAAGGCCAGGGATGCTGCTAGACCTACTGCAATGTACAGGGCAGCCCCCTACAACAAAGAATTATCCAGCCCCAAATGTCAGCAGTGTTGAGGAGAAAAACCCTGCTCTAAAATGAGGGGGCCCAACCCTTCCAGCTTGGATGGCTTTCAGTTTTGGGGGCTTCCAAAGCCTCAGGAGCAGGTGGAACCTGGAAGCGTAAGTAGAATGGGAGGCAGGGAGAGGGCGTTCTGGTCGAGATGGGGCAGGCAGTGGATAGAGGTGGGGAGAAGGCCAGTGCAGGGTCTGACCAGGGAATGAGGAGTGGTCTGGTTTGTCTGGGTATGGGGGCTGTGTAGAGATCGCTGTCCCTGGAGAGGCTGGGGCCCAACTAGTTGCGGTAGTGTTTTCAGTGCATGGGGTGGGATGGAAGTCAGTGTGGCTGTTTACAAGATATGCCAGCTGTCTGTCCTGGGATGTGGTAGGTTGTACTTCCTGCTCAAGTAAAGTCAGGACTAGCAATGTGACTCACCCTTGCCATGGAAGAGTGAGCAGGAGTGTGTATTCACTACCGGGCAGAAGCATTCAGAGGCAGTGCAATGCTTCATGACACTCTCCTTTCCCTCTGACATAGTGAACCTCAGCATTCAGGACTGTGGTTGCCATCCTGGGATCTGGGGCAACAAGAATGAGCTGGAACCTTGCCAACCCACAGTGGCTATGGAAAAGAGATAATTTTTGTGTTTTAAGCTACTGAGGTTTGACGGTTGTTTGTTACTGCAGCAGAACCTGGCCATTGTAACTGATTTAGGTGAAAATCACTGATGTTACCTGAGACGATGGTAGATGGTGCACAGAGGTGACATTAAATTATACTATATTCCTCAGAGAGAACACTCTTCCCTTTATAGCTATGTGGATTACACCAAGGAGTATGTTTCAGTGTGGTGCTAGGTTGTCTTTCATGCTTTTCCAATACGTCCTATGCTCCCTTTTTAACAAAGAGAGAGCAGGCACAGGTTCAAGTGTCTGTATTTAGCTAAAATTTCATAGGGTAGTTTTAAAATGGAATTTAATGTTAGGGTTGCCTTCCATTTATGGTGAGGAATTATAGTTTTCCATTTACGGTAATGATGTAAAATTTTTAAAATTGTAAGTAGAGAAAGTGAGTCATTTTAAAGACTTACATAAAGCTAATAAAATGCAGGTGGTACACATGTACAGCAAAAATCATAAAGCTGACTTGCAAATGACTGAAGCCAGGGGAGTAGAGCTCATAGCCTATGGCAACATCTCTTGCAGAAGTGAAAGCGTTCTGTCAAGGCAAAAAGTATAATAATAATAACAACATAACATTAATAATATTTCCAGACATCCTTCTAACAATAAGGTAAAAGCAGCCATTTCACCATATAATTCAGAGAGGTATATAGTATAATCCTATGTCCACTACACCATCCAGTGCTGGGTGCACAGTAGGTGCCCAACCAATGTCTGTTAAATGAGTATCAGTTAGCAGCACTCGATAAGATTGAAATGCTCTCTCAGATGGGTGGGCTGCAGTCTTAGAAAGATGTTAGCTCTGCTCAGCATGTTGAAAAGCTTCTGCGAGCACATCTGGGAGAAGAGGCAGAGTTCTGCAAACAGAGGTGAAGAAAGCGAGGAACCCCCAGTGTGGCTTGTGGGGATTGGGGATTGGACAATGGGAAGAGAAGCCACAGATGCTGGGGGCTGCTGGCCAGGTGGAAATGGGGAGAAGTCCCATGTGGGGTGTGTGTGTGTTGTGGGGGATTTGGGAAAGGATGATGGAGAACATCATCAACCTCATATGAGTTTTAAAGCTGTTTGCATGAAGTATGCAATGGAAATCCACTCTTTCTCACCCTCCACCACCAATGGTTGTTTCACACCTCCATTTGCACAGTCCCACTCCTGCTTAGCAAGGGAGAAGGGAAGATTGCAGGAATCTTGGAGAGGCTCAGGCTTTCCAGGGCTGTGGAACTGTAGGTAGTTCTATTGTGATTTCAAAAATTGATGAGGCTGTGGCTGCCTCCTGGGTTACACAGAAGCGAGTGAGTGAATGAATGAATGAATGGTGACGATTGCACACAAGGGTGTGATGCACCCAGGGGCACTTCTGACTGTGGCCATGAACAGTGGGTGGCAAGTCTTATTTTTCAATGGTGGCTGTGCCAAGATGTTTCATCACACATGCTCTTCCATAATGTGACCTTGACTCTCCTTTCATGGGGAGGTGGTGTCCATGTCCCCTTGTATGTGTGTATGTAAGCTTGTGATGGCTTTGACCGATAGAATACAGTGAAGCGATTACTGACCAAAGGATAATACGGCTTCCTCATTTTGGGACATTCATCCTTTGAACCCTGGGTTACCACATTAAAGGAAAGCCAAGCCGTATGGAGCAACTGCGTGCAGGTGCTGTGTTCTGCAGGCTTAGCTTTAGGTCATTCCAATGCAGACTTTTAGAAAATTCCAGTTTATAGCTGTCAACTCTCCTCCAGGCTTCAAGTCTTCCCAAGTGAGGTTCCAGACATCTAGGAGCCAACCCTGCAGTACCCTGTCTAAATTCCAGACCCAGGGAACATAGGAACATAATGAAATGATTGTTTTCAGCCGCTAAGTGTTGGCGTAGTTTGTTATGCAGCAATTGGTATCTGAAACACAGCAACTGGGTGCTCCCCACGTCAGAGTCCTCAGCCTACAGCAACAAGCCTGAAACCAAGCAGGGGCTCAATAACAGCAGTTGAGTAAATGGGGAGGGAATATTGGAATGAATCAGCATGCACCTTTATGTTTTATATTTTATTAATTTTATTTCATTATTTATTTTTTATAGAGATGGGTGTCTTGTTATGGTGCCCAGGCTGGTCTCAAACTGCTGGCCTCAAGCGATCCATCTGCCTTGGCTTCCTTAGCAGCTGCTATTACAGATATGAGATGCCGTGACCTACCCAGTATGAACCTTTAAACTCTGTTCATATGTGGGTTTGGTTTCCTTCGGGGACCCCTTCCATCCTCTTACTGTGTGACTACGTAAACACACGGGGCACCAAAGCTTTTGTGGTACCTGGATACTCCAGAACCATGAAACAGTATCTCTTTTTCAAGGGGCCTCTGACATGATTTCCGCTCACAGACTAACTTCTCTGATTTGACTGAGAAATTTGGTAGGAATGAGAAGATTGCCTGCTAATGCAAGTGGGTAAAGGTGAAGGGTATGCAGAAAGGAAATATGAAAGGAAGGGATTTGAACACTCAGCAAGCTATGTTGTATCATGGTATTTTCTACCAAAATGAAGTTCTGTGTAGCAGCTTTATGAGGCCACTAACAAAGTGCACTAAAAAGGCTGTTCACAAACTCTCCCCTCTAAGTCACTACAGCCCACCTCTCCACCCAGCTGCCAGGATTGGGGAAGAAATTGCTCCTGGTGAAATCCACCCACTTTCATTTAAGTCTCAGTCCTGAGTGGAAGCAGTATGTTAGCCAGGATGACTTTTCAAGTGCCGTCCAATGCCAGTTTACTTGACTCGCCCCAAAGCTGCTTTGCAATTGCTGTTAAGAAATCTAACCCTGAAGAGGATTTACAAGGAGCCAGGAGTTTCCCTACCTGGACAACACCAGAGGGCAACGTCCGGCTCAGGCAGTTGTCTCCTGGCTGAGAAGGAATCATGCTGCGTTCCCAAGTCAGGAGGCCAACTTCCTTCAACAGAGGGCCACACCTGCACTTTAATAACAAAATTGCTGCATCCAGGGTCTCGCTGCCCTTGGAGGTTTCCCTGAGATGTGACCCAAGAGGAGTTGGGAACATTTGCTGACTACAACCTGGTGGAAATAACTGAATGAGGCCGAACTGTGCTGTGGGGAAGGGATCTCTTTGAGAAATCCTCACATTGTAAGTCAACTGTGAAAGTGTGTTGTCAACTAGAGCCTTGGAAAGAGGGAGTCTAGTTCAGCTACTCTCTTACTGGCAGGATATTCAGTAAATTTTGAGTTTCTCAAAGCAGAGAAGTATGCAGCTAATTCATTCCTCATAAACTGAAACCTCAATCTTAAAATATGTTTCATGCTGATTTATCAAAAACTGTATAAGCTGGTGGCAACTATGGGCCAACTGTAATGCTACAGCATTGACATTAGATGTTACAAATGTCCAGACAAAAAGTATCATAAAGTCAATAGATAAAAAGTGCAAGAAAATTTCAAAAATATTATACAAATATAGATATTTGGTAACATAATTTTTTTACAGGGGGGAGATGAAAGCTCTTGGAAGTGGAGACAGGAGTCATTACTTGTCTGCAAGAAGATGGAGGAAACTGTCTTAGAGAAATTTCTCTAAAAACAACTGTGTGTGTTGAGGACATGAATTCACAGATACGTCTCTGTGGTTGTACAGTCAGACCCCAAAGGCCATTCTCCAGTCTCTAGACTGCCTGCTAAGGATGTGTATTCTGTTAGCTAGCCACGGTTAACCAGGATGGGGAAGACATGTTTTGGGGAAAGGCTGCATTGCTTGACCCAACAGAAAGGAGACGGAGCATTTGTGGGGAAGCTTGGAAGAGGAATATCATCAGAGGAAGCATGAGAGAGGGGAGCTTGGGCACTAGGCATGTCTAATAAGAACTGGAGGAACTGTTCTATGGGGGATACAGAGTAACATCTCCTGCATTTCCCTCATGGAAAATCCGCTTGAATTTCTTTGTGGAAAAATGGATTAGAGATAAGAGCCTGGGTTGACTTGGATTCTAAATAGAATCTCGGAGTTGAAAGGAATTTTAAGAGGCTACCAAGCCCATCCCCGATAAAATTAGGAACCCTTTCCCAGACACCCCTTGGAGGTATGAGCAGTCTTGTTCAAACACTTCCAGAAGGGAAGGCTCACTTCTTTAGGATGCAAACAGGGCCATGGAGGAACTTCCAGTATTGGGTTTGCTTGTTTGATTCTGAAGGATTGTAAATAATGAAGCAACTATATACTTCATGGTGGGGAATGGAGGGTGTAAAAGTAAAGTCATAGTAAAGTCACAATAGCTACTGGGTACAGGATTCCTGGTAGGTGTCAAGCATTTAACTTATATTATGTCATTAGGGTCTTAAGGAAGGTCATTCCCTCTGTTTTGGAGATACACAAATGAAGGTCTTGCAAGCCCAGCTTATTGTCCTGAATTCACAGAGCTAGTATGAGGAGTGGGGGAGTCAGGATTTGAACTCAGGCCTCTTTGAGGTTTTCACCCCATCACGGTTTCTTCCGTGTTGTCTTTATTAGGAAATCCCCACTCTGCCAACATTTGTGAGAAAACACTTGTTCTGCAGAGTGACAGGCTGGACATTACGGCTGACTGTGGTCTCTGCTCCTTAAGAGGAACAGAGAGAACTTCAACTCATTTGTAAAGGGAACTTGGAGAATATATAATCCCTGAGAAAAGTTTAAAATAACTGAGATGATTTCACTTGGAGAAGACTGATTATATGAGTCTTCAGGTTTATAAAAGATTTTTAGGGACGGTGGCCACCAGCTGTTCTCCATCTCCACTCTGTACAGGAGAGAAAAAATTGGCTTAGCCTGAGGGTGTCTATATGGAAGAATTCCTGACCCTGGAATGGGTCAATGTGGAAAACAAAATAGGACAGACCT
This sequence comes from Homo sapiens, assembly GCF_000001405.40. NCBI lineage: Eukaryota > Metazoa > Chordata > Mammalia > Primates > Hominidae > Homo > Homo sapiens. The sequence continues at coordinate 173,552,851 of NC_000005.10, forward strand.
TTCTTCTGAGTCCACCAAACGGAGAGCAGCGTCACCCTGGTGTGTGTGGGCTTTTTAGAAGCCAACATCTGCCTTACTAATAGGGCTTACTGGGTGTGTACCTCAGGATTTTGTCTCTGACAGAAGCACACAGGGTTGGAGGGGGAGTGTCGTGGGATCCTTCGAGGATCTTCCCTGACAGAAGCTCCAATGGGGCTTTGTCTCCATTATAGCCCAGTACCGCTTGATAATGATGGACACCACCTAGCACCAGGGGATTATGCTCAGGTACATGCCAGTGTCACCAGCTACGTACCTGGCTGGGGAACACTGGACAAATTATATAACTTCTATGAAGCTCAGTTCCCTGGTCTGAAAAACTGGGGCTCACAGTACCTCGTAGGATTCTGGGAAGAGGTAATGAATTCATCTGTGTGTAGGTCTATAGAGCACCTCCCGCATAGTTGGCACTCAGTACAGGATCATCCCTGCCCTCATCACCCAAATCTCTAGGATTTAAGTGCAGTCTAAATAAACTCAATTTTTTTTTTTTTTGAGATGGAGTTTTACTCTTGTCGCCCAGGCTGGAGTGCAGTGGCGCGATCTTGGCTTAGTGCAACCTCTGCCTCCCAGGTTCAAGCGATTCTTCTGCCTCAGCCTCCCAAGTAGCTGGGATTACAGGCACCTGCCAGCACAGCCAGCTCATTTTTGTATTTTTAATAGAGACAGGGTTTCACCAGGTTGGTCAGGTTGCTCTCGAACTCCTGAGCTCAGGTGATCCGCTGGCCTTGGCCTCCAAAAGTGCTGGGATTACATGCGTGAGCCACTGCGCCCGGCCAATAAGCTCTATTTTTGACAGTGATTTTGAGTTGAAGAGTTCTACAAGATTACTCTCTCAGAGACCTAGTCAAAGATTCAAAGGGTGCAACTTAGATTTGTGATATGGGAGATTTGGTGATGGAGTTTGTGTCCACTCTCTCCACGATCCTCATGTAGTTCAGACCTTGGACCTCGCTGCTCTCAGCCGAGATCTTCCTGGACCAGAGCACCTAGGCTCTTTTAGAGCTCACTTTGCTGCCTCACACTTCAGTCCACCCACCAATGTTGTTGTCTCTAGTCCCCTCTGGGTCTCTAGTCCTTAGATACAGATTACAGGGAGGCTCCGAGTGATCTCATGTGAGACTCAGTTCCTACCCCACCTCCCCCACAGCTTGCCGAATGGCCTCAAGTCAAGACACTTAATCTTCCTGAGCCATGGTTGCCTCATCTGTAAAGTGGAAATGAAAATCTTGCAGCCTGTCCTATGGATGGAATTAGAGCTGGCAGACCACCTGGCACAAGCCTTACATACCGCTGCCAAATAAATGTTGAGAACAGGGCAATGTTTTCAGGATTGTTCCCAGCTCCAGGCCATCGCTGAGCCACGTGGGAGGGTCTCCTGAGTCCACCAGACTCTGAGCATACATCAGCCTGAACTGGCTTAGAAAGGAACCCCCTTTTCTCCTCTCCCTAAGTCCTTCTCTTCCACACAAGAGGAGCTTCCTACCTCCTGCAGAGGTGTTAGGAAGAGAGCTTCTGCAATCTTCTCTTGTTACCTTAGTTTCCCTGGAAACATGCCTTAGTTTCTCTGGAGCTGCTAATCTGACTGGCCAGTGTTGTTCCCAGGGGACAGAGTCACTGTCTTGGCTGACTTCGCTGGCTGCGGCCAGGCCTCTGGCTGGCCCTGTTTTCTTCCTGAGATCTCTGCTATGGACGTTGCCTTCAGGATCTCACACCCCCAACACAGTCTTCCAGGAGGCCAGCCTGTGAGGGGGTGATTAGATGCTTACTTAGCCCTTAAGCCTGCACTATTGACATTCTGCGTGGGCTAATACTTCGTTGTGTGCATCGTGGGGTGTCTAGCAGCATCCCTCTCTATCCACTAGATGCCAGTAGCATCTGCCACCCCAGTTATGACAAGCAAAATTCCCACGTCCCTGGGGTAGGGGGACCAAGGAAGGGGACTCACTCTTGACTGAGAGCCTTCGAATTAAGCTGAGACTGGGATCTATGTTTAGATGGTGAGCCTCCTGTTCATTGTCTCTATCAGGACTAAAAAGAGGGAGAAGGGGATTTTACTCCCACCAACCCTACAACTGTTGACTGTGCTACTGGGTGGCTAAGTGAGAAGCCTTCTTTAGTTTCTAAATAGCAAGAGAGAAGCAGAGAAAGAGGCAGAGAGACAGAGAGAGAAAAAGAGTGAGGCAGAGAGGGAAACTGAGGCAGGAGCCAGCAGCAGAGGACTTCCATGAAAGACCCAAGGGCGCCGGGCATGCAGGAGCAGAGTGAAGAGGCGGGGCTGCCTGTGCCTGGGTAAATATGCTCTCTGGGATGGAAGGGCTGGCAGGTAAATATTAGTGACCATCTCGGCAGCAGCTCTTGGGGCAACCCGAGGCGAGGAAGGACACACAGCCCCTTTTACAGAAACCACATTTTTTTTCCTCCCTCTGTCTCCCTGCCCAGCCAGTCCCTGCGAACTGCCCGGCGCGTCCTGCCTTGCCAGACCCTCTGCCCGGGGTCATCCGCAGCCCGCGGGCGCCATCGGCTCCAGGCACACATCACCCGTGCTGGAACCCCAGCGTGTGGAGACCGGAGGCCAAAGAAACGAAACTCCCCACGCTGCGCCGTGGAGAATAATCACTGCCTTTTCAGAGGCCGACTTCGCCCCCTGCCAAGGCAAGAACTGTCTCGCCACCTTTCAGTTCTTGTTAAAAAGCAGAAGGCATGTCAGGGCCAGGCCGGGCCTCGGGACAGAGAGGGCTTTCTTCGCAGCCCTGGATGAATCTCAGTGTCTTAATGAAAGCTCTTATTAGCCCCAGCTGGCGTCCCATTTTCCCGAGCTGGAATAAAAAATTGCCTCGGTCATCCTTTCCCAGACTAATTTCAAAAGCATAATTACCATCATCATAATTGATTACTATTTATTTTGGTCATTAATAGTCGTGCACTCCCTTGTTAGGTGTGGATTAAATGATCCAAGAACATTTAGGGCACGTGGCAGCTGTATTTGTTTTCCCTCATTCCACACACCTCCCGCCCCTGGCCCTTTCAGGGTAACCCCTTGATTTCATGACACCCAGAGAGTCTCTCCCTGGCTTTAATGTTCAAACTACTGAGCCACGGTGGCTGATCGGAGTTGGGGTGAAAGGCTGGGGGTTCTAAAAGGAATGAAGAGGGTCCTATCGGGGCTAGAAAGGGCAAGAGGGGTGCATCGGCCTAACTTGTCTTGGGGGAGAAACAAAACAGGAGCGGGCAGAAGAAAGAGAACTTTACCATAACCAGAGTGTTGTTTCTTCTCTCTGACCCCTTGAGAGAGGCAGTTCCCAAGCATCTCTCACTTACTTGGGCACTTACTTTGGGATAATTGGTGTCTTTTGCTTTCAAGACAGGGAGCTTGGGAGATGTCTGCGCAAGGATCACAAGGTCCCCCCGAATACTCAAAATAGGTGAGTAGCTCCCACTTTGCCAAAACTCTTCAGGCCCCATCAGATGAACGTCCTGGAGGAGGTTAGCTGAATTCACACCCACTCCTGAGTTGTAGCAATTTTACTTCCACATCATCCCATCTACTGTTGGCTACTTAGCGCCTGAAAGGCTCTGGAGGTTCCGAAAATAAAGACAAGTAAGTAGAGGTTGAAAGCTTTAAATTCCCAGAGGCCAGGCTCTTAAATCTCTTGCCTCCTGCTAGGCAGAGACAATGGGTCCAGGATGGGAATTGGATTCAGGCTAAGCCAAATGAAACCATTCTTCAGGGAGAGGGATTTCGCCAGTACCCAGGGAGAAGCTGATTTCAGAGATGCAGACAGGGTCTTGGTAGCATTTGAGACCCTGCTTTCAGTTATTTCTGAAGCCTGGAGTAGAGACACAGAATAGCTAGACAAGTTGTATCCTGCATAGCTCCAGGAAGTGCCCTTCATCTGGCCACTGTGAGATAGTGGCCATTGGGGTTGTGCAGCATGCAGCCTGCACAACTGTACATGGCGACCCCATCTGGCAGCATCCCTGCTCTTTCTTCAGCTTACTTAGAGCTTACCCTGATACCCTGTTATTAAACTCCCCTTTCTGCCAAATCCAATCGGAATTGGATTTATGCCACTCAAACAAAATGAGACCTAAATAATATGATGAGAATAGTTATCTACAACCACAAAGAAAAAAAAAAGATGTAATATCTTCCCACTCCCACCCCCAGTTCATTCTAGATCACAGGAAGGAAGTACTTGTCTTTCTTAGCTATTAACTCTCAATTACTAGACATTTAGGGAGTCAGGAGTGGGGGTGGAGAAGAAGCATAGATGCCAGTTTGCACCCCCACCCTCAGCCACAGTCCTGGGGTGCCAGGCCCTGTGGAGCTGCCAGGCTGTGCCATGCAGAGGGTGGGTGAATGCAAGCACTGTCTGGAAGGCCTTCAGGCTGGCTGCATGGGAACAGCTGCACAGCCCCATGACGGGTGTCAATATCAAGGGAGACTCCACACTTTCCAGGGGGAATGGGGCTGAGAGAATGCGGGACTCTGGCCAGAAGAGATGGAGCTCCGGAGGGGCGGGGAATGCGGAGAGAGAAGGAAGGTCGCCAGGCAGAATCGCTGCACATCTAGACCCAGGGGAAAGAGAACGAGGAAGAGTCTTGAAGAAACTTTAAATTCACAGTTCCTGCATTCAACTCCTCTAAGGGCTTTCTGAGTCTCCCTAGTGAAATATGTAGACACTAAGTTTCAGGAAAGAACAATAATAAAGGGCATTTTTAAAAGCATGTGTGTGTATGGGGGGCAGGGGGAGCACTGGCAGAGTTCTTAGTGAGAAGACAGAGGGGAAAGAATTCAAGCAATCTCAAGGAATGTAAATAAATGTTCTACAAAGAGATGCGGGGTGGCGCAGGGTCATTAGTGTGGATTTTGAAATCGGCCTCACCTGGCTTTTCAGCACCTAGTCCCTGAGGTCTGCATGATCAGTCCCACTTTACTCTGTTTATTGGAAATAAGTTACTAAGTCTTGGCCAGGCGCAGTGGCTCACACCTGTAATCCCAGCACTTTGGGAGGCTGAGGTAGGAGGATCACCTGAGGTCAGGAGTTCAGGACCAGCCTGGCCAACATGGTGAAACCCCGTCTCTACAAAAAATACAAAAATTAGCTGGGTGTGGTGGCGCGCACCTGTAATCTCAGCTACTTGGGAGGCTGAGGCAGGAGAATCGCTTGAACCCAGGAGATGGATGTTGCAGTGAGCCGAGATCACGCCACCGCACTCCAGCCTGGGCGACAGAGTGAGACTGATCACAAAAAAAAAAAAAAAAAAAGAGTAAGTTACTAAGCCTAGCCCACACTGGAGGAGAGTGAAATTAGAACCCATCTTTTGAGGAGAGGAGTATCAAAGAATCTGTAGGCATTTTAAAGCCACCCCAAAATCTAGGTTAGTCAGCCTTCCCATGATGTCTTCACTTTCAGGATTTTAAGGTTTATCTTCCCAGCAGTCTGCAGGGCACACACCCATTAAGCAGGAGTTTCTCAAGTTTGGCACTATTGACATTTTGTGCACTTAATTCTTTATTGTGGGGGGCTGTCCTGTGCCTTGTAAGATGGTTAGCAGTGTCCCTGGTCTCTACCCACTAGACACCAGTAGCACCCCCATCCCCAGCTGTGACTATGAAGAATGCCTCTAGACATCAGCAAATGTGCCCTGAGTCAGGGGTGGGAGGAAGGCAGTGGCAAAATTGCCTTTGACTGAGAACCATGTTAGCCGACTTTAGAGTTTCACCACAGAATATTTTAATAAGAATATGTACTTATGGCGTAGGCTATAATGCACAATGCTGTCTATAATTTGGTCCAGTGTGTGCCTTTTATTCTCATTTTGCTTTTGTCTAATATGTGTAGTTCAACTAGTTTTACAAGGTTTGTTAAGACAAATTACATTCCTCAGTTTTCCTCCCTCCCATTTTCCCATCTCCAGGAACAATGTTTACGACTCTTTTAGTGTTCACTCCCTATCTCTATATATGGTTGAATTGCTGTTTCCCGCTTTTTCATTTTTGGTATTACCCATTAACTTGCCACTGTGGAAGACAGGGCTTATCACTCCTCCTTCCACTTCTACCTTAAGACTTCCCATCCCCCCACTTTCTCCTTATATTTATATTGTAATTTTGGCTTGAGAAGTATTCTTTGTTTTTTTTTTTTTTTTTTTTTTTTTTTTGAGACAGAGTCTCGCTCTGTTGCCCAGGCTGGAGTGCAGTGGCACAATCTCAGCTCACTGCAACCTCCGCCGCCTCAGTTCACGCCATTCTCCTGTCTCAGCCTCCTGAGTAGCTGGGACTACAGGCGCCCGCCACCATGCCCAGCTAATTTTTTGTATTTTTAGTAGAGATGGGGTTTCACTGTGTTGGCCAGGATGGTCTTGATCTCCTGACCTCGTGATCCACCCGCCTCGGCCTCCCAAAGTGCTGGGATTACAGGCGTGAGCCACCGCGCCCGGCCAGTATTCATTGTTTCTTACAGAGCTTTATATATGCTTGGCAGAACTATGCCTGAGCCAATCTTTTATTTTCCCTGGAATTAAAAATTGCCTTGTTATTGTTACTATTTTTTTTTTTTTGCTCAGTTTTCTCTGTACTTAAGAATTCATCTCCTAAAGCTCCTTTCCGTGTTCCCATTCTCATAAATTCTTTCAATTTCACCTTCCTGAAGAAATCTCACCTGCTCGGTCTGGGCTAGTTCATCTCCACCCCTGTACAGCTGTCAGCCTGGGCTAATGCTTCACCCTTAACCCAGCACTTCCTCTCACCTCTTGTTTCTGTACGTTGTAGTGGGTGAATATTGTCTCCCAAGAACTCATATCCTTCCCAGAAGCTCAGAATGTGACATTATTTGGAAATAAGATCATTGTCAATGTAATTAAATAAAATGAGGTCATGCAGTTGTAGGGTGGGCCCTTAATCCAATATGATTGGTGTCCTTACAAGAAGAAAAGAGACACAGAGCCAGATACACACAGAGGGAACACCATGTGAAGACACAGACGGAAGACAGCCATCAGCCATGTGAAGAGAGAAGGCAGGGACTGCAGTTCTGTTGCCATAAGCCAAGGAATGCGTGGGCCCCACAGAAGATGAAAGAGGCAAGAAAGGATCTTTCCCTAGAAGCCACAGATGGAGTGTGGACTTGCTGCTACCACGATTTCAGATTTCTAGTCTCTGGACTAGAATCTGTTTAAAACTGAGTTGTTTTAAACCACTCAGTTTGTCGGACTTTGTTGTGGAAAACAACAAAACCCTAGGAAATTAACACATATGGCATTCTCTTCCTTTTTTCCTCCTTGGTTTCTTCCCTCATTTGGTAGAGCACACCCTGCAATAGCTTTCTTGGAAAAAGCATGTAGAAGTCAAAATTTTGTTTGAGAGTTTGCGTGTCTGAATTGCGTTTATTCTGCTCTTACATATGAGTGATAATTGGGCTGGATATAGAATTCTAGGTTGGAAATATTTTTTCTTTAAAATGTTGAAGTCACTGTCCTGTTTTTTGTTTGCTTTTTTGTGGGATTTTCTCCCTGTGTGCTATTGAGACTTCTGAATTCATTCTAATTCCTGACTGTGGCATGTGACTTGTTTTTCTCCTTCCCTTCAGAAACTTGGTAGGGTCTTTTCTGTAATCCCAGTGTTCTGGAAGTTTTATATAATATTGTACCTTGGTGTGAGTATATTTTCATCCAGTATGCTGCAATCTTACAGTTCCCATTCAATCTGCAGATTCATCTTCTTCAAATGTGGGAATACTCTTGTTTTGTTGTTGTTGTTTTTGATGAATCTCCCTTCTGCCCTATGTTCACTATTCTTTCTTTTTAATACTCTTCTTATGTGCATGTTGGACTTCTTGGGCTAATCTTCAAGTTATTTTCTCTTTCCTTTTCTTTCCATCCCTTTGTTTTTCTGACTTCCTTTTTTTTTTATTTTTTTAGACAGAGACTTGCTCTGTTACCCAGGCTGGATTGCAGTGGTGCGATCTTGACTCATTGACGCCTCTGCTTCCTGGGTTCAAGCAATTCCCTGCCTCAGCCTCCTGAGTAGCTGGGGTTATAGGTGCCCGCTAATTTTTGTATTTTTAGTAGAGATGGGGTTTCACTATCTTGGCCAGGCTTGTCTTGAACTCCTGACCTTGTGATCCACCTGCCTTGGCCTCCCAAAGTGCTGAGATTACAGGCATGAGCCACCGCAACCCGGCCTCTTTCTGACTTCCTTTCTGAAAATGTTCCTCAGTTTTATCTTTCAATCTTTTTTATAAGGTTTTTTGCTCTTTTTACATTTTTAATTTTCAGCAAATAGTTTTTGTTCCTTACGTGTTCTTGTTTTATAGCGTTCTGTTTTCCTTTCATGAATACAATGTCTTTTCTTACCTCCCAAATGTTATCAGTGATTATTCTTAGAAGTTTTCTTCTTGCATAATTTCTGTTTCTCCCAAGTTGCTCTTATTTGTTTGTTTTGTTCTCTGACTTTCCTAACAGAGGTTTTCCTAAGATGTTTATTCATCTGTGATTGTCTGAATGGGTGGAGTTTCTTGACTGTGAGCTTCATAGGGTGTTACATTGTGCCAGTTTTGAGGGGAGTCTCAGTGATTATCTTCAGATCTTTCTACTTGGGCTTTCCAGACTTTGCAGAGAAGATCCTTCCAACCTACTGTCTAGAGGGCAGAGGCAAGGCTGCAAGCATTCCGGAAGTCCAACAGGGGAGGGAGAGTGGAGGAAGGAGGCGTCTCAACATCTGGTATGTCCATACTCACTGAATACTCCTGTTTCCAATATGTATGATATCCCTGGTCTCAACTAGATCTGATGTCACACAGTCCAGATTTCCTATGTTTTACCCTCCTTGGAAAGCAAATGGTCAGTCTTTTGAAGGGTGGAGAAGGAGCAGACACCTAGCAGTTTGGAGTTGAGGTGGGGATCCAGGCATTTAATTACTTCTAAACAAATTTCAACCAACCTCCATTATTTTATACTCTTTCCCCACAGCTTTGCTCTCAGTTCCAGAAGTACCTGTTGCCACAGACTCCTGAGTTCTTCTGAAGCCAGTGGGTTTATGCAGTGAATGCTCAGAAAAACCCAGGAATCTGTGGCCACAGGTACTGCTGGGACTGAGAGCAAAGCTGTGGGGAAAGAGTATAAAATAATGAAGGTTGCTTGAAATCCAGGGTTCATGGATTTTCCTGCCTGTTGGGTTGGGATTCACCTTTGTTAGGGCTGCTCAGTCAGTTACTTCTCATCCATGAGCTTTCCAGCTCCCAAAGTTTTGTTGTTTTCACCTCTTTCATTTTTTCTTGTAAGTTTATGTCTTTAAAGAAAATCCCATCGTGATGGTTGTAGCAAGTTTTCCTGGGGAACTGCAACCAAATGTTTGCGTTCAATCTGACCTCTTCCTTCAGAGCTCCTAGTTTGCATTTCCAACCTTATCTCGGGTGTTATTTTGGAAAGGAGGTTGAGCACTTCTCGAGTTTGTTCTAAAATGCCTTTCTCAGCATTACTTGGTCCAAAACAGCATTTGGACCTGACCAATCATGTGCTATTCAGCAAAAGCCATACAACATATTTATCTATATAATGTCTTCCTATATTACCAAAGGAACCATATTTCCATCAGATGTGTTTCTCAAGCACTCTGCCACTCCTTTCTACCTCTCCTGCGTTTGATCTGAGGACGGCCCGTTCCACAGGTAATACCGGGAAGAAGTGAAGAAAGCAGAGTCGGGGTGGGGGGAGGTTTGATTATTCATTGGTTTGTGACACACACAGTCAAAAGACAACTTCGGGCTTGTTTCCCTTAAGATGGGCAGGGAAACCTGTTTTGATGCAATGCTGTGTGAGCTGAGACCACAGTAGGTAAAGGAATGAGGCATGCAGATATCTGGGGAAGAGTTTTCAGGAGTAAGAAAGACAGTGCCAAAGTCTCTAGGAGGGAAAGCAGGAGACCCATGGGGCTGGAGAGGAATAAACAAGAGGGGGCGTGGTAGGGGATTGGCTGTTGGCAGGTGGGCATGATTGGACCGTTGACATTTTCTCTGGGTGAGATGGGGAGCCACATGGGGTCTTGAGTAGGGTGACATGATGCCTCTTGTGTCACATGCAAGAGCAGAAGCAGAGAGCACAGCCAGACAGGGCTTCTGGAAGAATCCAGGGGAGATATTTCTCTCGATGGTGTTGGCTTGGACCAAATGGTATCAGTGGAGGTGGTGAGATAGGGTTGGACTTCGGATATATTTAAAGGTAAAGCTGAAAAGAATTGCAGATAAGTTAGATACGAGGTGTGAGGGAAAGAGACATATCCAGGAAGATTCCAAAATTCTTGACTTCAGCCACTGGAAGGATACAGTTGTCAGGTGCTGAGATGGGCAAGACTGGGAGAAAAGCAGGCTTGGAAGGGAAGATCTGGAGTTCAGCTTTGGCTCTGCCAAATTTGCGTTGCCTACTGGATATCCAGGTAGGTGTGCTGAGGGGGTGGGGGATAGAGATGGTAGAGTCAACGAAAACACCCAGTGTTCATGGAGCTCGTCCAATGGGCCAAATGCTGTCTGTGTGCTTTATCTGTATAACTCATTCCATCGCCATGACAATCTGATAAGAGATGATTCTTCTTATGCATGCCAGGAACACAAAGGCACAGAAGATGAAGTAACTTGCCCACGGCCACACGGTTGGTAAGTATTGGGGCTAACTTCCACCTGAGCCATTTGGCCCCAGAGCCTGCCTTTCTAGCCACTGGGGTCTCTGTGTCTCCTCCCATCTGGCCAATGCACTTAAGGTCTTCCAGGTTTGACGTGGGTACCAGGATCTGAAGTATCAGCCTTTCAGTGTTAGCACAAAGCAGGCAGAAAACTCATGCGATTGTTAAAAGTGAGGCTTCTGGGGCCAGTCAGGTCTGGGTGTGAATGTCCGTCATTTACTGACCCTGAGGAACTTATTTTCCCCCTTCTCAGCCTTGGTCCCCTCCTCTGTGAAGTGAGAATAATAATGGTATTGACCTCAGAGAGTTGTTGTGAGGAGGAAGTGAAGTAATGCGTGCAAAGTGCTCAATAGATATTATTTGTTATCATTATTATTCTTAAAGAGCAAAGATTGCAATGTCTCTCAATCGGACTCTCACTCCACTCAATTCCCCAGAAGGTAGTGTGCTGGAAAGGTAGGAATTGTGAAAGGGGTTTGAGAATCAACTATGATAAAGTAGAGCTTGTGGAGTCTTTGGAGAAAGGCTCTCTTGCTTTCAGAAGTCCAGAGTAGTTCAGGGCATTATCCAAATCCCATGATGTTAGGGGTACTTGGTGGCCAATAAAACCACCCCCATTCTTCTGGCCCAATGGGCTCTGTCTTAATCTTCATGACTCCAGGGCCCCAGGGCTCAGGGCTACAGGAAGGAAAAGTACTCCAGGCTGAAGATGGGACTCATAAAGAAGCTTCCTGTCTCCCAAGGCCATCTCAAACTTCACTCAGAGGATGCTGGGGGTAGCTTTAATTGGCCCTCCTCGCCACACGCGGTGCAAACAGCCCTGGAATGTTTCCTTAGATGAGGCCGTCTCTGACTTACAGGAATAAAGAGTCACCTTTAATTCCTGGGTCCAGAAGGAGCCCAAATGAATTTAGAACAACTAAAGACTCAGTTCAGAGGGACACTGAAAAAAGCAACCAATAATTACAGCTTGGGAGCCATGAAGTAGCCCAAAGAGACCGAGGTCTGTCCATAGGAGACCAAAGAAAGAATTTTGTTTACCAATTTTTCATTTATACTCCACCTACTTCCCAAAAGAATTTGGGGTGGCTGACAGGAGAAAGCAAACAAGAATCCCGGCTCTAAGACTTTACCCACTGGTAAAGCTCCTGAGATGGATCTAATAAAGTGGGTTATTTTGCCACGAGAAAAAAGAGACAGATCATGGAACCAAACAAGTCACATGGAGGGACCAGCTACTCATTTGCATGACGCACATTGAGAAGAGAAACCATTGTGAACACTTCTTTTTCTAGCATCATCAAAGAATGAAATTTTTCATTCAACCTTGCCATCTTTAAATGACTGATTCCTCTCTGTTCTGGGCTCCGAAATACTACCGTTAGAATTCTTAGTGCAAACGCGACACAAGTAATTGCATCGATTTATCAGGTGGCTTCCATTGTGGCCGTTGGTGCAGGACTGGATGCTGGTTTGGGGTAGAGGAAGCGAACATCTAGATTCTCCAGACTTCTAGGGAAAGAAAGGATGGGCAGGCATGGGGTACAGGTGGGGTTGGTCTGACTGCAGAGTGGGGAACATGGAGAAAATAGAAGGTGGGCAAATGCATGGCAGCAAGAAACTGACATTTTTTGAGCATCTATTTTATGTTTAGGCCTTTCCAATGTTACCTCTACAACAACCCTGTGAGAATGGCATTTTTACTCCTAATCATACGAAGGAGGAAACTGAGGCTCAGAGAAGTGCAGTGATGGACCTAACTCACTCAGGAGAGAAGCAAGTTCTGACTTGTTCACAATGAGATCCAGCTCCAACCGATTTAAAATCGTGGGGAGCATGACACTTCTTGGCTGCTGTGGCATCCTGGAAGTCCAGACCTGAGGGTGCTTTAGGGATTCTCTTAGTACAACCTTCTCCTTTGACAGATAAGGAAGCAAAAGCTCAAGGGCCTGAGGCCTCTTGCCTACTTTGTGATAGCAGAGGCTCAACTTGAAAGTCAGCTTTAAATTCCAGGGTCCTGCTGCTTTCTGGATGGCCACCATGACACCACCTCACACAAACCTCCCTAAAATTCTCCCAGCCCGCAACCATTTTCAAAAATGGAAAGTTTCAGCAGCCACACCTGCTGGGAAGTGGAGTCTATTTTGTGCTGGAAGCCACTATATTTACCATACCTGACCTTGGTCTACATCAGACAACATTCTTCAGGATCTAGAGACCGTTACAACCAGCCTTCAAGGGGGCAGACGTGCTTCATTGTGTCAAGTATTTGCAGGCATAAGTGGCCTGGGGCTTGGAAATATTTTCAGCATAGTATGCTTTTTGTTGTTTATGGGATTGGATATTTTAGGTAAATATCAGCATGCATTCCAATGCAAACACAGACTTGCCTATAGCACAGGCAAGGACATTAAAATTAACATCACATTCACTAGTGTTTGTTCTATTGACAAACACTGCCCAATTTAGGTAGTTGGGATATTAGAAAGCAACTAGTTTAACAGCCACTGTGGTGTATATTAAATGCAGTTAGGTCAAGGGCATGTAACTAGTTTTTGGTGGGCGGTGGGAGGACCCATCCATGTAGGTGTTCAGAACTATGCAACTAATGAGCATATAATAGCAGCCAAGAGCTGCCATTCTCTGAGTGTCTTGCCTGTTCTGGGCACTTCTTCCCCTACAAGCTATCATTTATTTTTATTTTTATTTATTTATATATTTTTTTGAGATGGAGTTTTGCTCTTGTCGCTCAGGCTGGAGTGCAATGACGTGATCTTGGCTCACTGCAACCTCCATCTCCTGGGTTCAAGCGATTCTCCTGCCTCAGCCTCCTAAGTAGCTGGGATTACAGGCACCCACCACCACACCCAGCTAATTTTTGTATTTGTAGTAGAGACTGGGTTTCACCACATTGGCCAGACTGGTCTTGAACTCCTGACTTCAAGTGATCCACCCGCCTCGGCCTCCCAAAGTGCTGGGATTACAGGCATGAGCCACCACGCCCGGCCCAAGCTATCATTTAATGGGAGATAGTCAGATTGCCTGGGTTCGCCTCTCGCTGTGCCATTTACCAACTGTGTAGCCCGGGGCAGTTTACTGATCCTCTCTGTCCCTCTGCTTTCCTCATCTGTAAAATGGGGATGAATCGTGGTCCCTGCACTCATGGCAGAGTTGTGAGGGTGAAGTAGATTCTCCTTCTGAGGCACTGGTGCAGGAGTTGGCTTATAGGAAGCACTCAGCACGCATCCGCGCTTGTTCCTACCTTGTGACTTTCATAACTATGCCATATATGTTTTCTTTGACTCATTTAATAAGTGTATGCTATGGGCTGGCAAAGGGTTGACACACCACCCAAAGCCACATGGCTAGATTGAGGCAGAGCTGGGACTTGATCTCAGACCTTTGTAACTGTGAAACTAAACCCAATGAAGAAGCAGAGCAGGCCCACCTGTGATTTCAGGCAGGTAGATGGGGGACCCAGGAAAAGTGGCTTTGAGCACTCACCTGTTTTTTGTCCTGGGGTTGTGGGAGACAAATTTAATGAGAAGAAATACTGTTGGCCCCAGGGGAACTCCACTTTGGAAAAAAACTACTCTTGTGGCTAGGAAAACACCTCCATGTGCTCATTTGACTTGGAAAGTGAGGCCCTCTGGGCAAAGCTGATGACATGGACCACGTGGCTCCTTCATATAGCAAATATTTTGTAAAATCCCCTTACCATCTTGCCACTAAATAAAATGTATTTATACATATAATCCCTTCCCAAATTCATATAATTCCCAGGTTGTAATAGGAAAGAGACATTAAAGTAAGGTGATTTATCATAAAATAATATGTGTGCCAATACCTAGGCACTGGGCAGGACCACCTGAGAGGGTATATTTAAAGTGATCAGATACATGCTCCAAGTTACAAAGAATGTGTTGGGATTGAAGAGAAGTTAGACACAAATCAGTTGAAGATTGTTGCATCTTTTCCTTAATAGTTAACAGTTTGAGAGCCAGTGAAGTGTGTGTGCACATAAAGCACAGAATTCCCTAGGATGCGGCCGGGCACAGGCATGTTATTGGGGACTCATGTGCCTCGGGCAGCTTCCTTGTCAGTGGTATTTTTTCTGAAATGGTGATTCAAATCTTGGTAAAGTTCCAAATAAAACAAAATGTGATCTTCTCTAAATTTACACAGGAGTTACATTCTGGGAAACTCAGTGTGTATTAAACAGTGCAAAAACGACTTGGTGTTTATGTGTAAGGCTGAGTTGGACTCTAGTCAGACAATTATAAACAGGTTTCTCACCTACATGGGTGTCCGATGGATCATTCAAAAGTATTTGGGAGATGGATTGCACATCAAAATACGAAAGGTAAAATTATGACGTTTGCAACGTTTCTAGAAAGACACAAAGGAGTAGGCAAAGATGACTTAGACAGGACTAAAACTTATTAACCATAAAGAAATGGTTGATGGATTTTATTACTTGAAAATTGACCCATCAAATGACACTCTTATGAGAGTGAAAAGACAAGTCACAGAATGAGAGAAAGTATTTGCAAACCATATATTCATCAAAGAAGTCATAGCCAGAAGAGAGCTACAAATTAGTAAGAGAAAAAGCCTACAACTCAATAGAGAACTGGCCAGAAGACTTGAGTAGGCCCTTTGCAAAGGTTGATATCTGAATGGCCAATGAACATAAGGTGATACCACAGCATAGTTTCCAAAATGGCTAAAATAAAACAGGCAAATAATACTAAGTGTTGACGAGGAAGTGGAGCAATGGGAATTCTCATATTGTGCAAGTGGGAATGTCAAATGACTAAACTTTGGAAAATTCTTTGCAGTATCTACTAAGGTTGCACCTATGCCTGTCCCATGATCTGGCTATTTATTCTTAGGTATATTCCCAGAAGAAATGTGTACATCTGTGCATCAAGAAACATGTGAAAATGTTCAAGGCAGCATTGTTTATAATAACTTCAAGCTGGAAACAACCCATGTGTCCATCAAGAACTATACGCAGCAACATGAAGAATCCACAAACATGAAAATGAGTGAAAGAAGCCAGATGCAAAAAAGGGCACACAGCGTGATTCCATTTATGAGAGGTTTAAAAACAAGCAAAACAAATTGCAGTGCCTAAAAGAGCAGCAGATGTACACAATTGTGCTGATTTTTCTCTCATTTAAAACGGTTCCACAAGTAGTTAGTCCAGGGCTGGTGTCATGGCTCCATGGTCACTGGGGCATTGTGTTCCTCCACGATTTCTGCTTCACCAGGCTTAGCCTTTGCTTCCATCCTCTAGTTTGCCTCATGGCTCAAGATGGCTGCTAGAGCTCCAGCTGTCTCTTATGCATTCCTGGCTGTAGAATGGAGGAAGGAGGAAAGGGTAACGGGACGCTTTACTGGCTATTCTTGTTTAAAGGAGCATCCTTGATCATACTTAATGAGAATCTGGAGTAATTTTCAGGAGATCTCAGAGAGGGTACAAGAGCAACAGGGCCTTGCAAATACAGAAAAGTAGCCTTCCAGGCAATTATAATAGATCTGGGCAGGCATTTTGCAAAGACTATTGCAGGAAAATGGAGCTTATTTAGAAATCGATAGTTGAGTACTCTGTGATTTTAAAATGAGCACAAGGAGACACTGTTGATGCCCAGAATCCTCTACAATTAGCAGCAAGAGCTCTGGAAAACCCAGGGAGGGGGTAGAGGGAAGAAGGTTAGGTTCAGTTGAATCTGGATGCTGGAAGAGAAAGAGGATCCAGCCAGATCCAAACAGACAGCATCCTCAGATGCACCTGCCCAGGGGGCCCCCCACTCCTTAGCAATGAGGGTCTGGTGTGAATGCTGGTTCACTGACACGTGACAAGCACACCTGTGTCCCAGCCATCCCACCCAGGCACCAGGTAAACATCTTCCCAGAGGGCTGACAGGCCACTGAGCCCGTTCCCAGGATACTCCGGACTCTCCCCAGGGCAGTAGCCTCGTTACAGAATTCTATCTGTAAATTTAATCAGTGCAAAACCATATCCATGGTTTTGTGGCGGGATGTAAAGATGACAGCCTTCCTCCTGTGGGGTTGAGACATTCTGGAGCTTCGTGAAAATTCACCATCTGGCTTCTTCCTGGCTGAGCATGGGGACAACCTTCCCATCCAGATGTCCCCATGAGGCAGCACGTTGCCACAGGTACTTGGGTTGGATCTAGCCCCGCTGCTGAGCTTCCTGGGCAAGCCCGGGCAAGTCAGCCAGCACCGTGGGCCTCAGATCCCCCTTTTAAAAGGTGAAGAGGAGAGTACCTGCATCACAGAGCTGTCACAAGGATCAGAGGTATATGTGACAGGAGGAATCGCATGCAGCACTGGACATTAAATGGCGCTATCATGGTGTGGCAGCACACTTCTGAGGCTTCTGGAGTTGTCGTGTTTTGTTAATAATTTATTCAGCTCTCATTCACATACCATACAATTCACCCCCTTAAAGTGTACAATTTGGTGACCTTTAGTGTATTCAGAGCTGCGCAGCCATCATCAGAATCAACTCTAGAACATTTTCATGACCCTGGGCAGAAACCCTGCACTTCACAGCCACCAGCCCCAGCCCCTCCATCCCCCAACCCCAGCCCCCCAAGTTCCTCTGTTCGGTGAATATCTTCTGAATATCTGAATGCCAGCAGTGTTCTTGGTGCTGGTGGGAAGCTCTGTCCCTGCAAATGCAGGGCACGGGCAGGAGTACAAAGAGGGGACCACATATCACAGGTCTCAACAGTTCAGAGTTCAAATCGAGCTAACAGCTGTTAAGTAAAATAGGTCTTAAGGGCTCCCTTAACAAATGTGCCTTTCCAACCATCGGGAAGGCCAGGTTCAAATTCCAAGTTGTTAGACGTCTTGAATCTCTGGTTGGAACGTGGCCCCGTGGGGAGGGTCATCTCGGCCAAGGGCAGCCCACTTCTCTTCTCATGCTGGCTGCATCACATGCTGTGAGGGACCCTTGCATGGTGTGTGACACCCAGGCTCTGTTTTTACCTGCTGTGAACACCCATCCTTGGCCAGGCGGCAGAACAAACCTGGGGCACATCCGATCCTGCGGTCCCTGGAAATAGGCTTGAGCCTTTGGGGGTCTAGGATGAGCTCCTCCAAAACCCTGGGTCCATTTAGATTTGGGGATGACTTGGGGTTATTTGCCCATTCAGCCTCTGCCCTCCGCTAACCCTGGAGGTGAAGGGCTGGGGCGGGTCAGGGACACACGTGATGCGGGGAACCTGCCCCAGAACAGGGTCAGCTGCAGTTGTGCAGCTCCTGGCCCAGTCGCCTTCCTTCGTGACATGCCACCTGCGGCCTCGGCTCTCCTGCACACCTCCTTTCCTTCCTGTCCCGTGAGGCCCTCACGGCCGTCCTTCCGTGACTGCATCATGACCCTGAATTCTGCTCTTGGACCCCAGGGCGTGCAGGCCTTTTGTAGAATACTCCAGACAGAGGAACTTCCAGATCAAGTGTTGAAACTCAAATTAGCCATAGCTCAGACGAACATGGAGGAGTGGGAAGACCTCAGCCCCTATGTAGGCAGAAAGACCTGGGTTTGGGGAGGTCACTGGTACCTCATACCTGGGCAACCTAGCATGGGCTCTTCATTTCTGAGAACTCTTTTCCCTACATGTTCTTCCTCCATAGGCTTGTAGAGGGGATTAAAACAGGGTGACCCCTGCAACCGCTTAGCCCAAAAGCCCAAAGCTGCTTCTCCCTACAACCTTCTCTTTAGTTTTCGTTTTCAGATTTTTCCTGATTATCCCCAATTTTATGAATAATAATTATAACACTTATTTGCTAGACACTGTACTAAGTACTTTATACATGTCTACTCTTTAAATACTTACCTTGACTTTTTTGCAGATAATCAAGTCAATGTGTAGGTACACTTTTGAAATTAGTAAGTGCCATGGTTTGGATGTCTGTCCCCTCCAGACCCCATGTTGAAATTTGATCCCCAATATTGGAGGTGGGGTGAATGGGAGGAGTTTAGGTCATGGGGGCAGATCCCTCTTGAATAGATTAATGCCCTCCCTTGGAGTGAATTCTTGCTTGGCTAATTCCTTCTAGAACTGGTTGTTAAAGAGCCTGGCATCCGGCTCCCCACTCACTTCCTCTCTCACTACGTTTTCTCTGCATACCAACTCCCCTTCACCTTCCGCCATGAATGGAAGGAGCCCATGGCCCTCCCCAGATGCAGATGCCCAACTGTGAACTTCTCCAGACATCAGAATCATGAGCCGAAGAAAGCTTTTTTCTTGGTAAATACCCAGGCTCAGGTATCACTCTACAGCAATACAACATGGACTAAGACAGTCAGTGTGCTCATGCAAATAGCATATCAACAGCCACCTGTGCACTTGATAAAAATGCACATTCTCAGGCTTCAGCCCACACCTGCTGAATCAGAAACTCTGAGGTGGGCCCAGCAATCTCTGTGCCCACATGACCTTCAGGTGACTCTGATATGCACCCAAGTTTAAGAACTATGGCCTAGTTTCCCCGTGTACTCAGCTACCCTATGTGATTAATACAGGCTGAGTATACCTTATCTGAAAGGCTTGGGACCTGAAGTGTTTCAGGCTTTGGATTTTCAGATTAGGGATGCTCAACCTGTAATTACTACTAATAATAGTAAACGCTTATTTGGCTCTTGCTATGTGCCAGGGGCTCTGCTAAGTGCTTTGACATGGAGTGTCTTCCTCATTCTCAAAGCATTTGATGAGGCTATTAAAGTCCTCATTTTACAAGCAAGAGAACAGGCACAGAAAGGTTGGGTGACTGTTTAAGGTCACACAGCCTCAAGCATATGCCTCCTTTTCCACAGTGGTTGTAATGATGACAGGGAGGCAGGCAACATTTTACATAATTTTTTAAAAATTTATTCCCAGAAAGCCTTGCAATCTCAAGGATTTTTTCTTAAAAATGGTAGTTGACCAGAAAATGTAATTGATGGGAACTGGCCCATTCTCAGGGCATCTGGATAATTTAGGTTTTCCTGTGGTCTAGGTGGCAAAGCCAGATGCCTGCAGGGCCAGGCAGGAGACATAACCCAGTGAGGTGGTGCCAGGGTGAGGACTGTGGTGAGCTGGAGAGTGTATGCCCAGTCCAGGGGGAGCAATGGCTGGCTCCACAGCTCTAGAGAGAGGGAGGTGTTGTCATGGGGGGATGTGGGTGTCTTTTACCTTATTTTGTAAGAAAAAAACCAACAGGAATCTGGGTGTTATATGAACTCTCCCAAGTTTAAAAAACTCAGTGTTAAACTCTCTGCATTCTGTTTTTTCAGACACCATGAAGGCTGAACAAAGGATATCTGGGGGCAAAATCTGACCCATGGGCTGCCCATTGCCACCTCTGGGCAGCCCTCCTTGATGGTGTGGAGTCCGCGGTCCGCATTGGTTAACTTAACTGTGCTTCCTCAGATCCAGTCTGGAATTAATTATTGAATTGTATGCATTTTCAATGCCATCCTCAAGCTAACAGCCAACTATGCGGGGGAATAAAACGGAGCAGAGAACCGAGTTGGGTTCCAGAGACCCCAGATTGTCTTCATTTGCAGTTGCCAGGTTCCCTGCAGCCCGGGTCTGTGGATTTCCCGCGGCTCAGCGCCCGCAGCTCAGGCTCCGTGGAGCCCGGCGGCATGGACGAGGCGTCGCGCGCGCCCTCTAGTGGAGAAAAAGGGTCACTGCCGAACGCCAGCTGCGGACCGTCGAGAGTTCCTTGGGCCATGGCTCCTGCCGGGAGCAGCAGCCCTGGGGCCGGGATCCAGGATGCAGAGGCGAGAAAATGAACTGCCCGGCCACCACGAAGACAACCCACCCCTTGCCAGTCACCCCTCAAACTACTGACAATGTCAACAACAATAATTATAACAATCATATTAATAAGTAGAATGACAAATATAATAATATTTAACAGTTTGTGATTTTCAGCCCACAAGGTTTCGCCTACTGTGTAGATTACTCGGGACTCTGCAGGCCAGTAGGCCATGTATAGATGGACAGAAAGAGGTTTGTTATCAGAAATGGGCTCACATGACTGAGGATACTGTGAAGTCCCACGACCTGCTGTTTGCAAGTAGGGGATCAGGGAAGCCAGTGGAGTAGGTCAGTCCAAGCCCAAAGGCCGAGAACCAGAGGAGCCGACGGCCCAGCTCAAGCAGAAAGAGTGGCACTCACCCTTCCTCTGCCTTTTGTTCTCTTCAGGCCCTCAGCAGATTGCAGGACGCCCCGACACAAGGAAGGGCGATCTTGACTCAGTCAGTCCACGGATGCACGCTAACCCCTTCCAGAAACACCCTCACAGACACACCTAGAAATAATGTGGGGTTTTTGGTGTTTTACTTTTAATTGCATTTATTTTAATGCCGGATGTATTTCCGCGTTGCCAGCTCCTGAGCATCTCTGAGCCCAATCAAGTTGACACATACAATTAACCATCACGCTGTGTCAGTTCAATCATTAAAAATACGCAACACTCAGCCGGGCGCGGTGACTCACGACTGTAATCCCAGCACTTTGGGAGGCTGAGGTGGGTGGATCACAAGGTCAGGAGTTCGAGACCAGCCTGGCCAACTGGTGAAACGCCGTCTCTAATAAAAATACAAAAAATTAGCTGGTCGTGGTGGCAGGCACCTGTAATCCCAGCTGCTCAGGAGGCTGAGGCAGGAGAATCGCTTGAACCCGAGAGGCAGAGGTTGCAGTGAGCCGAGATCACGCCATTTCAGTCCAGCTGGGAGACAGAGCAAGACTCCGTCTTGAGAACAAACAAACAAACAGACAGACAGACAAAAAAACACGCAACACTCTATTAACGCATGAATGTATTCTCACCGAACAAGATTCAAACAGTATGAATGAACATATTGCAAATGTTTTTAAGTGTTTTTGAAAACTTTCATTTTGAAACAATTTCAAACTTAGTTGAAAAGTTGCAAGGATGGCACAAAAACCTTCTATTAATACATAGCTTTTAGCAGGATTCCTCAGTTGTTAACAATTTGCCACATTTGCTTTATAATTTTTGCTCTGTCTCTACATACTTTTAAGATCTGAGCCATTTGAAATATAATGCCCCCTTATAATAGTTCCGTGGGTCTTTCCTAAAAACAAGTCATTATCTTCCATAATCCAGTACAGTTGTTCAAATCAAGAAAATTAACATGGATGCAATAGTATTATCTCATCTGCAGACCTTCTTCAAATTTCACCAATTGTCTCAATAATACCATCCTTTTTAGCATTTTTTTGGCTGATTCCCACTACAAACTATGAAAGCACAAATGTCTCTCCTCTGCCTTGCCCAGAGGTTCCTCTTTCAATCATAGGGGAGGTGCCGATAGGGTCTGTCTTTCATTTTTCTCAATGGAAGCACATTCCCCACTTCTCAATTTGCCTTGGGAGCTCTTATTTCAATCTCTTCTCAATCCTTCGAAGCAGGACTCCTCCCTAGCCATATTCTACACAGAAGGAAACAGAAACTCAGCGTGAGGACGGCTCCTGCCCTGCGACCTCAGGTCCCCCAGCTGCCTTGCTAAGAGTTGAACCGTGCCCCCAGCCCCTACCCTGATACATTTCAGCAAATTGATATGCAAGGCCCCTTTCCAGGCCCTGGGAACATGAAGAGGAAGTTGCTGATGGCTGTGCTCAAAGACTTCCCAGGCTAGTGCAAGGGACAGGAGAGGGCGGCCCTGCTGGAAGCTCAGTGAGGAGCCCTGCGGTGGGGAGTGGTTGAAGCCGTTAAGTCCTCTGGTGACCTATGGGTGTGGAGGCTGGACCAGAGGGCCTTAAGGGGTAGCCCTGCAGGTCCCAACCCCATTCTTGGTGGAAGTGTTGGCTGAGGTCTCTGGAGTTGAGTGGGGTGGCAGAACTGGGCACTCTCATGACAGGAGAGGGGGGATGGGCAGGAGAGGTGTTCAGAAAAGGAGTGCAGGGAGGGCGGAAGAGCCGCTGTGTGAGTTTCCCCCAGCCCCTTGAGCAGCTGTGGGCCTCCTGCCCAGTCCCCATGCTGGGACCGAGAGGGCAAAGCGTGCAGAGAAGGCTGCACACCCTGCAGCCTCAGCCAGCGCGTGATAGGGGAGCTCTGGGCAGGGACAAAGCTGCAGTCCCTGTCCCTGAATGTCGGGGCGGGGGGGGGCGGGGATAGAAAGGAGAAAATGGGGCAGAGAGAAAAGAAAGCGGTGGCGTGCACATGCCCAGGCCCTTTGCTCCACTTTCCATGCTATATGAGACACTTCCCAAAATTCACACTCCCTGGGACCCTGAGGATGGGGGCTGTATCAGAGGAATTAATTCAGTCACAGGAGGACAGGAGTCCAGCTCTGACTCAGTCCCAGTGGAGCATCGTAGAAAACCGACAACCAGTGTCCAAGGAGCCCACTTTGGTGTCTGATGGGTCACCAGGAAGAGTTTATTAGATTCCTGAAAATCATAAGTAAGCATCCCTGCTTTGTGGAATTTCAGTTGGTGAGTGACAATGCCAAGTATGCAATTTGTCCTTCAACTTTTCATTTATGCCACACCGCGTGCTGGGCTCTCTGCAGGTGCTGGTGAAACAGACATGAAAAGGCACAACCCCTGCCTCGGGATCTGGTGGCAAGATCAACAGGTAAACTGCAGGTCTGATACGGATTGACAGGTGCCACTCAGAGTGAGTACGGGTGGCAGAAACTCAGAGGGGTCCGCCTGCCCAGTCTGGGATTGGGAAAGGCATCTGATTAGTTTCTCATGGCTGTTGTAACAGATTACCACTACCTTAGTGGCTTAAAACAACATAAATGTATTCTCTTATGACACTGAAGGTCGTTAAGTGTGAAATCAGTTTCCCTGGCTATAGGTGTCATCTGAGCTGGTCTTTTCCGGAGGCTCCAGGGGAGAATCGCTTCCTGGCCCTGTTCAGCTTTGGGAGGCTGCCTGCATCCTTGCCTGCAGCCCCCTTCTCCTTCTTCAAAATGCACCCCTGCAACCTCTGCACCCAACATCACACGGCCTTCCCTGCTGCACTCAAATGCCCGTCAGCCTCCCTCATTATGGACACTTGTGATGACATTTAAGGCCCATCTGGATAATCTAGGACACTCTTGCCATCTCCACATCCTTACCCACACCTGCAAAGTTCCTTTTGTCATAGAAGGTAGCATTCCTGAGTTCCAGGGATTGGGACATGGACATTTTGTGGTGGGCATTAGTTGGCCTGCACAGCTGCCTAGAGCAGACATCTCTGCAGCGGCAGGCCAGAAGAGTGAGGGTGCTCCTGGGTGAGGGCCTTGGTGGAGTGGCAAAGGCAGGGAGGGAGAAAGCCTGGCATAGTCAGGGAAGGACAGATGAGCAGGAAAGGCTGGCAGGGGCCAGATCTCATAGGGTCTTGAAATCTCAGCTTAGTCCTGAAGGAATTGCGTCTTGCACAAAACCTAAACATTGAGTGAAGGCTGTTGTCTCAGCCAGGGCCCTAACAGGACACAGATGACACACTAAGATGGGTAACTGAAGTGTGGGTTGATAAAGACGCTGTCTGCAAAGGGGTGGACGGGGTTAGGGAAGCCAGCAGAGCATGGAGCATGCCTGGGACTGACACAGCTGTGAGGTGCTACTGTCTCTTTGGGGAGCTGTGCCTACCCCTAGACCCGAAGAGAGGAGGCCAGGGAGTGGCTATCAGAACCCAGAGAGGGTGGCTGTGTGGAGAAGCACATATGAGTCTGCAGTAAAGGGACACAGCCTACCTGTGGTAACCTGGCAGGGAAGGACCGGGGGTAACAGATGTCCAAGTCCATTCTTCCTGCCCTGTGAGGGCCTGCCCATGCTCCCATTGGCCAAACCCCACTTGAAGCCAGAGAGCAAGAGTGATTGTCCCCATGGCATGGCTGGGTGGGCACAGCA
The DNA here is from genome assembly GCF_000001405.40 of Homo sapiens. Lineage (NCBI taxonomy): Eukaryota > Metazoa > Chordata > Mammalia > Primates > Hominidae > Homo > Homo sapiens. Next base: position 173,577,469 of record NC_000005.10, read on the forward strand.
GGGAGGAGGAAGATGGGGTGGGGACAGAGACACCCAGCGCAGGTGTCACATGGGGAGTAGCACCACCAGATCATTGTGGAGAAAGATCACACTGGCCGTGATGTGGAGGGTGGACCCGAGTGGGACAGAGGAGGAGGTGGGGAGGTCAGGGCATTCCAAGTGATTTAAAAAGCACATTAAAAAATGCATTTCCCTAGTTAGGGGTCCATTTACCCGAAGAGGTATCTGGGATTGTTCTGCTCCCAGCTGTGTCTGGTAGAGTGGAATTCGTCCCAAAGTTGCTGTTATATATCACACCAAATGTCTCCCTTGCAAAGGTGCAGCGCCAGTAGAAGGCCTCAGGCAGGCTTGGTTGCAAACAACAGAAACCACTTGTATTGAGTTTAAGCAGAAATGGGATTTATCACTGGCTACTTGGGGGCCCCAGCATCTTTTGAATGACCTGGGAACTGGGCTCTAGAATATGGCCCAAACGTGCCACCTACTGCAGAGCAGCTCCAGGAAACAACACGGCAGCCTGCCCTGAGTAGGGCAACTGCAAAGGGGCTTCCAATGTCGCCTCCCCGCCAGGGTGGAGCCCATGGGACCTTGCTTCGTCCTGGAGCCCCTGGCTCTGAATCTGAGTCTGGTGCAGGTACATCTGTATGGTGAGTTTGGTCACATGCCTGCACCCTCCTGTCTGAGAAATAGAGTTTCTGGCTCCTCTAGACAGTCAGGGACTGAGGAGGCAGGAGCTCCCCAAAGAAAAGATGTTTGAAGCACTGGACAAGAAGAAAGCGGGACGAATGTTCATTACAGGTAAATAAAGGTAAATTACTTTAAAGCTCAGACCGTCAGGTATCCCAAGGAGAGACGGCATGCGTGTGAGTGTCATGTGTGTGAGTATCATGCATGTGAGTGGTTCCATCCTTAGGAAGAAAAACATGGGAGGAACCTGCAGTGTGCAGCCTCTGTCCAGACCCACCTGCTGAGGGGCCCAGGCACCCCAAAGTATACCCTAAATATGATCAGATCCAGGGAGCATTGTGACTGAGTTTTCAGGTTAGCCTCTGTGCAACCTGACTTCCCATGGGCAGGGTGGAGTGCTGGGAGCATTGATTCAATTCTTCCCTTGAGCACTCTTCACCCCCATCTCTCTCCAGAAATGTACCGAGAGTCTAACTGCTCTATACTCTGGGAGGAACACGAACATGATTCCACCTCAGTTCCAAGCTTTCTGAGAACCATCCTGGGAACCAGCAAGCATGACAACTCTCCACCTTCTGCATCAGTCACTTGCAAGGAGGCCAGTGGGCACAGTTCATGCTACTGAGTGAGATGGCGCCCAGAGGCCAAGGCCAAGGGCAGGGCTGCATTTTCTGGTTCTTTTATATTTGTAGCAAGATACTCTTAGTGGAAGAGCCCAATATCTGGGCTTGCCTAAAAGTCTCCTTAGCTAGATCATTCAATTTATGAGCTTTCCATCTTGTTGCAGTGTTGCTTAATTTCTGCCTCTCCATAACAAGAATCACCTTTCTTCCAGTCTCTAATGCATTGTTCTCACTTTCCTATAAACCCTCACCAACATTCTCCTCCCACTACTGGCTTCTCCAGTGCCCTTTAGGCTTTCTCTGACACTTTCTTCAAAGTCCTTTCAGCTTCTGCCCTCTGCTCAGTTCCAAAGACGCTCCCACATTGGTAGGTTTATGTTCCATCAGCACCCCACTTCTGGTACTAAGCTTTATATCAGCTATCTACTGTTAGGCAACAGCCAAAACTTAGTGACTTAAAACAGACACAAACATATATTATCTTTCACAGTCTCTGTGAGTCGGGAATTCAGGAACAGCTTAGCTGGGTGTTCTGGCTCCAGGTCTCTCATGAGGTTGCAGTCTAGATATGAGCTGGGACAGTGGTCATCTGAAGGCTGGAATGAGGCTGGAGGATCCACTTCCAAGGTGGCTGACTCAGATGGTTGGCAAGTTGGTGCCGGCTGCGGCAAAGGCCTTGTTTTCTCTCCAGGTGGACCTCTCCACAAGGCTACTTGAGCAGCCTCACAACATGGTAGCTGCTTCCCCAGGGCAAGTGATCCAAGAGCAAAGGTTGAAGTCACAATGCCCTTATGACTTAGCCTTGGATGTGACACACCATCACTTCTGCAGTATTCTACTGGTAACACTGACCAGCTCTGATTCAGTTTGAGAAAAGAGGACACAAAAGCATGAATAACAGGAGGTAAGTTTCACTGAGGGCCTGTGGATCATCTGGGAGCTGTCTACCACCAATAGTCAAAAGAAAAAATTAGGTATAAATATATGCATACGTGTGTGTATATATATATGTATGTATAATTTTAAAAATATATATTTATTATAAAAGTAATTAATATTATTTGTAGAAATTTAAAAAAAATTTAGAGTAGCAAAAATAAGACAGTAAAGATTACCCCATAATAGCTCCATGCAGAGAAAAATCATTATCAACATTTTGGGGTATATCTTATCAGCCTGAACTTTAAACATTTTTACAAAAATGGAATAATACTGGACAAAATCTTTCATGCTATCAATTTTTTCATTTACTAGTACAGTCAAAAACACAGTTTTATTGCATCTTTTTTCATGGTAACATTATATTCCTGCCAGTGATTAAGATGTAATTGATTTTTCCAATGCGCTATTACTGGACATGTAAAGGTTCTCAAATTGTTACATCATTAACAAAACTGGAATGACCATCTTCAGAGCTAACTTGCTGTCTTTATCCCTGATCTTTCCTTAGGATGGATATAGAATACCAGCATCAGCAAGTGTACACGATTTAAAGCACATTTGGTATCTATTACCAAGCTGCCCTTCAGAGAGGTTGTCTCGTTACACATTCCACAGCTGTGACTGAGAAACCGTCTTGTCGCATTTGACAATCCAGGTTACTATCTAAAAACTTGAGTTTGTAAGAGCAACACGCCATGAGATAATATTCGTGCAAATGTAACTGACAAAAGACTAACATCCCATAATACTAGAGCACCTACAAACCAAGAAGATAAACATCCCATTGGGAAAGTGTAAAAATATGAACATAAAGTTTACAGAAGAAAAAACACAAATGGCTCATAAACACACAAAAAGATGATATTGCTTCCTGGTAATTGGGGAAATGCAAACAAAAACTACAATGAAATATCGTGGTATCGTGTATCAAATTTGCAGAGCATAAAATAGATTACATTCGCAACCAGCAACTACAACCCAACCTTCAGCCTCACTGGACTTCTTGCCATTCCCCAAACCATATCCACGCCCCTCTCCACAGGCTGTTCCTTCTGCCTGCATGCCCTCGATGGCACCAAGGGGGATGGGCACACTAACACAACTGCTGGGAATGGGAAAGTTTCAACCTCTTGGGAATAAAATCTAACAGTATTTATTGGAATGTAACCTGTGCATACTCCACAGCTGGGCCACTACCCTGCAAGAACCCCTCTGGCTGCTGCACAAAGCTCTTCTCTGCATCCTTTTTTATACTAGTGGAACCCTGGACACAGCCTGCATATGGATCAAAAGGGCAGTGGTTATAAATATACTATGGTCCATCTCTAGGCTAGACTGTGATGCAGTGGTTAAAGCCAAGTATTGCAGAAGAGTGATTAAGCATTCGTGCTCCAAAGCCAGATAGCCTAGGTTTCAATCCCAGCTTTGCCACTTACTTGCTGTGTGATCTTGTGCAACTCACTTAGCCTTTCTGTGTCACAGTTTCTCCATCTGTATAACGGACGATAACACTAGCCCCTACCTCATAGGGTCATTGTGAAGAGTAAATGAAATTAATATTGCCTATGTCACAGAGTGATCCTCCTCAAAATCTATTAGATGAAAAAAGAAATTTCTAGAAATTATCTACATACATATTCTGATGGGATTTGTGTAAAGAATTTAACCAACAAACCCATATTACACACACATACACACACACTCACACAGACACACTCACACACACACACACGCACTCACGTGCGTAGAAGTAGATCTAGGAAGATCCATGACACACATGCGAGGCAGGTGAATGGGGACATTAAAAGGAGGACTTCCACGTTTAATTCTGAATGGTCTATTTTATTTGTGCAATTTTTAAAAATCAAAGCAATAAATCACTGTAAAAGAAACCTGCCAGGTTTTGAGTCTTACCATTCTACCCCGGGCTCACCCTTCTCTCTCATTGAATCTCAGGTGTCTTCGGGATCATTTAGTTTAGAAGAGGAAGAAATGTCCCTGGACCCCACCAGTTGAACACTAATGCTCCTTTGGGGATTGCGCCCTCACTGTCTCTCTAAGCATCTGTGGATTGGGGTCTTGTCCCTGCGGGCTCCTCCCGCCTACTCAGAGTGCGCCCTCTGGTGGTGATAACTTGCAGTACTGCGCGCCCACAGCACGTGTGGGGAAGGCGAAAAGCTTTGCTGATTCTCCCAGGGGCCTCAGCCCAGGAGCCCTGGGCTTTGACTCTGGGTCTAGTGCTAGTGGTGGTACCAGATCTCTGTCCCTTGTCGAGGAAGGACACTCTCTATTTGTTTTTAAGTTGTCTCTATCTAGGATTGTCAGATTTAGCAACTAAAAACACAGGATGCCTGGTTAAATTTGAATTTTAGAGAAATCACAAATAACTTTTAGTATGAGTATGTTGCATGACATCTACTAATTTTACACAACTCATACTTATATTAAACAAAATTATTTGTGGTTTCTCTCAGGCTTAAATTCCACTGGGCGCCTGTGTCTTATCTTGTGACTGTGGGAGGAGATCTGTTGGGAAGCGGGTAGGGGAGGTGGTGAGAAAGGAAGGGAGAAGGCCTGGGTATGGTGTGTGATGGAAGGGCACGATGGTTCAGGCGAGTCTTTGGTTGCAGGAGACTGTAAATGGCATCTGCTCTCCAGGCAGCTGGAGCTGTCAGGCTGTAGAACAATGCTGCTCAGCCCTGGGAGCTTTGAAAACCTGACGTGTGGGTCTGATTCCCACAGATTCTGATGTCATTGGTTTGGTGGCATTGGGGTGAGGGTAGGCTCTGGCATTTTTTAAAGCCCCAGGCAATTCAAATGTGCAGCCAAGGTTGAGGACCACTACTCTAGGGGATCTGCAGTGTGTGCATGTGTGCGTGTGAGTGTGCATGTGCGTGTGTGCGCATGTGCGTGTGTGCACCCACTCGTGTATCCCAGATGCCTTCAGCTTGCATATTCCCAAGTTCACCAGTCTGGGGTCCTTCCCGAGAGCCTCCCAGTCCACATGTTATGGAAAAGCCTTGGGCCCTTTCCAAGATGTTTCTAGATTCCCCCAGGGCTTATATTTTACTGGTCATCCCTGGCTCTGATTTCCTGTTCACACTGAGCACTCCCATCTCATTCCTTTCTTCCCCCGGGACTGTGTTTTCTTTCTGCCTGTCAACTTAATGCTGGTCTTTCAATGACCACCAGCAGCTCACAGCTGTCAAGTTTAGCAGATGTTTCCTGCAGGTCTGCAGTTAACAAGAGGTGTCATCCCCAAAGTAAATGATTCTACACTGAAGTCCCCATCTGGGCGGGGAACTCCTGCTAGGAGGAATTTATCACTGGCCATTTCCTCCTCCAATTCCCTCTGCCTCATTTTTACTTCTAGGCCCTCTCATTCTCTTTCAGAAATCACTTTGTCCCCTCCCAAAAAAACAAAGAAACAAAAACAGAAACAAACCCTTCTTCCTCTAGCAGTCAGCATGCAGCTGCTGATCAAGTTCCAAATTGCAGTTCCTTTCTTAATCAGAACAACTCAACTCATTTTTCCTATACCTCTCCTATGTGTCCAGGTATTTCCGAGAGTGATGCATGCTCCTTGGGAAGCATTGGGAATTCTGCACTTCTGGGCCAGCCAGCTCCAACTGCAGCCAATGTTTAAAAAATAGCATCTCTCCCTTCCTTCTATATGTACAGATCTTCAGGGATTTAGCAAATTCTCTTAAATAGCTAGAAGACCTTGCTGACTTCGATGCAAATATTCTGGCCAGAGAACTGAGGTCCTTGGATGAAACCCAATAATCAGAGGGGTCACAGTTTCCTTAGCCCAGGAGGAAGGCAGCTGGTGTCTCAGCAGATGTTCCTAAAGGCCTGGCTTTTTCCACATCTGTTCTGTGTGGTAGACAAGGAGAAGAGGAAGGGAGGAAGGGAACAGAGAGGAAGCAGAGAGAGCTGAAGATTAAAACAATACTGTACAGGTCCCCGCTAAAGATGGACTCTCTGGCTGCCAGGAAAGGACTGAGAGATAAATAGGAGGAGCATAAGAACCTGGGAGCTGGAGGCTGGTCCACCTCCCTCAGCTTCCAGGACCCAGAGGGAGGCAGGCACAGCCAGCCTTGGCCCTGTGGAACCAACACCTTCCAGCCAGGCTGCCAGGAAGCCAAATTCCAAATGTCTAAACTGTATTTTGCACTTTTCCACAAGGTGACCTGCAGCTGCTCTGATGGCCCCTAGGATTCTGTAGGGTACTGTGCAGTCCAGAAAACTTGACTTCCCAATTCTTCCCACTTAGCCAGCTGCCATTTCCTTCCCTCCTAACCACTTTCCTTCCTATTCTTTTCCCTCTGTATTTTCCCCCTTTGTTTTAAAAGTTCAACATGAAACTTTACTCTGTACACTCATCAGGTCAGCAAAAATTAGAAAGTCAGCTAATGCCAAGTGTTAGCTGGAGTAGGGGGGGAAGAGGAACCCTTGTTCTCTGCAAGGGAGTATGAGAAGGTGCAGCCACTCCGGAGGCTGTCTGATGGTGCTGGTTCAAGTCGACTGCGTAAGTCTTCTGCCCACAGCAATGCCACTCCTCGGTATGCGGCGCAGAGACACTTTTTGTCCAAAAGGGGCATGTGGGGAGGTGCTCATTCAGCATTGTTTCTGGCAGGGGCGTTGGCCACTCAGGCACCCATCCCTGGGGAAGACAGAAGTAAATGTGGTGGGTGTACACCTTGGAGAAGCATCTATCAGTCAGAAGCAAGGAAGGGGATGTCCACACAGATTTAGGTAGCTTACGTTAGACACTATGTTCAAATTCAAGGACGCACATCAGATACACAGAAAGGCTGCCTGTGGGGGAATTCGGACTGCAAGTGGAGAATGGGGACTGTAGTGGATTGAAGATGGTCCCAAATTCCTTGTCACTCCCTGCATGGAGAGGTGAGGTGGGGTGCCCTGGGCAGGCTTGTGACTACTTGACCAACAGAATACAGCAGAAGTGGTGCTTGTCAGTTTCCAGGCCTGGGCTTTTTAGAGGGTGGCAGTTCACTTCACCTCTCTTAGGACACTCTCTGGGAGCTTGAAGCTGCCATGTAATCAACTGCCCTAATACCACCAGGTTGCTGAAACCATGTTCAGGAGCTCTGTTTGTGGTCCTAGCTGAGCCCAGCCTTGCAGCCAGCCCCCACCAGCCAATGTCACCAGACATGTAAGTGAAGCCATCCTGGGATCTCTAGACCAGCCCAGCACACCTACAGGCTGATTACCATGGAGTGACCTCCGTTGGCACCACATTCATCAAGAGAATCAACCAGCTGAGTCCTGCAAATCCAAATCCACACAACTGTAATATGATAAAGTATCTAACTTTGGGGGTATATATTAGCCTGTTTTCATGCTGCTGATAAAGGCATACCTGAGACTGGGAAGAAAAAGAGGTTTAATGGACTTATAGTCCACATGGCTGGGGAGGTCACACAATCATGGTGGAAGGTGGGGAGGAGCAAGTCACATCTTACAAGGATGACAGCAGGCAAAGAGAGAGCTTGTGCAGGGGAACTCCTCTTTATAAAACCATCAGATCTCATGAGACTTACTCACTATCATGAGAACAGCACAAGAAAGACCCACCCCCATGATTCAATTCACTCCCACTGGGTCCCTCCCATGACATGTGGGAATTGTGGGAATTACAATTCAAGATGAGAGTTGGGTGGGGACACAGCCAAACCATATCATTCTGCCCCTGGACCTTCCCAAATCTCATGTCCTCACATTTCAAAACCAATCATGCCATCCCAACAGGCCCCCAAAGTCTTAACTCATTTCAGCATTAACTCAAAAGTCCACAGTCCAAAGTCTCATCTGAGAAAAGGCAAGTCCCTTCCACCTATAAGCCTGTAAAATAAAAAAAAAAAATTAGTTACTTCCTAGCTACAATGGGGGTACAGGCATTGAGTAAATACAGCCATTTCAAATGGGAGAAATTGGCCAAAACAAAGGGGCTACAGACTCCATGCAAGTCTGAAATCCAGTGGGGCAGTCAAATCCTACAGTTCCAAAATGATCTCCTTTGACTTCATGTCTCACATCCAGGTCATGCTGATGCAAGAGGTGGGTTCCCATGGTCTTGGGCAGCTTTGCTTCTGTGGCTTTGCAGGGTATAGCCTCCCTCCTGGCTGCTTTCATGGGCTGTTGAGTGCCTGCAGCCTTTCCAGGAGTATGGTGCAAGGTGTTGGTAGATCTACCATTCTGGGGTCTGGAGGACAATGGCCCTCTTCTCACAACTCCATTAGGCAGAGCCCCAGTAGGGACTCTGTGTGGGGGCTCTGACCCCACATTTCCCTTCTGCACTGCTGTAGCAGAGGTGCTCCATAAGAGCCCCGCCCCTTCAGCAAACTTCTACCTGGACATCCATGCATTTCCATGCATCCCCTGAAATCTAGGCAGAGGTTCCCAAACCTCAATTCTTGACTTCTGTGCACCTACAGGCACAACACCACATAGAAGCTGCCAAGGCTTGGGGCTTCCACCCTCTGAAGCAACAGGCTGAGCTGTACCTTGGCCCTTTTAGTCATGGCTGGAGCAGCTGGGACACAGGGCATCAAGTCCCTAGACTGCACACAGCAGAGGGACCCTGGACCTGGCCCACAAAACCATTTTTTCCTCTTAAACCTCTGGGCCTGTGATGAGAAGGGCTGCCACAAAGGTCTCTGACATGACCTAGAAATATTTTCCTCATTGTCTTGGCGATTAACATTCGGGTCCTCATTCGTTACTTATGCAAATAAATTTCTGCAGCCAACTTTAATTTCTCCTCAAAAAATGGGATTTTATTTTATATTGCATTGTCAGGCTGTAAATTTTCCAAACTTTTATGCTCTGTTTCCCTTTTAAAACTGAATGCCTTTAACAGCACCCAAGTCACCTCTTGAATGCTTTGCTGCTTAGAAGTTTCTTCTGCCAGATACCCTAAATCATCTCTCTCAAGTTCAAAGTTCCACAAATCTCTAGGGTAGGGGCAAAATGCCACCAGTCTCTTTGCTAAAACATAACAAGAATCACCTTTGCTCCAGTTCCCAATAAGTTCCTGATCTCCATCTGAGACCACCTCAGCCTGGATTTATTGTCCATATCATTATTAGCATTTTGGTCGAAGCCATTCAACAAGTCTCTAGGAAGTTCCAAACTTTCCCATATTTTAGTTTCTTCTTCTGAGCCCTCCAAACTGTTCCAACCTCTGCCTGTTACCCAGTTCTAAAGTTGCTTCCACATTTTCAGGTACCTTTTCAGCAGTGTCCCACTTTACTAGTACCAATTTACTATCTTAGTCCATTTTCACACTGAGATAAAGAATATCTGAGACTGGGCAATTTACAAAAGAAAGAGGTTTAATGGGCTTACAGTTCTACATGGCTGGGGAGGCCTCACGATCATGGTGGAAGGCATGGAGGAGCAACTCACATCTTACGTGGATGGTGGCAGGCAAAGAGAGAGAGCTTGTGCAGGGGAACTCCTCTTTATAAAACCATTAGACCTCATGAGACTTATTCACCATCATGAGAACAGCACAAGAAAGACCTACTTCATGAACTCGGAGTTTCTGTAGCCTTCTTAATGATAATATGATAACATGATGCTATTATAATATATATTTAAATATTTAGTGTTTTTTTTCCAGGGTGAAATCTACTTATATATTATCCTTTTTCCAAAGCAGCATTTTGAAGAATAATGGTTGCTATCAACATTTTTGTAGATAATTAAATTACTAGAACATCAGGAATTTTTTCCCTAAAATTTCTTCACAGAAAAAAATTATTGTCAAAATTCGATACCTCTGAATTAGTTGAGAGAAAAAAGACTATATGAATAGAGCATAAGTTCTATTTTTTAAGTGTGTTAATTTAGATCCTATCTTGTTCCAAAAATAATTTGGGATGGCTTACACAAATGTGTACCACATGAAGAAAAAGAAAATTGTCTTGATACAGAAATCAAGACAAAAGAAAATTAATAGGAAAGAAAAGGAAATAAAAGGCATCCACATCAGAATAGAAGTAAGCTATCCATACTTGCAGATTAAAAAAAACCTAAGGAATGCACTAGAAAACTATTAGAACTAATAAATGAGCTCAGCAAGGTTGCAGGATACAAGATTAATATACAAAAATTCATTGTATTTTGATACAACAGTAATGCGTAAAAGAAAAACAAAATTTTAAAAACCTCAATTTACAATAATAGCATCAAAAACAATAAAACACCAAGAAAATACTTAACAAAATAAGTGCAAAACTTATACTCTGAAAGCTATAAAACATTGTTGATTGAAATTAAACAAGACCTAAAAAAATGGAAAGACATCTCATGTTCATGGATTGGAAGACTTAATATTGTTAAGATGGTACCATGGATTAAACTGTGATCTCCAAAATTTTGTTGAAGTTAGTCTTAACCCCTAGTATACCTATGAAGGTGATCTTATTGGATATAGGATCTTTGCAGCTGATCAAGTGAAGACCAGATCATTAAAGTGGGCTCTAATCCAGTATAACTGGTGAAAGGGGAAACTTAGACACACAGACAGACATGCACACAGGGAGAACACTATGCAAAGATGAAGGCAGAGATTGGGTTGATACATCTAAAAGCCAAGGAACACCAAATACTGCCAGTAAAGCATCAGAAGATAAAGGAGAACGGCATGGAACAGATTCTCCCTCACATTGCTCAATTGTACCAACACCTTGACCTGGCAATTCTAGGCTCCAGAACTTTAAATAAGAATAATATTTTAAATAATAATATTTTTAAAAGAATAATATTTTGTTGTTTAAGTCAACCAGTTTGTGGTACTTCATTATGGCTACCCTTGCAAACTAATACAGATAGTGATATTCCCAAAACTGATCTATTGATTCAAAATAATCACTATCAAAATCCCAGTTAGCTTCTTTGAAGAAATCAACAAACTGATCCTAAAATTTGTACGGAAATGCAAGGGACCTCAAGTAGTTGAAACAATTTTGAAAAATAAGGACAAGATTGGAGGACTCATACTTCTTGATTTCAAAACTTACTACAAAGCTATAGCAATCAAGACAGTGTAATATAGTCATAAGGACAGACATACAGATCAATGGAATAGAATTGAAACTCCAGAAATAAACCCTCAAATTTACAGTCAACTGATTTTTTACAAACTTGCTAATTAAATGTGGAAAGAAGACTATTTTCAACATATGGAGTTGAGATAGCTAGATATCCACATGCAAAAGAATAAAGTTAGACCCCTACCTCACACCTTATGTAAATACCCCTAAAGTGGGAGAGCAAAATAAGCTTATCATCATCAAGATGCCAAGGCTGGTAAGAAGGGGATGTGGCCAGGCGCAGTGGCTCATGCCTGTAATCCCAGCACTTTGGGAGGTTGAGGGAAGCGAATCATGAGTTCAGGAGTTTGAGACCAGCTTGGCCAAAACTGGTGAAACCCTGTCTCCACTAAAAATAAAAAAAAATTAGCTGGGCATAGTGGCAGGCACCTGTAATCCCAGCTACTTGGGAGTCTGAGGCATGAGAATTGCTTGAATCTGGGAGGTGGAGATTGCAGTGAGCCGAGATTGCACCACTGCACTCCAGCCTGGGCAACAGAATGAGACTCTGTCTCAAAAAAAAAAAAAAAAAAAAAAAGGGAATGAAGTAAGGCAAAGATGAAATCAAACCATTGATTTAAAAAAATTAATTTGCAAAGTTTCAATTTACAGAAAAATTGCAAAGACAATACAGATGCCTTCCCACATGTCCCACTATTAAAACCTTATATTATTATTGTACATGTGTCACAATTAATGAATGAACGTTGGTACATGTTAGGAACTAATGTTAATTCAGACTTCTTGAGTTTTTCCCTCATGTCCTTTTTCTGTTCCAGGATCCCATCTAGATTCCACACCACATTTTGTCACCATGTCTCCTTGGGCTTCTCTTTGTTGTGACAGTTTCTTGGACTTTCCTTGTTTTGATGACCTTGACAGTGTTGGAGTATTCGTCAGATATTTTGTAGAATGTCCCTCGACTAGAAACGTGTCTGCTATTTTTCTTATGATTAGACTGGGGTAATAGGTTTGGGGGTGGAGAATCACAGAGGTTAAGTTCCATTCACATCACATTCTATCAAGGGTACAGACTATCAGCATGACCTATCACTGTTGATGCTGACCACCTGGCTGAGGTAGTGTCTGTCAGGTTTCTCCATTGCAAAGTGACTCTTTGCCCGCCTTTCTATACATACTCTTTGGAAGGAAGTCACTATACGTGGCCAATATTTAAGGAGTGGGAGTCATGTTCCTCCTGGTTGAAGATGGCTACATTAAGTAGCTCCATGATTATTCGGAATTCTTCTGCCTGTGATATTTGAACCATTCATTTAAAATCTGTTACAAACCAAAGCAGGGGGCAATGGGGATGGCATGGGGGAGAAATGTCTCCAAGCTTGGAATTGCTCTTCTACCCTTTAGGGAAATGAAGGGATGGTGCAAATCTAGAAGGAAAAGAGAAAAGAGGAAGGAGAATTCGCAAGCTAGGGCACATGCAGGTGGTGGCTGTGCCTTCCCTCCTGCTTGCTCACCAGCACGGCGAAAGCTGGGCAGCCCACCGATGTCACTGCTCCAGGCTGTCTCAATTGTACCTCAGATCCCATTAACATGCCCCAGAATCTTGAAATAATATATTGGTGAGCCTCCTAAACAATAGTGGAAAAGTTTTCCTTCTTTTGTTCTGAGCAGACTATTTTTAAAAAGAGTCATATGGTTATAAGACCACAGCAAAATCATCTGTTTCAAAAGTGTCTCTCCTCCTCCCTCCTCTCTCTGAATGAGTGACGGGCGCTAAGCTGTGTGCCCAGACCTACTGTAGGGAAGTCCTCAGGAACATGTTCCCCAGAGAATGCCCCAGCATCACCTGGTCAGGAGAAATGGGGTCCTTGGGACTTGTGAACAGGTCCCAGCTCTGGGGAAAAAACCACCAAGAATTTTTCCACTCTGGGAGGGAAGAAAGAACTCTTCTAGTTTTGGATCTTTAATGAAAGGCAAAAGCAATTTGGGAAAAACAAGATCTGGCTACAAAATAAAAAGGTTATTTTTACTGCGGAGAGCAAGCCATCTAATGAAATGCTGCAATTGCCAAAGTTTGTTCGGCCCCCGGGGAACTTTACGGGCACTTAAGGGTCTGTCCTTTTGACTGTGGAGCCCATTTGTGGTGAATGTTTCACGAATTCAGGGAGACCACAGCCAAGGTCGAGCAGTCCCTGCCAACTGAGTTGGTGTCCCCTGAGGATTGAAGTCTGTTTCCAGAAGGGGAGACTGAGGTTTCATTTGTTAAAGTGACATCGCCATCCTTCCTCAGAGCCGTCCCGGACCCGGAGCTGCCGCCCACACACCGGCACGCAGGCCACAGGGGACCTTGCCTTCTGGGTCATTCTGTCCTTGAGCTCTCTGCAGATGCACTGAGAGGCGAGTTTCTTGCTGAGGTCACATGCCCTGTGCACACATCCTTTCAAACTGGACAGAAAATATTTTCTGATGATTGTCTGTAGACAGATTTAGAGCTGAGATCCCTGCATTCCTGCATTCTGAATTGAGAAGTATCAGATAAGTGGGCCTGAGAGCCATGGCTCTTCTAGGAGACATATGAAATCAGCATGCAGTTGGTGCTTCTCACTCATGCTCGCTGCAGGCCTCCCTCCTTTACAGAGAGACAGGCAGAGCGGCGCCAAGGCAGCTGTGGCTTTGCAGTCAGACAAGGCTGGATTGGAATCCCAGATCTATCACTGTAATCTCTCCATCAATTTCTCTAACTGCAGGCAGAGATGACATGAAGTGGTATATGCAAAATGCCTGAAAAATAGCAGATTGCAAAAAACAAATAGTAAATGGGGAAGGATAGATTTCCTCTTTTGACACAGACCTCCTGCTCTTGATTCTTAAAAAGCTAACCTGTTCTCCATTTCTACTATTTTTTTTTTAAAGTACACAATTCAACAGAGTATTGAGATGGTTTTAAAAAATCCCAATTTTCCCACAAATCCAAACATGGTAATTTACCACAGGTAGACCTTAATTTTTTTCACATTTTAGAAAGTATTTGAGGCATTTTCGTTTGTGAGAGAACCCTAAAGTCTTGCCTTCTAGTTTGTGGATATTTAGGTGTGCCTATGCTTTTATGTGCTGCGGATACATTAAGATACGTTAAGATCAGCCAATCTGAACAGCTGAAAAGCTTTTATCACCAAGGAGCTTAACAGCTCTGGAGATACATTCATTTCCTGTACAACTGGTCTGACCTATAGCTTGGGGTATGAAATCTAGTCATATCTCTGTTTTATTCTAATTAATCACTGAGTCCTCTCTCCCCCTCACACACTGTTATTATAAAGTTTAATATCTTGCTTTTGAATTTTCCAATACCCCCTGAGGCCTTACTTAGTCTTATTTCTGAAATACCAGATGTAGAGAAAAACTGCAATCAGCCTTCCATTGTGCCTGCTTCTCTTCACCACAAGGTGGCACTGTTGAACACCAGTCCTGCACAGCTCCATGGACATTCACACTGCTTTGTTGAGATCTTCACTCTTTTGTATCTCTCGTTTCTGCAGTGGTGTCCCACATTTGGGGTCCAAAGTTGGCTCCCTTGGTTGATGTTCAGACATTATTCCCCCAAATGAGACCCTGAGTAGCTTTCAGCTTCAGCTATCATAGTTCTAGGGCCACCACCTCCATCAACTATTAGGTTTTGAGCCCAAATCAGTGACTACTGACCTAGACACTTACATGTTTTAGAGGCAAGTATTATGGACAGAATATTTGTGTCCCTTCATACGTTGAAGCTCTAATCCCTGTATTTGGACATGGGGACTTTCTGGATGTAATTAAGGTTAAATGAGGTCATAAGGGTAGGGTCCTGATGCTGTAGGATTGGTATCCTAATAAGAGATGCCAGAGAACTTGTGTGTGTGCTCTCTTTCTCCCCCATGTGTGGACACAGTGAGGAGGCAGCCGTCTGCAAGCCGGGAAGAGAGCCCTCACCAGAACCCAGCCATGGTGCCCTGATCTTGGGCTTCTCAGTTCCCACAGAACTGAGCGAAGGTACATGTCTGTTGTTGAAGCCACCCAGTCCATGGTATTTTGTTACAGCAGTGCAGGCAGACTAAGACAGTGAGTTTCTCTGTGCAGTGCTTTGTGTCCCTCCCTCCCAACATACTTTGATAGGGTCAACCTGGTCTTACCTGACAGATCCATCTGGGTAGAGAATTCTGGGGTACCGAGTACCCAGTTAGGGCGGAGGAAATTGGATGCAGGTGGGCACATCCATTGGCCCTTGCTGCCTGGAAAGAGGCATGTCCAGAGGGGGACAGTATCAGGCCCTCTAATGTGAGCAGCCTGGGGCAGGGATCCTTTTTGCCCAGGTTGGAAATCACAGCTCTGCCATCCACTCACTGTGAGCCTTGGGTAGGATATTTCCCTCTTGGCACCTCACTTTCCTCACCTGCAAATGGGGATAATGATAGGCCTAGCCTCGTAGGACTGTGGTGAGGATTAAATGCATCAATCCACGGAAAGCACAAAGAATAATGTACAGCATGTAGCAGAAATTAATTTTTTAAAATAAGACTCAGCCTCTCTTGAGTGCCCTCAAAACCATCTACTCACACATAAGCAGTGGTGATCAGTGTGGACTTTACTCATGTTTTAGGAAGTGGGCCAGATGTCTGGGGTTGCATTGCATGCCCCACAACATAAAGCCTAAAGGTGTCCTTTCTGAAAGTTCTGTCACCATATTCTCCTTGGTCATCTCCCAGCAGGCTGTCCCTCTGGTCCTTCCCCGCAGGGCCTCTAGGGTGCACTTATTTCCCGGGCCACCATTTCCTAGCCAGTCCTCACTCTCCTTCCCTTCCACATGGGAAAAGATACCTCCCTCTCCTTGTCTCCTTATTTCCCAGTCCCTGTGCCATTTTGTCATTTCTGTTTTTATGTGCACGTGTTCTTAGGCTCTTACCTTCCAGCCCAATCATTCTAACAAAATAATTTTTTCAATTTTTTAAAAATGTATATTCTCCCTCAGAAGATCCTGGTTGAGAACATCTTCTTCATCCTTTTATGGCACAAGTGGAAGCAGGGCCATAGTGTGCCCATGAGGTGTTGCTGCGCTATCATTTCTGCATCTGATCTTGAGTTCCTTAAAGGCTGGGGTGGCACTTAGTGACCTCAGGGCTGGGATCCCAGAGGTACAGATGATGTGCCTGTGTGGGATCAATGAGCAGGTGCTGCCTTGGGTCTCTGCTGGCTCCTGTGGCAAGGTCTGCAGGTCCTTCCCCTGTTCTCGTGGTGGAACAGCTCCCCGGGCCACCCCACACCCCAACCATGTGCTGAACTTCCTCCTGGGAATGACATTTTTCTAGCACCTACTAGTCACTTCCATTTTTGTCTTCACCCTGGGGCTTCTGAGAAGCTCTGCTTTATGTTTTTCCCTAGCAACACAGAACATTAAAAGCTTTGGCATTTAAAATTATTCCTTTCATGTTGTTTCAACTTAAAGAGAAAGATAGCAAAGCTTTGACTCATGGGCCAAGTCTAACTGGCGACACCCACCCCTGCCCTATCCCACCAAATGTTCATGATGGAGTCCTGATGTCTATCTCCTATATGAAACAAATGAAGAGTTTGTGCAAATGTATCCAAATCCAGAAGCAACCAAGAGACCATGTTTATATCAGCTTGGTCAGCTACTAGCTTAGATAAATGCCTAATTTTAAAGGTACACTCAATCATGACTTGTTCCAAAAACAAATTGAGACAGCTATAGAGTTGAGTTATAAATTCTTAAATAAATATGTAAGAGAGATTTTAACACTTATTGACACTTATCTTGTGCCAGCAATTAATTGTGCCAGGAAATGTTTTAAGGTGTTATGAATACTGACTACTCATTGGATTTTCCTATCAACCTTATGAGGCAGGCACTACTATAACCCCATATTACAGATGAGAAAACTGGAGGACAGAAGAATGAAGTAACTCACTCAAGAACACACAGCTGGTAGGGGGCTGCCAGGATTGTGAATCCAGGCAATGTGGCTCCAGGGTCCATGCTTTTAACACCTGTACTATGCTTCTGGAAGTTCAAGAAGCCTAAGAGGTCATCACTTTATCTACCTGTGTGTTCATTCACGGGCCAAACTTGTGATCACCAATGCTGTGCCAGGTCTGCACGGGGTGTCAGCTGCACAGAACGGAAGGCACCTGGGGCCTGTACTCGAGTGGTCTCATCCTATGCTCCTGACCATGGCAGAGTGAGGTGCCAGCATTCCAGCCCTGGGTCCCCACATCAGCCTCCTAAGTCTGACCTTTGGGCATATTTCTTAATCTCTAGTCTCCTTTTCTTCCACTGTAAAATGAAAATCAGGACACTCGCCTTATTGGGTGGTTTGGCGGTGAAATGAATGAGTGTTTGCAAAGCAGCGTGCAGAGCACTGATAGGTATTCAATCCATCTCCTCCTTCAGAGAGTATTTTCCCACTCAAATTCTTGTTTCTGTATCCATTCGTAAAGTCATTCCATAAACACGCTCTATTTCACTGGGGGTGTTGGCCAAAGAGGGGTAAACTAGAGTCTGGGAAGCTCCCAGAGGGTTGGCTCCGGGGCTGGCAGAAGTGATTTTCCAGCGAGAAGCAGCGGTGAGAGCTGAGGTTTGGAGCCAGAGTTGGATTCCAATCCCAGCCCTGTGTCTTACCAGCTCTGAGATTTGGGGCTATTTATCTCCCGGAGATTCCGTTTCTTTGTCTGTGATCTGTGATCACATGGGATGGCATATTAAAGGTGAAAGTGCATGTGAGGTGCCTGGTCATCCCGTTGCCAATGCTGCGTTGTGACCTCACCTGGGGGACAGGCACTCCGAGAGCACAGAGAGGCAGGTGCTCACTCTGGGGAGGTCACTGCCGAATTGGAAGAAGAGCAAAGAACCCAGGGTAGGGTGATGGCCAGGCTCAGCAGGGGTGGGGGAGGCAGAAGCAGGGGTGCAGGCTACATGCCCTCTGGCTTCAGCACCCCCACTGTGGCTCTGCTCGCAGAGGGTCTTTGGTGGTCTGCCCTTTCCCTGGTTCTCTTGTTGTTTCCATCAAACCAGCTGCCCCCCTCCAACTGACCTCCTGCAAGGCAGGTGGCCTCCAGGGCCACCAGGGAGTGGGTGTTTACTTACACTGCCTCAGTCCTGTTTATAGCAGTGGCACTGAGGGGACAAACGCTGCGGTTGGGCTTGGGTGGCTGCCCCACAAAGACAGCTTTCAGGCCACACTGGGCTGGAAAGTTAGGGACATGAGCATGATGAGATAGGAAGCAAGGTCAGGCCAGGGGCTGGCTCCAGCTGAGTGAAACAGACAGGCAGTAATAACAACAGCAACCATTTTTAAAAGTCCTTACTACATCCCAGACTGAACTAAGGGCTTCGCATCCATCTCAGTTATTTATTCCACAAGGATTAGGAAACAGAGGCTGAGAAACTTGCCCATGGCTGCTCAGCGGCTTTTTGGGGGAGCTGGGGTTTTTCGGCCCTGATCTATCTGAGATCAGAGTCTGGGCTATCTCCACTTTATTTTGCCTCCCTGATTAAAATTAATACCAATACTGTTTGTTTAAAGATTCTCTATAATCCTCAAAGCAGCCCATTTTACAGATGAGGATACTGAGGTTCAGAGAGGACCCATGACTTGTGTATGGTAGGAAGTGACAGAGCTGGGACACATCACCCAGCTCCTCCATCTTGTGAGGGAAGGAGCCTGGCTGTCAGGCCAAGAGGCTCTCTTCCGGTGGAAACTTTTCCTCTAGGAAAAACGCAGGGTGTTTTCCTCCTGGCCTGCCACACAGGTAGAGCCTTGCTGGTTCCTCTGCTGGCATGACAACATGGAGTGCGCCCCTCAGTGCACTTGAGGGCGGAAGGCTGGGCCTTCGCCCCTGCCGTGGGCTCAGCCTCACTCTTCGCATCAATGATAACTGCCATTGTTGGTTGGGTGGTGACTCTGAGCTGTGCATGTGAGTGACATCATCTCGCTAATTCCCACAGCATCCCCGTGAAGCAGCTACTACCATCTCCCTCATTTTACAGACGAGGAAGTGAAGGCTCAGAGAGTCCAAAGAACTTGCCCAAGGTCACCTGGCTGCTGAGGATAAAAGCGCAGGGTGGTTTCACTCCAGAGCTCCGATTCAGGCAGCCGCTGCCTCCCTCCCTCCTGCACATCTTCCAAATGGCTGGGGGGCCTTGGCTTTCCACCAATGTCCAGGTGCACCCTCTCCAACAGGTAAGCCTGCCTCCAGCCTCCTTTTCCCCCAGCTCTCCTGTTTCTTCTCCCTTCCATGCCCCTGGTGTGTCCACACCCACTATTTTCCACCTCTCTTTCCCCTTTTCCCACATCTTTTGGATCCTGCTCTAGTTCCCTGTAAGATAAAGTCCATGTCCTGAGCTGGGTTCCTGTGACCTCCCGCAGGGAACAAGCTCTGGCTCTGGCTGTGCCACCACTCGGCTGGCTAGGCAACTTTGGCCAGGTAACATCACAGTTCTGGGCTTCAGTTTATCCACCTGTGAAATGGGTGATGATGGCTGCTCTGCATTCTGGGGTGTTACGATGGTCAAAGGAGTCAGCAACAACTCCTGGTACTCCTGGGCTTATTCTGTGCCCTGTACATGCCAGTGCTTGGTAGCAGCATCTCAATTCATAAATGGTGGAAAGAGATGAGAAAGTGATGCTGGTTTTGTAGAGGTCCCTGTTATCTGCTGTTTCCTCCCCATTCCATTCCAATACCCTACCTTATATCCCCTCCCCTCCCTTCCCCTCCTCTCCCTCCCTCCTTCTTTCCCTCCATCATCCCATCCCATCCCATCCCATCCCTCCATCCATCCCTCCCTCCCTCCATCCATCCCATCCATCCCTCCATCCATCCCTCCCTCCATCCACTCACCCACTCATCCCTCCATCCCTCCCTCCCTCCATCCCTCCATCCATCCCTCCCTCCCTCCATCCATCCATCCCTCCCATCCCATCCCTCCATCCATCCCTCCCTCCATCCCATCCATCCCTCCATCCCTCCCTCCCTCCATCCATCCCATCCATCCCTCCATCCCTCCCTCCCTCCCTCCATCCCTCCCTCCATCCACTCACCCACCCATCCCTCCATCCATCCCTCCCTCCCTCCATCCATCCATCCCTCCCTCCCTCCCTCCATCCCTCCCTCCATCCACTCACCCACCCATCCCTCCATCCATCCCTCCCTCCCTCCCTCCCTCCATCCATCCATCCATCCCATCCCATCCCATGCCATCCCTCTCCTATTCCCAAGGAGCCTGGCCATGAGAGCACCACCATGCCTCAGAGCCCAGGGAACAAGCAAAGCTGCAGGACAAAAAAGGCAGAGATTAAGGGGGGCGACCTGATCCCTCAAGGATGTGGCTGTGTTCCTCCTCACAGATGGGCCACAAGTCCACAGTCAGTCCCCACAGAGGACAACTAAAAACCTTCTTCAAAGCAGCCGCTGGGAACCATGCACCTCCTCTTTCCTTGACAGGTTGTGAAAGGCCAGCTCCCACCTCCCCTTGACACCCCTAGGGATGGATCCCACTAAGGAGATCCTACTTGCTTGCGAGAATGAGCCCTGGTGGGGTTGGCCACATCCCAGGGCCCTAGCTGGGCCACAGGGCTGGTGGTGTCATGCACAGACTCAACATTCCTGGGCAGCCCCTCTTGATGACCATCTTGTGAGATGAGGGTGGGCATGAGAGCTGGCCCTGCTCCCTCGGGGGGCTGGGAAGGATCCCCCCCTCTCTCTTTCCACTTAGGAGGCAAGTGGTGTGAATAAGCTCTACTGCTTCTGGAAAGGCCTTCTCCATCTCCGTTTGTCCTCCTCCGCCACCTGACATGCTCCAGGCCTCAGCTTGGCTCCATTCCGGGCCCGGGGACCATGGCCATCTCCTATTGCCCATCTTTCTTGCTCTCTTCTGCCCCAGGTGGGAGAGGCCTTGCATCTCACCAGAGGGGTAAGTTCCAAGACTTGGGTCTAGGCAGGGTTCACAGGCCGAGCTGCCTTCCTAAGGCTGGCTTTGGTTCAAGGCCACGTCATCCTAGAACTGGCTTGGGCAAACACACCCTGTGTGGTCCAGCCTGCCCCCTGGACTTGTGTATCAGAGTTTGGGGCCAGTGTCTCAACTGATAATAAAGAGCCACTTTACCAGCATCTCCTGTGCAAACATCTTCCTCGGGGACTTGTGGGGAGGCAGGAAGCTGGGCCAAGGCAGGACAGAAGTGGTCCTGGGTCTCCAAGTCAAATGAGTCCTATTTTACAACTGCAAACCACAAGACGTTCCCAGCGTAGACTTAATGAGGAAAAGCAGAGTGCCGTATTACAATACTCCCTTTATGGGGGCTTCATCCAATAATGTGCCCTGTGTTTTCATCACCCCTGGCCCAAGTGTTTATGGAGAGATTTGTGTTGAGAATGGAAACCAGTAAAATCTTAGCTTATTAATAACTTATGGAATACAAATATATTTCTGTGAGTTTCCACAGCTTGTGAAAATGGTTGCATGGACTTTCACCAAATTTGGTAGGTATGTTCTAGATGGTCTAAGTTGGTGTATGAGGAGTAAGCCCTGGGCAGGCATCAGAGACAGGCAGGGTCCCACCGAGTGGCTGACAATGAGCCACAACAGGGGCCCTGTAAAGCAGAAGGGGTGGCGGGGTGGCGGGGACCAGAAGACAGTGTGATGAGCCTGGCTGCATAGCCTCCTCTCTTTCTGCTGTTCTACCCTGTCCAGGCGGTGGCCCACTGTTTCCTCTGTGGCCAAGCCTTAAGGCAGCTGAGCCTCCTGTCACCTGTCACATGGTGCTGATTCTAGCTAATTCTGCAGCTCATACTGTATGACCTTAAGTAGTGATCAAATCAAGGGCTTACCCTTGGTTTCTGAGTCACCAGGTAGGGCTGGGCAAGGTAGTGTCCATGGAGATGGAGGCCAGCAGTGGACCAGCATGGGGTGTCAGAGCCCAAACGGGGTGAGGGGACATCTTTGTGGCTTGGGGTGGTGGTAACCAGAGACTGGCTTTGTATAGAGGAGACTGATCCAATGTAAACGTATAGAGGATGATGAGAGACTGCTGGGAAAAAGAGAATTAAAGGATGGGAGGCAATTAGAACGAACCTCAAGAGGACCTGGGAACAATGGCACATCCAGCACCCAGAACTGATTTTTAAATACCAGTCAAAGGAACCAAAGCTCCCTGGAGCAACAGCAGATCTGGGGCTGGGGTAGAGAAAGTACAAGATGAGCCTGCAGCACTTTGTCGTGCCAGAAAGCAAGAGCTCAAGACAGATGGAGAGATGTAAAATGATGCAAACCCCAGCTGGAAGGAGGGGCTGTCCAGTGGCCAGATCTGGGACAATTTGGGCATCAAAAGAAAAATGGTAACACTAGATATTAGAACCCACTGGATAAAATAGGAATCCATAGGTCCATACAGACAGAAACAAATAGGTGAATAAATACACAGAAGGCTGGGTGCAGTGGCTCATGCCTGTAATCCCAACACTTTGGGAGGCTGAGGTGGGTGGATCACCTGAGGTCAGGAGTTCAGGGCCAGCCTGGCCAACGTGGTGAAACCCCGTTTCTACCAAAAAAATACAAAAATTAGCCAGATGTGGTGGCACGTGCCTGTGGTCCCAGCTACTCAGAAGGCTGAGGCACAAGAATCACTTGAACCCAGGAGGCAGAGGTTGCAATGAGCTGAGAATGCACCATTGCACTCCAGCCTGGGCGACAGAACGAGATTCTGTCTCAAAATAAATACATGCATACATACTTATGTACACATATACATGCACACATGCAGACAAGAGAAAGCTTTTACTTACAGTAGGATGTCAACTAATAAATGTAGAAGGAATGATGGAAATGGGAAATTACCATTTGGCCACCATCATAGCAATACTTTATCCAACCAAGAAATACTGATGGGTGTGAATGTTTAATGAGGAACAAGATACTTGCAAAGGCTTAAAGTCCCTCCCTACAAAACACTAATTAATTACACAGGGGCAAAAGCATTATCTACGTCAATCACCTGATTAAAGTTAACCTCACCAGCAAAGGACAAAATCATGCATCTGCCAGGACGCAGTGAGAAGAGCACAGCGTCACATCCGGGATGTTCCTGCCAAAGGTCCAGAGTCTGCATTGGATCATGAGGAATCCTCAGGCAAGCCCAACTTGAGGGATATTCTACAAAAGATCTGGCCTATAGTCTTAAAAAATTCCCCAGGAATTGTTCTAGATTGAAGAAGACAAAAGACACGTGACAACTAAATGCAACGTGTGATTCTGAACTGGATCCTTTTGTTAAAAAGGATGTAGTTAGGACAACTGGCAAAACGGAAATAAGGTCTGAGGATTCGATGGTAGCGACGCGCTCACGTTGCTTTCCTGATGCTTTTGTTGTGGCTGTGTTGAGGCCATCCTTGTTTGTACTTGGGGATGATGGGGCATCGGGTCGGCAACTGCTTTCAAATGGCTCAGGAAGAAGTTATTTTTATCTGTATTACAACTTTTCTGTAAGTTTGAACTCATTTCAAAGAAAAAAGCTTTCAGAGAGTTATTAAGTGTCTACTAACAGTTGGGCATCTTAGATCAGAGTTGTGGTTAAAAGCTAGCTTTACAAAATATGATACATACATACAATGGAATATATTCAGCCTTAAAAGGGAAGGAAATTCTGACACTTGCCACAACACGGATAAACCTTGAGGACATTTTGCTGAGTGCAGCAAGCCAATCACAAAAGACAAATACTGTATGATTCCACGTTATATGAGGTGCCTCGAGTAGTCGAATTCATAGCAACAGGAAGCACAGCGGTCACTGCCAGTGGCTGGAGGGAGAAGGGGATGGGAAGTTACTGTGTAAAGGGTACAGAGTTTTAGATTGGGAAGATAAAAAGTTCTGGAGATGGATGGTGGTAAATGGTTGCTTAGCAATGTGAGCGTACTTAATACCACTGAACTGTATACATAAAAATAGTTGAGGTAAATTTTGTGATGTGTCTCTTATAGTTCTTTTAAAAATGGGGGGGGAGAGGTGGGGAATAGGCTTTGAAGTGAACCCTGGCTTGGACTCTCAGCTTTAATACTTGTCACTGACAAGCGCTTGTCAGTGGGGACGACAGTGCTGTCTCTGTGGTGCATAGCTAGAGCTCCTGCAGGGAGCCCTGGAGTGCAGGGCTGGGGTGGACACACGGCACACACTCATGTTGGGTGAACTCCTCTTATCATCGCTCATCATGGACTCCATAGCTCAGTAAGGCTGCTGTTGTTTTCCCCAGTGCCCTCCCTTCCTATCTTTAACAACTGCTGGCCACCCAAAGTCTGGACTTGCTATCCTCAACTCTCTAGGAACTTCCACCAGAGACAGAGGTGAAGTGTGTCCCAGCTAAAGGCATATGTAAAAATTTACAGGCACTGATGTCTCTGGAGACAAGGATGGAACTGGTAACAGCTTCTCGGGAGGGTATCTGAGAGACTGGAGGGACACTGATGGGAAACTTCTCGCTGCTAAACCCATTTGTACCCTTTGAATGTGTTTCCACTACAAGCTTATCTATTTAAATAAATGGATAGTGTCAACCTAAACAACAGTCTATCGGAAAGAAAATAACATGATTCAGAACACCGCAATGGGAATATTCATGCCATAGTAAACTATGTGCGTATTAGGGCAGGTAAAGAAAAAGGTTTTTAAAGAAAAAATGAGAGGATTGCATCATTGAGATAATTATCCTTGGCTATAACAACACTGACCAAGGGTGGCGTCAGTCCAAGGCTGGAGAGGCGGTTGCTGGGCTCTTGTCCTTGCAGAAGAATTTGTGTGGTAATAAGGCTGCAGTGGCCTTTCTGCAAAGCTGTGGTTTTTGCAGTCTTGTGATAGTTTTTGTTATCAGGCATTCCGGCATGAGAACCTCTCCCTTCATGGCCTTCCCCAGCTCTACATGTTACGTTTTTTTTTTTTTTTTTTTTTTTTTTGAGACAGTCTCACTCTGTCACCCCAGGCTGGAGTATAGTGGTGCCATCTCGGCTCACTGCAACCTCTGCCTCCCGGGTTCAAGCAATTTTCCTGCCTCAGCCTCCCAAGCAGCTGGGATTACAGGCGCCTGCCACCACGCCTGGCTAATTTTTTTTTTTAGTAGAGATGGGGTTTCGCCATGTTGCCCAGGCTGGTTTTGAACTCCCGAGCTCAGGCAATCCACCTGCCTTGGCCTCCTAAAGTGCTGGGGTTACAGGCGTGAGCCACTGTGCCTGGCCGTGTATGGCTTTTTGACATAAGTGACTCTATTTTGACTCTGACAACTTTCACAATAATCAAATTGCCAGAGAGACCCCTCCCTTTCCCCTTCTCTCTCACACCCTTCAGCCCACTGCCACCTTGCAGTAGCCCCCAGCTCTCCACTCAAACTGCTCTTGCCCTTGTTGACAAATTCAACAAATTTCTCCCTTGATCTTCCTGACTGCTCTGTGGCATTTTGACATTTCAAACACTATTTCCCTGAGCTTCACAGAAACCAGTGAGATATATCCACTATTAGGGGAAGGGCCAACGTCTGTCCTGGCCACTGATGTAGTCCTATGGCCAAGTGCATTGCTTGGCACACTTGTGCCATATATTACATATGCCATTACACACACACACAAAAAATCAAAACAAAACCTCCTGACCAACCTTAACACAAAAGTAGGCTCAACGATAGCACTGGCAAACTCACAAAAGACATCTTCATGTGCAAATAGCCAGAAATAAAGGCAGAGGCCATCAGTTTTTAAATAAAGCAATCTTGGTTGTGATATTGTACCACCTTTTTGCAAAACATTACCGTTGGGGAAATCGGGTAAATATCAATGTTTATACAGTCTATTATTTTTTAAAAACTACATGTGCATCTTCAGTTATTCGCATGTAAAAAGTTTAATTTTAAATACAGCAGGAAGTACAAACCCGATCTGTCAGCTGAAGAAAACATCTACCAACTGGAGGATCATTAATGGGTAAATCAAACAAATGCTATGAGACAATCGGTCGGGACATTTTTTAGTTGCAAGCTGCAAAAATGCAAATAAACCAACATAGAAGGAGTATGTACTGGGCAGCAGTAACTCGGGGCAGGTCACGCACCTATGAGCCAGTGGCTGTAAGGGAAGAGGTGGAAAGCAGAATGCCAATGGTATGGGTGGTTGACTATATTTGGAAAGATCTTACAAGAAAGAAATGAGCCCGCAGACAAGTTTTCCAGTTTATCAGCAGAAATTAAGGGACAGTCCAGATAATTCGAGGACCTATAATGTTGAATAGGACCTATAATGTTGAATAAGTAAACTGACTCGGCTCCAAACAACAAGAAACAAATGCAGAGAACAGTGGAATGACAAAGGCCTCAGTGTGATGATTAAGGAGGAGGCACCCAAGCAAACTTTCCAGCTGGACAAAATGGCTCAGGGGGAAAATAGTCTGGTTTTTTTTTTTTTTTTTTTTTTGCACAGAAGCCCCACAGGTTTAAATCTAGACTCAAAGTTTAAATCTAGAGAGGCATAAGGGTAAGGGAGTGAAGAAATACAGCAGATTTGAGAACTGAGTCACAAAAAAGAACTGAGTGTGGCTTCTGGCCCATGTTACTGATTGCAATCAATCAGGTAAAATTCCTACTACATTTTTGAAGCTTATTCTGACAAAAATAAAACAAACTCACAAGCCCAGGTTCCAGAAGTGTCTGTTCAAAACTTAAAATATTCCTTGGGTCTCCAATCGCCTAGAGGATGAGGATTGAGAAGGCTGCACAACCTCCAAGAAATTCTTGAATGTCTCTTTTGGGTGTGGCCGAAAAGGAGGATGGAAAGGGAGGATAATGGAAATGAAAGAACCTAGCAGAGGGTGAAGCCAGAGGCCACAGAGGACAATGGAATGGGGAGACCCCTGCTAAAGAATGGAACCCAGTCCTAAACAAGCAACATCTGCCAGCCTAGGTGAAGTGGCCCCACAGTGGCTGCCTACTGGGATTTTGGAATTGCTACGGGCCAGGAATGGCAAGGTTTCACATTCCTCCCTGTTCTAATGATTCCTGTTGCTTATCAGGTGGGATGTTGGGCAGACAACCCGAGTTTTCTTAGGTCTAACAGAGGAGCTGCCTAGTCCCCACTGTAGAGATGTCCTGAACCTTGGGTTGGATGCAGTGACTAGACGGTATTTTGGGATCATCTTCCATGGAGCAGGATGAGTATCTTTGTGGGGAAAATACACCATATACTTGGCAGTCAGAAAGGCTAAGATAGACTTCTAGTACTCACCCATACTTGATTCTCCTCTTGTTCTGGGCACTTCCAAGGGACTATGGAATTTTTTAAAATGACATACTAGTCTTGCCCTTCAGGAGCTGTTAGACACACACACAACTATGAATTAAAATGTTTCCTGAGCAAACGTGCTTTTTAGCTCGCACCAGAATCACCTGGAGGGCTTGCTGGGGCCCTCCACATCTCCGAGTCTGGGGTGGGGGCCACATTTCTAACAAGTCCCAGGGTGATGCTGATACTGCTGGTTGGGGATTATACGTTCAGAACCACTGTTGCAATGGATCTGTTAGCACTTATTCAGTTCACGGTGCTAGTGAGTGACACAGAATGCACAGAAACCTTTACCCTCCACCCACCTGATGAGTAAATAGAGGCTAAAGCAAAATGATGGAAACAGGATAAAACCATTCCTTCAATTTTGCTATAGGAGTCACAAACCTCACTAAAGGCCAAAAGTTAAAACAATCAGGACTGGGTTGAGACGAGTTGGCAATACCAATCAAATATCTAAGCTGGTAACTGGAAACATGCCAGAAACAAGAATCTCCAGCAGCAATCACAGATGCCGTCCGAGACAAAAGAACTGGGCTTCAAAATGATACCCTTCTTCCCACCTTGGCTGACCCCCACCGTACACGATGGCGCTCTTAAGACACTCATGACCGCAATCGGCTTGCAAGTGTTGGTAATATTTGTTCATGTATTAACTGTGTTTTACTGGGCTTTTGCAAACAGCAGTTTTCCCAACTAGAGAGAGGCCTAACTGGCTTGAGGTCAGTGACAGCTAATTTGTTTAGGACTGAATTAAGCAAGGGTGTGTTTAAGAGGTGGAATTTTGTGGTGGTCTTGTCTTCCTCAGGATCTCAGAACATACACAATTTTTCTAGATTCTATATCACGAACCCAATTAAAACATGAGAACTCAGTTGAGGATGCAAAGAGGCTTACCTGGTGACCAGTTCCTGAGGAGGAAGAGGCTGGCTTTCTTTCCCCTAAGCCTTCTAGTGCTATTGTCTTGACTCGCCTTCCTGTGCCAGTCTGAATATGGTTACCCAAACCAATCTAGGCACGTCTTCCCTTTCAGTGTTGCTAAGAGCCAAAAAGTCCACCGTCCATCCCAACAGTAACGATGTGCCCAATTACTTCTATAATCTCACGTTCTCAAATGAAATAATCTCGAATCTAGGTGAATCTTGGTGGATATAACAGAATGATTTAAAAAAAAATAGAAACTCTTTGGTATGTGGCACATTTAACATTCTGTGAAAATTCGGGTGTTTCTCATCAACTGGTCCAGCCATCTCTAGTAAAAGCAGCAGCAAAGTAAGAGAACTGAGATGAACCAAAAACTGTCTGCCAAAAACATATATAAAATGCAGTTAATTGAGCATTTGGGGGCAGAAAGGGTGAAGCCTTCTCTGGGCTTTTGCCCTTTGTTGCTAGTTGAGGTCAGTGCGGGATAGGCAAGATGTTGGGAGGGTCAACACAAAGTAGTTGTGTGGAGATCTCCCTCCCAGAAGGATGCCTCACAGGGAAGGAACTTCCCATTAAAGCTATGTGGTCCTGAAGAGGAGACACTCCAGTTAGTCTGAGCAGCTTTTCTGCAAGCACAGGACTGGTTAATTCTGGCCACTCCCTGTCTGCCTAGTAGTAGAGAGGAGTGGAGGGTCCATTTTCTGGGGTTAAGAACTTTGTTGACTCCTGCAACTGTAAGGCAGCTTGAAATGGAACTGCACCTACCAGGTGGGAACAGACCACACGTCAGATATAACTGGCACCTGCCTTAAACGTGTGGCCAGTTTGCTTTAAAATTAGGGCACATGCTACCAAGCATCTTGCTGAATATGGCACTGCAGTGCTCATACAGGGGTATTCATGGTAAAGGTGGAAGTGGAGCCTTTGTCTTAACAGGGAACCAACTGAATTGGTTAAAATTTTGATCAGATTAGCAGCAATATGCAGTAGTAGACTCAACCAAGAACCACAGACTTAGTTAGACATAATCTTGGATATATTATCCAAGGCTTATTATACAGAGTATGTTCAGAGGCCTGGCAGCATCAGCATCACCTGGCAGCTTGTCAGAAACACTCACTCTTAGGTCCCACCCCAGAACTTCTTAATCAGAAATATGCATTTTCCCTTAAATCCCCAGGTGCTACTTCTGCACACACAAGGATGACAAACACTGACACATACCACGGACTACCTCAACTAAAGACCAGTGTCAGTAATGGCTCAGGGAGGAGAGAAACAGCCCACTACTAGCTACACCTACTAGTTTCATAGTTCCAAGTTATATGTACCAATCTTCACTGCCAGTAGATCATGTGTGGTGCACAGAGGCAGAAGACAAAGGTTGCCCTTCACAGACCTGAGGTTTAAGCTTCAGCTGAAGCTTCGGAGTAAAAGTATCAAATAATTTTATTATGAAAGATAAGCCATTTATTGACCATTCACTTTTCTAAAAAAACACAAATGTGAGAATAAAATAAACATACCTAAGACTCACTGGCCCCTCCAGGACAGGAAGCAGCCCTGGACAGAGAGCCTGCAAACGAGTTTCCTTATGCCTAATGTCTGAACTTCTCATACATTCTAGGATTTCATGTTTCGTTACAAAGGAAAGGAAACTGGCTAGAAGATTCATGTACAAGAAGGTCACAACTTTAAAGCTATCTGACGCTAATGACTTGTACAATCTGGTTTGCAAACTCTGAGAGACAGTATCAAATAAGCACTGTCAAAGACTACTCCCAGCTAATCTTTACTGTCATTTTTCTTTGAAATTGTCTTTGGGACTGGCTATGTTCTCACTGTAGCTTCCGTTTATCCCACAGCACAAACCCTAAAGTCCATGTGCAGTCTCCATGTTCAAGTATAAAAGTCTGTTTCAGGACAACCCTGGGTTGCTGTAGTGTTTCTCTCTCTGTAGTGTCTACTTGGTGTCATGCCCTTGGACAGGCTGGCCAAATGGCAGCACAATGCAGGGGGTGACACGGTCAACTCTCCCACTGCCGAACTTGCTCCCCTTTCAATCTGGTCACTGCCCATGGTCAAGGTTGAAATCTTGAGATCAGTGACGACCTTGGCCTATCTTCAGTCTGAAGTTGCACTCTTATGTAACCGAATCCATTTCTTCACCAAAAATTAGCTTTCAAAAGGTGTCTGGCGTATTCTAAAAAGGAAAGATAATCATATCAAAATGTTATTTATTGATAACAGACTATATT
Source organism: Homo sapiens (assembly GCF_000001405.40). Classification (NCBI taxonomy): domain Eukaryota; kingdom Metazoa; phylum Chordata; class Mammalia; order Primates; family Hominidae; genus Homo; species Homo sapiens. The sequence goes on from NC_000005.10 coordinate 173,608,348, forward strand.
CACTTTTATGTTCCTAAAGGAATTTACAATTAAAAAGAAAGACTTAAAATGAATGTTTTACACTCCATATTGGACTCAAGGGCTTCTCTCAATAGAGGAACAAAAAGACAGTCCTGATGCTCTTGCGTTGCTCATCACTGACACTCAAAACGCCCTAGTCAATTCACCTCACTTACTGATTATAACAGGCATCTCAGAGAATCTTAAAAAGAACACCAAATCAGAATGAAGGGATAAAACATATCCCAGCAGTCACCAACAACGGCGAAAAGTCCACTGCTAACTTCATCGCTGCTCCTACTAATGTCTCCCAAAACCTGCAAAAAGCATTCTTTTGTACATCTACAGCTGTTTAAAATTACATTTAATTCCAAATTTAATTTAAAAAGGGGGAGTGTTCCTAACAGAAGAATCCCATGGTAATTGATAGTGGTAAACAAACTCCTTCTAAATTCATGGAAATCGAGTCGCACTCAAAGCAGACTCTGAATCCCATTTAGGATATCACTTCAGAAGGCACTGCTTGATTTTAAATAAAATTGCAAGCCTAAGTTAACTCATGTCCAGGAGAGACTCATTTAAACATTTCAGCAAAATAAGACTTTCATTTGAATCCCCTTTATGCACACCAATCATCCCAGCTGATTTCTAATGAAGCATCTATCCATAGCTTACATGTTTAGCGCTGGTGGAACAGAAAATCAGTCACTGACACAGGAAACTGCTACTAATTAGTTCTCAGTAAAAAGTGACTTATAACAGTAGGTGAAGTCCATCTGCAGTAAATACTTCCTGAATGATCCTCAATTACGGCCTACCCCATTCCTATCCATTTTACATATCTACAAGCCAGAGATGCATACTCCTGGACAGAAGATAGGATACTGGACCTTAGGAAGTGTCCTGAGATGGAGCTGGAGGGTCCTGGCCTTCGGGCTCTGGAGGGGGTGCTGGCACAGCTGCTTTTTTCTGGGCCGCCAGGAACTCATGAATTGCTCGTTCTATTTGTGGCCTGAAGATGTGGTTAAGTTTTGGATCCACCACCTGAGAAATAATCCTGTCTACTCCAGCTTCCAACATCCCTGACCTTGTGGAGACAAACAGATCATTCTGTTATTTAGTTCCTTCGGGATTCATCTTTAGCCCCAATAAGTGTCACGTGCGAGCCCAATAAATGTCCACCTTCAAAGCTACAGCCCTTCTAGGGAGTTTAGAGGTCAATCCACTTACCATATACAGCTCACGCTATTTTCACTTTTGAGGGGTAATTCTCAACCAGCAGCTGTTATTCCTACTGCACAATCTCACCCACAATCACCCAACCTTGTACAAAAGAATCAAAAACAAAACTAAGTGAGTTGCTCCAAAACAACAAACAAATGACAGCATGGTGAGAAAGAGTTTGACACGTGTGGCACTGAAAAGCTTCCTCGTACTGTCAAAGCCAGTAAGCCCCGAATTGGACTCCATTTCCTTCAACATTTATTCTCCTAATAGCCTAAGCAGAAGTAGCTCCAGCAGCAACCTGTTTACTAATCCTTAAAATTTAAACAAGGCCGATCAGTCAGGGCTGGGAGTATTTACATCACCAGCAATTCACCATGGCCTTCAGCTGTAGTTGCTACCTGTAACACATAATAAGCAACTTGGAAGCAAACAAGAAATAGACAAACAAATTAGTTCCAAGCTCCTAGAGGGCTAAATTACATCCCCGATCCTTTCTGAAGTAGAGCAAAAATCAGGGCATATCAATGTCTATATTCAAACACTTGGGACAGGGTACTGGAAATGATGGTGAGAGGAAACAAATCATATTTGGACAGTCTGGAAAATAGCCCGTAAGGTTCAAAGTGAAGTGTTCTTCTCAAAGGACTGAAATATTCCAATACCATCACAAGCATGTGGGCAGGTTTTACTTATTTTCCCGTAGACTTGAGACTTCAGAGGCCATTTAAGCCTTCGGGTAAAAATAGGCTGGGCAGCAAGTGGGCAAATGGTCTGTCAGGGTACAGCAAAGGAAAGACATGAGTAAATGTACATCATGACAAAGAAGATAAGAAACAGGCTGTGAACTGGGAAAGATGATTAGTGTGTAAAGTGCTCCCTGGATTCAATGGTAACTAACAGCTTATCGACAGGAAGCCTAGATGTAAATACACCACCACTAGAGCACTGAAGGGCACATTTTCAGGTAGACCAGGCATTAGACAGTATCGGCCCTTAGTGATGAGCATCGTTAAATACAGCAAAGTTAGCATCCGGCTATGGGATGCTAACAAAGGAAAGCCACCTCTCCTCAGTCACAAGCCAATACCTTTCCAACTTTACCAAACCACTTCCTGAGTCGGATTCACAGGGTCCTTTACCAGATGTAAAAGCTTGATATTATCAACTAAATGCCTGTGTCCCCCAGACTTCCTATGTTGAAATCTAATCCTTAATGTGATGGCCTTTGGAGGTAGGGCCTTTGGGAGGCGATCGGGTCATGGGGGCAGAGCCTCCGCGAATGCAATTTATGCCCTTACAAAAGGGACCCCAGGAAGTTAGCGAGCTCTCTTTCCACCACATGAGAAGAACAAGCAGTTGGCAGTCTGCTGCCTGCAAGAAGGCCTTCCCCTGAACCTGACCATGCTGGCATCTTGGTCTTGGACTTCTAGCCTCCAGAATGGTGAGAAGTAAATTTCCATTGTTTACAAGCCACCTAGTCTACGGCGCCTTGTTAAAGCATCCCCAACTGACCAAAACCCCTGATCAGGGGAAACAAACTACCAAGGGAGTGCAGCTCACTTTCCTGGAGATTCTTAAACTTTTGAGGAAAACATAAAATCTTGTCAGGAGCCCAATGTACAAGATGGAAAAAACAAATATTGTACAGTTACAAGAGTTATTCGTCATAATTCAGTGCAATAGCACAGGCTAATTTCCTGTTAAACCCTCTAGGCTGTGGCACTGGGTTACAGCATCTGGGCCAGAACAGCCAGGCCAGTGAGCCAATGCTCTGAAGGCCTGCAGTGTCCACCTGGGGAGAGCACCTGGGGGCAAGCAGAAAGTCTGCGTTTCGAAACTCCAGTAGATTTTGCCTCAAATTCAAAATGCTAGCAAGAATTGTGGAGAAATGTCCCAGTATTAAAGCCAAGTTCATGTTTTCAGGTTAAACACATTCTAAGTCAAATCAAAAAGCAGGGAAAAAAAAAAAAACAACAACTTCACAGAGGTGGTAAAAACTATGCAGAGAGGAAATGATTAGTATAAAAGTCAGGAATATGGAAAACTTCCGAAAGGAGGAAAGTACATCCGGAGCTAGGCTGTTTCGGGGGTGTGAGTCCATTTCTCGATCTGGGTGATCAAGGGATGTTCTAATTATCTGTTTCACTGAACTTCTGTGCACTTTTCCGTATTACAATTCCTACTAAAGAAATGCAAGAGGAAGCGCCACATGCATACCTCTAGAATGACATCCATGCTCATTACAGAAATCAAAGCAATGTTAACAGCCTTCATACAATCATGGCAACTTTCCAAATATTTCAGAATGTTCAGTGTTTTGATTTACTCAAGACAGGGTAAACACAAGTGACTTTAGCTGTGAAACAGGCTTTTCATGAGGATGAGTGATATATGTAAAGACCAGTGCCAGACATGTAATAAAGAGTTGCTCAGTAAGGGGCAGCTACTGTCCCCTTCTTTCTGAAAGAGCCCGGTGCCACCAGTCTGTTCTCTGGAGAAAGGGAAAGGCACTCGGTACTGACTCCAGAATGACAAGGCACTGGGCATCTTCTGCTATCAGGCTTCTTCCCAGCATTCAGCCATATTGGAAGTACTAGCTTGTTAGTAAAACACTTTTAAAAACTTTAGAAATCTTAAAATCGCTGCATATTCACAGGAAGTTGTGAAGAAGAGTCCAGGGAGTTCCACACGCACCCTTCACCCAGCCAGCTCTAATGTCAGCACCTTGCGTAACTAGTGCAATATCAAAACCAGGAAAATGACACTGGTCCAATCCAGACCTTATTTAGACTTCAGTTACACTTGCACTTATTTGTGTGTGTAGCTCCGTGCGACTTTACCATACGAGCTGTTGCACGTGAGCACAGCACAATTCAGTGACACTTAACTGCACCATTGCAAGCTCCCCCTTGTGCTACCACTTGCAAGTCACACTCACCCCCTCCTCCCATCCGTAACCCCAGGCAATCACTAATGTGTTCTCCCATTTCTGTACCCTCCTCCACCTCCACTTTTGTGCGTCACTCAGATAAGCTATCAATAGCACCTTTATTAACTAAGGTTCAGTTTGTTACTGTGAAGTACGATACTTTATTAAGACTATGCCTTCCTGAAAGCTGTCACCATTACACTTTAGAGGTGGCAGTCCTGGTGGACTCAAAGAATTTATTTAGTTCACATTCACCTGTGAGAATAAAGATCCAACTCCTCTTGCCCAAGATCCAAACCCTGATATCTTGGTATAAAACTCACATATATGTTTGGACAACACTGAAACTTCAAAGAGCAGGGAAAATGTCTCACGATTTGGAATGCCTTTTGATGCACCCAGTAGAGATGCACACAGGAGGCCTTCACAGGCTGCAGAAACTGGAATTTCAACTGAGTACTTTGCTTCCTTTAACCTTAATTATAACAAAAGAGCAGACTGCTGCAACTCCTAAGTGATACTTGATATAAAGTCCCATCAACCTTGACTAAACAGAGACCTCAACCTTCTTGTGCATCACACTTGTGATGACTGCCTTTTCAAAAGCTTTAAATTCTGCTTACTTACTGAACCACACTCTGCCTCAGACCATTTCGCAACTGGTTTTTGTTCATCGTAGGATTCCATTCCTGCTTGTCCAGATGTGTTGACACAAAATTATCCACTTTCTGCCTCAGGTTTTGGTAAGCTGGCTAAAATGTTAAAAAGAGGAGGCAAGGTCAGAAGTTATATGCACCAAAGTTTTGAACTTAGTCTCTCAGAACACTGCTTTTCACAGAAACGTTATTAAGTCTAAATACACTTCCACTGTGCATGAAGATCACCATGCAATGTGGCAGTCAGGAATTAATGGTTAACACAAGTGCCCACCTGATGGTGGGTGGGCACAATGCCAGGCGCTTTACTTATATTATTCCATTTGCTTTTAAGTAACTCTACATGCAGCAGGCCTGACATCAACCCACAGCCTGGACCCACACCTGGGCAGCCTGCAGCCAAGCCACCAGCTGAAGCCTTCCTAGCTCAGCTGAACTTTGGTAGACCTGCCGCCCCATGAACATGTGAACAAGTGCTGGTTATAAGCTGCTGAGATTCAGTTTGCTATGCAGCATTACTGCGGCAAAGTTTGCTAACAGTCAGGGAAATGAAGTTGACAAAGGAACCAGCAGGCCTCAATTCCATGACTGGCCTCTTCCAAAAGGTTGAGAGAGCAAACTCAAAGACTCCACTAAACCTGGAAAAGAGAAAGGCAAGGAAATGGGGGCAGAGGAGTAAAATTCACAGATACCATGTGCTATCTGCCTAGTAACGCCTTCTTTCTAGTAACTGTCTTCCTCTCTTCACAAGGGTAGGGCAGAGGGTGCCACAGGAGTGGGTGCCTGAGCCACGCTAAGACAATGCAGACATTCCCTGGGATTTCCCAGATTGGAGCTGACAGCCTCTCTCTAGAGGAAGAAGCTGTAAAATGTAATCAAGAGATACTAGTAACCAAATGGATGACTCCACTCTGAACCAACAGTAAAACAGATATCAACAGAGATGAAAGACAGAACGAATGGGGAATATCTGGTTCCAAACGCACGCCTACCACCCTCTGGGAGAGTTTGTTCGTTCAATCCTTCCCTGGATTCCGTAAGACAATAGATTCTCCCCTTTGCATAAAGCAGTTAGGATTATTTTTGTCCCTTGTAAGCATAAATCCTGATGCCATACCGTCTACTCAAAATAACGCACCTGGTTTGAGATGATACGAACTGTTTACCGAAAAAGGACAAAGGACAGTGAACATCACCACCAAAACACGTAACAAACCCAGGCGATACAGAATCATCTCAGTTCAAGAAGTCAAAGGAACTCATGAGCCCACTCATAACGTTTTACTGTACTACCAACCCCTCCACCTGTTCACTTATCAGTTCAAAGTAAATTACAGTGCAAAGTAAATTACAGACATCTGTTCAATTTCCCCTAAATACTTCAGCAGTCTGGGGTGGGGCCCAAAATGTGCATTTCTAACAAGTTCTCAGGTGATGCTGATGTTAATCCAAGCACCACGCTTTGAGAACCACTGGGCTGAAGCAACAAAGGTCTCAGATAAGATATGCCTGAAAAAACACTATCTTCAAGAACTAAAACAACCTGGAATTCTCAGAAGGAACAGCTAAGGAGCTGTACATGGGAAGGTTCCAACCACTCTCCCTCACCAGCCGCTCAAGAGGGTAGTCCCCTCCCCCCTCAGGGGATACGTTCCAAGATCCCCAGTGGGTGCCTGAAACCTCAGGTAGTACTGAACCCTATATACACTACGCATGAATGTCTTTGAGGGCCATTATGAAGTAAAATAGGGGTTACCTGAACACAAGTACTTCCATACCGCAACAATTGGGTAAATGAAACCGCAGAAAGCAAAACCTTGGATGGGGCGGGCTACTGTAGTCGCTTTTGTTTTAAAATCACACACAAAACCTAACGGAATATAAGAAATATGAATGGAGAACTTGTCCTAGGAAAGGTGAAAGCTCTGTCAATACAGATCTGGGATGTATATGTATTAAATTACTTTGTTTCAAGGACAGACTTCTAGTTGGGCTTTTCATCTTGGAGAAGGAACAGTGTATACCACTTTCTCTCTCTACATCCGTATTTACCACCTGGTTTATTTACATGTCAGTTTTCTAACCTAGACTATAAGTTTTGAGGATGGGGTAGTGACTTATTCCTGTAATCGCACAGCTTGGCAACTAGAGGCCAATAAACGTTCAACGAATAAACAGACTACGTTTTTCCCTATCTTAAGGTCTAATTCTAAGCTCACAATCTTGCTGTGAGGTAAGCAAAATGTTTCCATGACAGGCTCTGGTAGGAGAAATCACTACCCTGCAGGAGTCCAGTGACAGGGTCTCCTAACCTACAACCACAGTCGTGGCTAGACAAGTTTTGAAAAGGAAGAAAATGAACATTCCAGCAACTACTGTATGTCTGATACTTAACACCCATTATTTCATTGAATCCAAACCACCCTGACGAGTAGGTAAAGTGAAATAGCGTTTTACTGGTGGGACTGACCAATGGCATTAGGATCTCAACTAGGCACCAAATCTCCTTTTATCAATGATGAAGTGCAAAATAAGGGTGCTGTTTCTACAATTTATCTTAATTCAACGCCGTACTAGTCTGCAAAACAATGAGCTAGAGAAAAGGAATAAACAGCTATAAAATGGTGATGACTGTGTGTTCAAATCATTGTGTTTAATGCCAGCTTCTCAGTGGTGAGTACGGAACAGGTGGAAATTCTAAAGCACGCTTGCTTATCTACTTGGTTTCGAAGTTTGTTATTAAGGGCCTCAGAGGAGTTCCATCTTGGGAATGATACGGTCTAGGCTCTAAAACCCACATTGAAACCCCAAGTTCGGAGAAGGGACTGGGTAAAATCACAACTAGTAGTAAATGTATCAGGCAGGAACCCACGTGTGCATCGCTCAGAAAGCTCTCCGTACTGCCCCAAGCGGTGTAAGACCTCACCGCTGAGATTTCTAAGCTATCTTTTGTTTTGCTCTCGGCTTTCGAAAATCAAAGCTGCCACCCGGCGGCCTCACGTGCAGCCCCGCTCCCCAACGCCCAGGCGGCCGCAGCTACCTTGGTGTCCACGTCGGCCAGGCAGTCCCGGCGGAAGCTGTCAAAAAGGCCCCGGCTCTTGAGCTGCTCCACGATGAGAGCGATGAGCTGCGGGTCGCCGGGAGGCAGCGAGGCCGGGTTGATGGGGCCACCGCCCCCGCTGGCCCCAGTAGCGCCAGTCGCTGCCCCGGCAGAGGCCTGGCTAGTTCCGCCGCCGCCCACCGCGCCAGTTCCCCCGCCGCCGCCGCCGTCCGCCATGGCTGCGCCCCGGGCCCACAAGGGAGAACGACTATAGCTTCTTCTCCAGGACAGAAGGCCTAGAACGTGTAGAGGTGGTGAAGGGGGCGGTGAAGGAGGAGGGCCCCAAGGCGGCAGCGGCGGAGGTGGCGATGGCGGCAGGGGCGGTGGTGGGGGCGGCGGCGGCGAAGGCCCCCTCTGATACAGCAGAGGTTGTGGTGGACGCGGCAGAAACGGCCTGCTCGATTCCAGGCGCACCCCAGATGGCGTCAACGTTGACCTTTGCATTGTGGGGCGGGAAGTTTTCTGTGGCCATCTCCGGCGTTCTTTATAGGCAGCGGCCTAGCCGAGAGAAACTACAACTCCCGGCAGGGTTCGTGCTTGCTCGTCGCGATTTCGCGGGGTAATATGGGAACTGTAGGCGCAGGCCTCGTGATCGCTGCAACCCGCCAGGCCTTCCCCGCCAGGCCTTCCCCGCCCACTCTCTGCTCACTTCCCATTCAATCAACACGTCCCAGCAGTGCCCGATTATAACAGTCATCTGTGGAGCTGATTAAAAGTATAGATTACCAGAATTATTTCTTAAAGATTTTTATCCAGTATTTACGGGTCGAGACCTAGCAATCTGTGCTTCAGCATGCACTCCCACGTCCTTCTTGAACAACATGTTCCGGGAAATTCCGGAAACAGTGGAACAGTCAAACTTCTATTGTTCAGAAATTTGTGAGTTTCCCTCCTTTTGGTTTTAATAGCAATGCATACTCATTTTAGAAAATTGGAAAATAACGGAAAAGTGTGAAGAAGAAAATAAAAGTTTTCCTTAAGTCTGTCTTATATGTGTGTGGATTTCCTCCCAAATATTAAATATTGTCAATCATAAGCCAATATTGAATAATTGAAAAGTGTCAGGCGTGATGCTATGCACTTTCCACGCACTTCTTCACGATAATTTAAAAAAGCAGATACATACTACTATTATTGCTATTTACAGACGTAGAAATGGAGGCAGAAGAAAGTTTGTTAACCTAATCACATACCTAGAGGTAGAAAAGTAGGATTTGAACCCAGGTTTTGAGGATCTAAATCTTGCATTTTAGCCTGAGGTATCCTGAGAGCTAGTTGGTATCCCACAATAGGTAAGGCTTTATATCCTGATTTTTTTAAGTAGCCACAATTCACCATTGGAATCCTATAGCTGCCACCATTATCCTCTCTTCCCTTCATCTTTTGCCTATTGTTAGCTCAGCTCCCCCTCCCAACCTCAGCAATTATGTCTGCTATTGTTGTTTCCTCATCTTACACAAGCAGCAGAGGGGATGTAAATAGCAAATTCTGCAATATCCTTGGCTCCTGCGAAGATGCAGAATTGGCAAAGATCCAGGATGTTCTCCACACCAATATTTAGTACTCAAGACAGTTTAATTTTTTTTTCTTTTTTTTTTTTGAGACAGAGTCTCACTCTATCGCCCAGGCTGGAGTGCAGTGGTGCAATCTTGGCTCACTGCAGCCTCCACCTCCTGGGTTCAAGCAATTCTCCTGCCTCAGCCTCCCGAGTAGCTGGGATTACAGGCGCATGCCACCATACCTGGCTAATTTTAGTATTTTTAGTAGAGATGGGGGTTTCACCATGTTGGCCAGGCTGGTCTTGAATTCCTGACCTCAAGTGATCTACCCGCCTCAGCCTCCCAAAGTGCTGGGATTACAGGTGTGAGCCACCACACCTGTCCAAGAGAGTTTAAATTAACCCTCAAAAGAAACATTCAGGTGTTGGATTATACTCATCCTCTAACACCAGCTCAATCATTCACAATGGGTCAGTTAATGACAAACATTCTCTCTTAATAGCTCACCATCCTTGAGATTACCTAATGTCTGTTCCTACTGGTTGACTCTACACTGATCACTCACCTTTAACCCCAGGAGAAGCCCAGTTCAGGCTGCCTCAGCCCCAGGTTCTTTCTTCTGCAAGCCCTTGATCACTCTGACTAGTCCCTTCTCCATTTTTGGCACCCCACATCTTACTCTCCTTCCTCAGGGAAAATTCTTCTGACCCCTAGATCCAATGAGATATTTCCTCCATGCTACAGAAACTCAAAGCCTCATTTTTTGTAGCAATTATTATAATTGGAAGTGAATGATTTACAGACAAATTGGCCACCTGAGTCCCCTGATAGGGTGTAATATTTAGAATGGGGACCACGACTTGTTCATCACTGTGTCTCCAGCTCTTAGCACGATAGTTCTTAGCTCAAAGAGAATGTATAAATTCCTGTCTGTTTCCTAAAGCTGTGGGATAGCATCACAGAGTGCGTGGGTAGGATTATGTGTAGCCATAATCTTCAGAAAAGAAGGAGCATTCTAGCAGGAGATGATGGATGAATCTGTCATGACTTAAATAGGTAAGTGATCCTGGAGATTGTCTGCACTTGGTTCACACTGTGACAATTTCACTATCTGTCATGGGGACCTGTGTCTTGGTTGCTGGGTCTCTGAACATTGACAAAAGGCTGCATTCTGTATCCATGACCTTCCCTCTGCAATCAAAGTAAATGATGAGGGATAAAAGGGGAAGGGGATGAGGAGTGAAGATGATCAAGCTGAAGGGAGGCTTATTATTTATCCAAACCGTGGAATAGGAGGCCTCCACAACATCCAAAATGTATTCTTCCCTTCAAGAGACATGTAATACACACCAGCAGTCATCAGAGAGCGCCATTGCTGTATTAATAATCCAAAACATTCGGAAATGGCTGTGCGGAACATTGTTTTAACTTTGGCTTAGGTAGTAATCTGGTTTTCAGGTATCCTTCACGTAGCAAATTGTTGTTGCTTCTCAGTATTAAAACTTGTCTGTAATAAGTTGCCCGACCCCAAAGAATTACGCATTTTAGGTGCTGGAATATTTTTTGTTGAAGGCCACATGAAAAAGTAGAACTTCCCCAAGCCCAAATCTAGACCTCACTGAAACTGGAAAAGAAATGAGATCTATCATTTGCCAAGGGAGATATAAGAAAGTAGTCACATGTATGGACTTTTTGCATCAGGTGACACTGGATTGGAATCCCAGCTGGCAAAGCTGGATCATCCCTCTGAACCTTAGTTTCCCCAGGACAGTGGAGAGGCTTAAGTGCCATTTCGGCAATCCATTTTAGCACAATTCCTGGTCTTTAGCAAATGTTTAATAACATATTATCATCATGAATTTACATTTGGGTCAGGAGGTGATTTAATTAACTTCTATTTCTCCTCTTAGCCTCTAAATTCCACAAAGGCAGGGATTGTCCATTTCAACCATCATTGCATCCCTAGCACCAAGAACAGTGCCTGGGACATCAGGCTCTCCACAAATATATGACGGATGAATGAAAAACAATAAAGGATGAGTGAATGGGAAATTTACTCTTCTAGGTATAGGATAAGGCCATTTAAGACTTTTGATAATGCCCTGGACCAAATGTCAGAATATAGTCAATATTCAGAGGGGTCAAGTACAATCTAGGAATCTGTCCATAATATATGACTAAACTGGACTAAGAGTCTGGGGCTTGGAGCAGGCCCAAGGTTAGAAGATAATCTGGGAGTTGCCTTGGTAACCTTCCGACCTTCTAATCGAAGATCCTGGTCCTGAAGCGAGAGCATTCCAGAGCCCTAAGACTGAGCCCAGGGCTGCATTTAGACACCAAAGCTGCTTGGGGTAGACTAGTTATTGGTCCTTCTTTGTGATCATGAGGTGGCTCTTTTTCTTCTTACCTATGTTTATTCATCCAAGGAGTCTTGCCAATTCTTAGTCTGGACAGCTGTTCATTTCTTAATTAACAGCATCCAGAGTTTCTTGAGATTGCCTTGTCTATAGCATTTTGGCTACATCTGCACCATCTGATCCCTGCTTTTTTGTTGTTGTTGTTTGTTTCCTTTTGATGTTTTCCAGCATCTCTAATGATAGATTGGATCTGATACGCATTAAGAAGAAAAACAGGGGCCGGGCGCAGTGGCTCACGCCTGTAATCCCAGCACTTTGGGAGGCTGAGGCAGGCGGATCATGAGGTCAGGAGATCGAGACCATCCTGGCTAACACAGTGAAACCCCGTCTCTACCAAAAATACAAAAAATTAGCCGGGTGTGGCGGCGGGTGCCTGTAGTCCCAGCTACTCAGGAGGCTGAGGCAGGAGAATGGCGTGAACCTGGGAGGCGGAGTTGGCAGTGAGCTGAGATCGCGCCACTGCACTCCAGCCTGGGCGACAGAGCGAGACTCCGTCTCAAAAAAAAACAAACAAAAACAAAAACAACAAAAACAGGGCTTTAATACACAGGAATCCCCAGCACCAAGCAACACTACTAGCATCTCTCCAACCAAATACGCATCTTGGACAAGATTTCATGCTACAGTGTTTTTAACACATTGTCATGTCAAATTATTAGTAATAGAGGATGTATAGTGAAAGAGGAAACCTGATACAATACAGAGAAAAAGGTGAGACGTTTGGGTTTTGGGTTACGTTTGGATCCAGCCCCTCTGCTTATTGGCTGTGTGACCTAGGGCAATCCATTAGCCAGTCTGAGCCTCCATTTGCTCATCTGTAAAGTGGGGATAGTAATACCTGCCTTGAAGAACTGTCACAAAAATTAGAGACAATATCTGTGTAGAACCTGACACAGAGTAGGCCCTCAATAGCTAATAACTAATAATGTGGACTTGATACAACAACCCGATGTATTTAATTGTAGCCTATTATTGGGCAGAAGTCTTGGCTAATGTGTATCTAGAGTTAACACTAATAAATGTATTAGTTTGATAGTTTCAATCTTATGATGACGTAGGGATTGACTCAGCCAGTCTCTAAAGTGGTGGACTCAGTGAAGCCAAGTTCATGGCCAAATCCTGCATGCTACTGCTGCTGGGTCTGGATCCATCCTCTACCTCTGTCTTCACACTTGGTGTTCTCTAGCAACACTTCCTCTGCCCCCAGTTACTTCTAGTTGCCTACCCAATATCCATTTCCCCTAATTTATAAACAGGATCCAATTTTGTCTGGGGCTGCAGCACATCTGGCTAAAGTATATACATCTGTGATTTCCTTGTTGCTAAGAGTGACCGTAGGGCCCAGTTCTGGCTGAGGAGAGAGAAACTGAGGGTTTCTGGGAAAGCTTTGCCTTGCTGATAGAAGCACCACTCCTTCCTGCTGTAGCATCCTTCCTTCTTCCTGCAGGGAGGTTCAGCACTCAAGAACCAACACCCTGAGGGTTATTTGGGGCCATGTTACTAGTTCCGGCCAAAGAGTTGTGAGCAGAAGTGACTTGTGTCACTTCTAGGCCGGGCCATTTTCATACCAACATAAGACCTCCCAGAGCTCTCTTTCCACCTGCCGTGGTAACCAGGAAAATTTGAGATGATGGCTAATCTATCATCCTGGGCCTCAAAGTGAGGTGATGTGGAGCAGAGGCCCCAGATAACCCGACATGTAACATGAGTGAGAAAGAGACCTTTTGTTTTAAGCCACTGAGATTTGGAGTTGTTTTTGACTGTGGCGTAACCTAGCCTATCCTGCCTGATACAACCCTGAGCACATTCCTCCACTAACGCCATCACTTTTGGAATGACCAAATATGAAAGCTAATGAGTGAATAAATGCATGAGTGGATCAAATTTCTTCCCCAGGGCCCTGTGCCTTCAGATGATTTCTTTTTTTTTTCTTTTTTCTTTTTTTTTTTTTTTTTGCGACGGAGTCTCGCCCTGTCGCCCAGGCTGGAGGGCAGTGGTGTGATCTCGGCTCACTGCAAGCTCCGCCCCTCCAGGTTTAAGCAATTCTCTGCCTCAGCCTCTGGAGTAGCTGGGATTACAGGCGCGTGCCACCACGCCCGGCTAATATTTTGTATTTTTAGTAGAGACGGGGTTTCACCATCTTGGCCAGGCTGGTCTTGAACTCCTGACCTCATGATCCACCCGCCTTGGCCTCCCAAAGTGCTGGGATTACAGGCGTAAGCCACCACACCCGGCCCAGATAATTTCTATGAGTGACTCAACCTAGTTTACTCTATAACTCTTTGAGACAGCTTAGGTCAGTCCTTCTTTAACTTTGGTGTTTGTTGAAATTCCCTGAGGACGTCGTCAAAACATACAGGTGCTCAGTCATCCTGCCAAACCCACAGAATGGATCTGTAGAGACAGGCCATAGCCGTTTACATTTTTAAGCAAGTTTTCAAGGGGGTTCTGAGAGTGGGCCAGGGTGGGGAACTGTTGTTTCTCTGGGTAGAAACATCAGATCCGTCAACGGAGCAGAAAGAGAGATTATTTTCGGCACGTGGGTTTCTCGAAATCATTTTCTCCTCAACTCCTACTCCCATCCTGCCTGCTTGTTTCTGGCTGGCCACTTCTGCCTAAAACTGAATACCTTTGGTAAAGATTTACTTGAATGCAAAAGTCAAGCTCTACGACCTTTGTTGGCAATGTATCCTCTCTGGCCTTTGCACCTCTTGCCTGTAAAAGAAAGGAGCTGAAACAGGGTGATCAGAAGAGTAGTAGATCTGTGAGAGACAACATTGAACAATCTAACAATTCCACTGCTGCCACGCATACAATACAGTGTGATGAGTGATTGTGCTACTTCTAAGATAATGAAGAATATATATATATATATATATATATATATATTTTTTTTTTTTTTTTTTTTTTTTTTTTTTTTGAGATGGAGTCTCACTCTGTCGCCCAGGCTGGAGTGCAGTGGCACAATCTCGGCTCACTGCAACCTCCACCTCCCGGGTTCAAATGATTCTCCTGCTTCAGCCTCCTGAGTAGCTGGGACTACAGGCACACACCACCACACCTGGCTAATTTTTGTATTTTTAGTAGAGACAAGGTTTCACTATATTGGCCAGGATGGTCTTGATCTCCTGACCTCGTGGTCCACCTGCCTCACCCTCCCAAAGTACTAGGATTACAGACGTGAGCCACCGCACCCAGCCAATATGTATTATGTGTATACATTCACGTGTGCTGCACGCCCTGGGGCATAATGATGGGACAAAGTTTAAAGCTGCGGACAAATGTCTCCTTTGCTCCTGCCAATATTTATCTGCAATTGCATGTTTAGCGTTATTTGGAGAGAATATCTAAATCTGAGGACTCTGGACCGTGAGGCCCAGGGGAATAGCTCTCCTGCCATCCAATCTCATCCAAGGACTTCCCACATCCTGTGCCAAGAGAGCACAGGGAAGCCTAGCTCTGGGTGTCTGGGTGTGGCTCAGGTGTGGCTGGGTGTGGCTTAGGTACCACCTCTCTGTGGCCAGGCTGTGTCAGAGGCAAGCAGAAGTATCTGAGCTGATGCTCGTGGGAATCCCTTTCATTTCCGAGGGTTGAGCAGGCCCCAGCATGTGCTGGATGTTTCTGAAAATGCAGCTGAAATCCTAGAGATTCAGGGGATGGGGAGAGGAGAACAGCAGATGGTGCCAGCCAGGGGAAGGGAAGTAATATTTATTACGCACCTTCTACATACCTGGTCCTTACCCTCCTTACTCCCATCACCTCTAGTTGAGACAAAAGCTCTGCAAGGCAAACAGATGTTATTCCCATTTTACAGATGAGAAGACTAAGGGGCAGAGAAGGGACATCAGTTGCCTGGTGTTGAAGCCAGGGTTCAAACAAGACTGCCTGATACCTAAAGCCTGGGTTCCTCCTGCTATAACATATCAGGAGAATTGTGGCCTTCAGAGATAGGTCTGGGGTAGAATCCTGGCCCCACCACCAGGAGAGGTTCTCTCTCTTCTTGGAGCCTCTTTCCTTGTGTGTGACATGAGGACAATAATAGAACCTACATCACAGGGATGCTGTGAGAATTATATGAGACAATGCCTGGTAAGGGCCAGGCTCTAGACCATGCTCCCATGATGATTCTAGAAAGAAAAGGGACTCAGCTGTGGTGATTTGCTGTAGAGGGGAGGGGCCATGCCGGGGTGAGGAGGGACATGCGTATAGATTTTATGACTCCTGAGTTCAGAAAGCTTTCTCAGGGCACAGGTGGCTGTTGTTGAATGCAGCCAGCCTTCCCAGGGGCCAGGGCGAAGTCCCACAGAGATGTGTAATAGCTGAGTGGGCAGCATGGGAGGCATCTGATGTCGTGTCTGTCTCAGCATCAGGGTAGTGACGTCTCTACAGGATCTCCAGTGGTGTGATGTGGGTGTGGATCCTATCCCTGTAGTCTCTCAGCCTGAATCTCTGGCCTTCCCAGAGATCTTGAGAGTCACTCATATTCTATCCTGCATACCTTTGCTGCTTAAAGTTGCCAGAATTCATTTCTGTTACAACTAAGAACCTTTCCCGGGTAAGTAGGTGGAGGAAGGAGTGGCTCAGGGCCCCAGGAAGAAGGAAGAGTTTGAGCAAAAGCTCAGAGGCTTGAAGGGTATCAGTATATTCTGAAAAGGTGGGGCTGGTCCCATGAGCTGCGTGGAGGTTGCAGAGCATGTGTTTGAGATAGGGTGATGAAGTAGCCTGGGACCTCAAATGCTGCAATTTCAGAGATTGAATTTGACCTTGGAGTAAAGACAATGCTTTTCAATAGGGCAGGAGCAGCATAGTATACAAAATTTACGAAGATTCTTCTGGGACAGCACGGAAGTGTGAGTGGATGGGGTGACACTGGAGGCAGGGAGACCAGAGAGGGGGCTGCAGGGATCATCTCATGGGGCGGGTGTTGGCTAGGGCATCACTGCTCCTTGAGATCTGGCTCAGCCTGCTCACTGCCTCCCAACCTACCTCTCCCCATGGCCATCCTAGGTCCTGCAGAAGGCCAATCCTGACCCCCTCCATGATTTCTTCAAATTCTTCACCTCTGCATTGAAGTCCTGCCTCTACTGTATTCTTTTAAATTTAGGGGCTTTTATACGAATCTCAGCACCTGGATTATTTGGTACTGATTGACTTTCTGAAGGTATCAGAGGAGGGACTGATGTTTCAGCCACATTAAAAACAAATAAACAAGTGGCAAATTGTACTTTCAACCTTGTTCTTAGAGGACATTCCATGTCCCAAGGGACCCATAGTCAGCCTCCCACCCACTCACTATCCAGCTCACAGTGCCTCGCTTCCCCCGGATCTTCTTGGGGACACACCCTGGCCTGTCATCTCTCTGCAACCAAAACAAAGTGTGGGCCCAAGAAGCCTGTGGATATTCTAGGCATCCTGGCTCCTGCTGCCTGTCAGACAGTTACAAGAAGAGGATTTATTTCCAGAGGGAGCCTGGGGCTACAGTGAAGCACCCATCTTCCTTAGGAGACAGTGGCTCAGGAGCCTGTAGGCAGGAAAAAGGCTGCCTGCCTGAGCTCCAAGAGGCTGGGCTTGGCTCCCAGCTCCCCTTACTCTGGGCCCTCCAGTGCTTCATTCGTGGGCTGTGCTTCCAACATCTGCTGCTGCCACTTGCAGTTTGAGCAGAGTGTCTTCTGGGGCCACACCCAGAAGTAAGGGTTTCCTCTAGCCCCTAGGTGCTGCTAGATACATGTACAGTTCTCAGGGGCTCAACCAGGAATGAAACTCTGCTCTCCTACCTCCATTTCAGTGCTCTGTCTTCTGTTCCCTTTCCAGGTGGGCTTTGATTGGCAGGCCCCATTCAGTGGACCCTGGGCATTGTCAACACTACTTGCCAGATTTCCCCAGCTCTCTGCCCTCCAGATCTGAGGCAAGACGGCACTTGCTGGCCCCAAGGCAGGGCCATGTGACTAGGTCTGGCCAGTGAGCCATGCGTGGAAGTGACATATGTCACTTCTGGTTGGGAGCCTGTAATTGCTGCTCTAATCACCCCTTCCCAATGCCATGGTGACTGTGGGAAATATTTGAGATCAGGCGGCTCCAGCAGCCTGAGGTCTGAGTTAAGAAAGTCCTGGAATGGAGCCCCTTGCTGGACATGTAAGCGTGACCCAGAAATAACCCTTGGTTGTTTTTAAGCCCCTCAGATTTAAGATGTTTTTGTTACTACAGCATTACTGAGCCTAACCTGATTGATACGTGCACATTTGCCTGAGATTTGGTTACCTGGCATCTCAACTCTCAATGCCCTTCCTATTTGGGGGGAACTCTGTACCCCCTGAGGCTTGTTAGGTGGCAGAGCCTTCCTATGGGTAGAGAAAATACCAGATACCCACTTTCCCAGCCTCCTTTGCAGCTCTGTGCACAGCCATGGCCAGAAGGGACAGTGCTCCAGCTGCAATGACAGGGGCCCTGTGTTTGTAGCAGCTGCAGCAATGATGTCACTGGACTGGTTCTGGAGCAAGAGTTTTGTTTGTGATTCTGGCTGCGAGACCGCCCTTTTTCTTACCTATTTCCTGAGCCTAGTTCTTCAGTCTTCCTGTCAATTCCGTGAGCTACCTAGAATCTTTCAATGAATTCCCTTTCAGCTTAAATCACCCAGAATACATTTATGTTGCTTGCAACTAAGAGCCTTGGAGCAGTACTGCCAGTTAGAGGTCAATGTGAAGCTGGAAGGGAGGGCAGAAACTGGCAAGATGCACCTGCCTTCCCTTGCTTTTCTCAAACTTGCTTCTCCAGGGGCAGGCCTTGTATATCTTAGCCCAGTGCAAGCAAGGGTCTTCTGGTCAGACTTGGTCACCTTTTGGGCATGTGAGCCTCACTTCCCTTATCTGTAGAATAGAGTGACTAAAAGACCTTATTTTTAGGGTGGATATGAGGAAGGCATTTGAAAGAGAATGTATTTGAGAGAGTTCCAGGAATGATAAAACAAGACCCCCAGTACAAGTTTACCATGTTATTATTGTCAAGTGTTAGCTTGCATGAGTATATCCAGCTGTGGAATCGCAGTTGGCATAACAAGGTAAAGTGGCATCTTGAGACCCTTCCTAATGTCACTCTGTCACTCAGCTCTTTGGAGGTTACAGTTCATTCCTCTTCATTCAGACCCATGTGAGGTTCTGCCCAAGAGACCTAAAAACCCCAGCCTTTAGATACGAAGAAATTCCTTGTGAACTTGGTAAAAACAGAGAAGCATAGAGGTGGGAAAGAATATTAGGGACCGTTTTATTCAACATTCAACTTGCAGAGTTCAGAGACAGGGAGCCACTAACCCACGGCCACACAGCAACTCTGTAGCTGAGCTTGGGGGTTGGAATGTGGAACTTTTGAACCTGATATTGGGGTTGTAATCTGGAGGTAGGGTTGTTTTATAATCCAAGTCTGCAGAAATATACTGGAAATAGGACGATTCTCTCTCAAATTAACAGCCCTATTTCATAACAACTGATGACCAACTGATGCTCGTTCCGTCCTACAGAAAGATCCCGAGAGGGCCCCTTCTCCTTTTCTTTCTCCGCTGTCTAAAATGCTTTATTGAGGAAGGGTGAAAAATTGCTGAATTGATCTTTTTAAATGAACGCGGATCTGAACCAAAGAAATTCGGAAGAAGAGAACTTTCTCATCCAAGTGGCTGCCAACACCTCACCCCCAGCTGAAGCGCTCCCTTGTTCTCTCCTGCTCTGCCCCAGATTCATGGGCCGCTCTCTGAATCGTTGGCAATTTTCTCTGTACTGTCCTGACAACCTCCAGCCATGAAATTAAAAAGCTAGTTACCGAATCTTGCTCCTAACGGCTTTGTCCTTGCCAGCAATTCGACAGAGAAATCTGGAAGAGAGAGAGCCTCCACTTCGCCTGCAGTGGGTTGAAATGCTGCTGGAATGACAATGGGATTCGCAGTGGGAGGAGGAGAGAATGCGCAGTTTGCCAGGAATGAATGAATGAAAGGGAGAGAGAAAGAAAGAGTGAACTTCGGGCTTTAAACTGAAAAATTCCAGTGTCTCAGCAGAAGCCCTGATGCCTTTACTCCCAGACCTGCTACAAAATGCTGAGCAGGCACATTTCCCCACACCAGTGCCCTCTGGCCCTCAGCCTGGGTTCAGAGCTAGGGGCCGGAAAGCTGGAGAGTTGGAATTTGGGAGAGGAAGTGACTTCAAACTGGGGCAAGCCCTGGGAGGCCAGTCTACCTAGCCAGCTGGCTTTCCTCCCCCCATCTCATGTGTCTCCCCTGAATTCAGACATCGTCCACGCCCCCAAGGAATTTTAAGAAATCCTCAAAACCCAAGGAATTTTAATTGCCCTTAATTAAGGAAAAATGTTCTAGAAGACCACTGCAGTGTGGCTCAATGTGATATGGGTCCCTGAGCTCAGGAGGGTAAGGCTCAGCCTTGTTGCTGTCTGTGTTCCAGCCCTTGGCCTCGGGACCCACACAGAGCAAGGGGCTGGCAGATACCTGTTGGACAAAGGGATAGGACCAGCTGCATTCAGGGAGCCCTTTTTCCTGCCTTTGCCCTGTTCGGGCATGGACTTACAGATGGATCTTGTGATGTGCAGGGGTCGCAGGAGAGAGAGGCATTTGAGCCCTCGCTCAGTCTCCAGGGACAGGCGGAATGAGGTTGGAGTCCCAGCTCTGTGATGTCTTAGCCAAGAGACCTTGAGTGAGTTATCTGTAAAATGGGATTCCCCGTGGTGGTAGCTCACTGGGGGGGCTGGCAGATTAAATAAAGTCTTACATGTAAAGTGCTTGTCATATAGTCAATGCTCAGTCCCCATGCATCTTGGAATTAGTCTCATTGCTGGACAGGCCTGGTATTGAATGGACCCTGGGAAGCTGTGTTGGCCCTCGCTATTTAACTGAGCCTTCACTCACTCACTCATTCATACAAATACTTATCTAATGCCTTCCACGTGCTACCCTGTGCTAGGGGGTAGGGCAAGAAGAGTAAGTAAAAGGTAGCACAGTTTCAGTACTTGGAGCTTAGCCAGCAAGCAAGCAACAAACAAAAAAGCAAACATGCAAAATCAAGATCAAAATCATTTTGGGTGCAGATAAGTTGATGATCAGAGGAGGCCTCTCTTGGGAGGTGACATTTGAGCTAAGACCTAAATAACAAGAAGGAGCTGGGTACACTTAGACCTACAAGGCAGGAAGAGGGTCCCAAGGTAGGGAACAATAGCAAAGGCTTGGAGATGGGAACAAGCCTGGCCTGACCGAGGGGCAGCGGGGACGAGGATGGCTGCAGGGGGAGGCCTTGCGGGAGTTCAGGTTGCATTCTAAGAATTCTGGGGAGCCACTGGAGAGGTTATTTCACAGTGTTGGGAACAGGAAAAGCAGGAAGTCGGCCTGGAGGATTGGGGCTGGAGCCCAGAATGTGTGCTGGGTGTCACTGGCTCTCACCAACCTCTCCTTGGAGGCTGGATCTGGCCCCCTCTTTGCCTTGCACATGCTGCAACTCTGCATGACAGGGCAGGTCTTGCAGAACAGTGATGCAGCAATACCTAACTCAGCATTATTATGTGTGGCCCACCTTCTCAGAAGTGCATGTCTCCCCCAACCTCAGGGTTACCCCTGCATGGAGGAGTAGACCCCCTGCTGCTCCCCACACACCTGCCCTGGCATGGAGCACATGCTGCTATAGCAGCCAGGGACCTACTGGAGTCAGAGATGCTCTTCCCAGGCTTGGCCTGATGGGGGCAGTATCAGGAGAGCTCCATGGTGGGCCGGTCCTCCATCCCCCCAGGCTGAGTCCACCCTCTCAGCCAAGATGCCCCTGGTCCAAGCTGTGCCATAGGCCCTGCAGCCACCCTAGGGGTGGAATCTGGAGTCCTAAGACTGTGATAGCATGACCAGCCAGTTCACAAAGCACTGCACCCTTGGGGTCAGACAGCCAAGAGCTCCCTGTGTTATGGAGCTTGAGATTCTCCCCATTGAAAGGGAGCTAAGAAGTTAAGAGGCATTGAATCCAGCCTCATACATTCACTCAGTAAATGTTTGTCAAGCTTCTATGATGTGCCATACATTATATCAGCACAGGGTTATATACTAAAGATGGAGGACTCTGTGGCGCCCAAAGCAGAAATGATTCTGGCCCTCATGGACATCTGTATTTCTAGGGGGGTGAACAGACACAGAACAAATCAACCTACAAATACATAATTCTAAACCATGACAAGTGACAGAAAAGACAGAAACAAAGCATGGGGCTTATGTTCCAGATCCAGGAGTGGCCAAACTGGATCCGACGGTACAGAGATGAATGGCTCAGCTAAGATCAGAATCATAAAACACCATTTTGAAGGGCACTGATGCATTCCCAGAATGCCTGTATCATATATGAAATTCATTATTAACAATAACTGCCAAAATAAATCAATATGAAAACGATGTTGTGGAGAAAGTCTGTCTGGCTAGTATTGAGACTCGTTGGCGAATCTTGACATAACGAAAGTTGTTAAATGTAGTGGTCTGTTTACTGTGTTTGTAAACACAAAAATGAGAACAGATGACATGTTTGTGGAGCTTCTTCTGTGTCAGGCACTGTGGTGGGCACTGGGGGCCCAAGGATAAGCACCCTGCTTGTTTGGCATTGCCTGGAAGTAAAGCACTCCCACCCACACACCGGAAGCCCCTCACAGTGACTGCCTGCACTGTGCCAAGTGAGGGATGGCTGGGCTGCACATTCCTGGGCTGTCTGTTTTGTTTTGCTTCAAGATTTGACCTTGTCGCCAGATTTCTGTCAAGATTAACCTGGCAGAGTTTCTGATGTAGTTCATTCTACAGCGAGTTAGGCTTCCGCATTTGATGAAGTCAATATACCTGCATCATGGTGAGGCAGGCACAGAAGAGGAGGTTTGCGTGGCAGAACAATCCCTTTTTAGATTAGGAAACATAGAATTCATGTTGGAGAAAAGAGTGCTATTTCTGTCTCCAATCCGATTTTGTACCCACTTTCAGTTTTAAGCTGTGCCCCATTCCAGAGCAAAATCCTCCTCTCCTTCCTCTCCTCCTCTCCCCCACTGCCCCCTTCTTTTTCTCCTCAAGTCCTCCCTCCTCCCTCCCTTCATCTCCTACCCCCCTCCTCCTCCTCATCTCCTACCCCCCTTCTCCTCCTCATCTCCTACCCCCCTCCTCCTCCTCATCTCCTACCCCCCTTCTCCTCCTCATCTCCTACCCCCCTTCTCCTCCTCATATCCTACCCCCCTTCTCCTCCTCATCTCCTACCCCCCTCCTCCTCCTCATCTCCTATCCCCCTCCTCCTCATCTCCTACCCCCTCCTCCTCATCTCCTACCCCCCTCCTCCTCATCTCCTACCCCCTCCTCCTCATCTCCTACCCCCCTCCTCCTTATCTCCTCCTTCTTCCTCTTCCATCTCACGATCTCTTCCCCATCTTCCTCCTCCCCTCTCCTCCTCCCAGTCCTCATCTTCTCCACTCTCTTCCTCATCCCTCACCGCAACTCTTCCCTCCTCCTATTCTTCTTCCTCCCCTTCCTCCCACCTCATCTTCCTCTTCATTCCTTCTCTCTCCTTCCTCCCTCTCTTTCTCTCTGCCTTCTCCTCCTTTTAAAATCAATCCAGATTTACTTGGCTTTTGATTTGTGATTTAGTAGTGATCAGGAGATTTGATGTTAAAGGAAAATCGGATAAGCCCAGAGCCACTGACCTAATTGATAGGAGTTGCCATTGCCTCTGTTTTTCTGTATAAAATGGGAACAGTTTTTTGTACAATACAAGTACAATACAATACAAGTATTTATTTGGGCCCATATCTATTTTCACTAGTCTTCTGAGTTCTGTGAGGAACAAGAAAGGAATGAGTAGGACAATGTCCTCCCTCTTAGCAACTTCCTATCTCAATGGAGACCGCCTATCGAATGGGAATTTTCTACCCCAAGACACCTGAGACAGACCACAGTACACGCTGTGAGTGATTGAAGCACAGGCTCTAAATGCTGGCAGAGATCAGGCTCAGTATGGGCTGGAGGGAGGCTCCACAGACAATGTTCATCTTTTTTTTTTTTTTTTTTTTTGAGACAGAGTCTCACTCTGTCGCCCAGGCTGGAGTGCAGTGGCGTGATCTCAGCTCACTGCAACCTCTGCCTCTCGGGTTCAAGAGATTCTCCTGCCTCAGCCTCCCAAGTAGCTGGGATTACAGGCGCCTGACACCACGCCTAGCTAATTTTTGTATTTTTAGTCGAGATGGGGTTTCACCATGTTGGCCAGGCTGGTCTCGAACTCCTGATCTTGTGATCTGCCTGCCTCGGCCTTCCAGAGTGTTGGGATTACAGGCATGAGCCACCGCACCCAGCCTGACAATGTTCATCTTTAACAAAGTTCTGAAATTTGGGAAGATCTAGAATTGGAGGGCTAGGTACTTCTAATTCTGATGAAGGGAGAACAGTCATGATCATAGTACCAAACTCTCTCCCCTAATTCCCTGTTCCCATGGGGAAGGGACCAGCCTTTTCATGTCCTGCTCTTCTTCCCCTTTATTGCAGTCCCCTACCCTGAGCTGGTTTTGGTATCGGCCCTTTCTTCTTCCCTTTCCTCTCAATCTTGCTCATTATGTGGGACCTCAGCACTCCAGGGAGAAGCAAATGTCCTAGGCACAACAGCAAAACAGTGCATGTGGCAGAAGGCCATGGATGCTGACCTGAGCCTGGATCCCCGCTCCGCTCAAGATTCGTGGACTTAGGAGATTCAATCGACTTAGGAGATTCAATCGACAAGTTGAGCGAGGCGTCCAAGTTTGCTCCTGAAAATTGGGGGTGATAATCCTACTTCACAGGACTGCTGTTAGGATTCAACAAGGCAATGCCTGGGTAAGCAGTAAGGTGCAGATAGAGATGCTCCCAAAATATTAGCTCTAACTTTTTCTCAGCTCTTTTCAGCTAAGCACGATGGCAAATAAAACCTTCAGGGGACACAGAAGATGAAAGAATTCACACTCTGGAATCTGTTCACCGTGGGCTTGGTCTCTGTTTCTGGTTCCAGAAGAGGTATATTATGAACAAGTGAACTGTCCTCTCTGAGCTGCAGTCTCCTCATCTGTAAAACAAATATCCAGAGCCCCCCCTCCACGGAGGGCTGTGCTCAGCATGAAACTAGCAATGCATGTGAAATGTTGAACCCATTGGTGGCGTGTAGAAGGTGCTGGCATCACTGCCGTGGTGACCTTGGCTTAGTCAAGGTCACAGATATGGTGCCCCTTGGTGGCATCAGTATAGGGCTAGAGCTTTGTACCAACCTTAGAAAGATGATGAAACATGTTGGAAACGCTGAATCATCTCTACCAAGTCTTTACATGAAGTTTGCCGTCAAGGTATCTGCAGGCCAGGAAGCGTGTTTGGAAACAGGAGCTGGGCGCCTCCATGGGATTGATCTTCTTGAATTGCCCTTTGGAGGCCACTCACCACATCCGGTCCTCCCTAGAATCCACACACTGCCAAGAGCTCATCGCGGATCAAGAGCATAGTAACCAAACCCGGGGCAGCTGGCATTCTGGGGTGCTTTGTTCGCTAACCTTAAAAGCAAACCCAGCAACCCAGCACACTGGCAACAACCCATCAGCCTGCTTCAGGCAGGTCAGAGCCTGGGGACAGAGGAGCTTTCCTCGTCTGCTTATTAGAGTGACAGCCATGGAGATAAAAGTTTAATGTGCCGATTATCTTTCTGTTTTCGGGTGCCCGGCAGGACTGAATGGGCTACCTCATCCAAGCAGCCCATGGAGGGTGGGTGTGTGAAGTTGAAAACGGAAGGATACTCAGCTGATAGGATGGCAACACCGCTGCATTCTTGATCAGGGCTCCATGTGCCCTGAGCTGTCCCCAGAACCTGGCTATAGGGCCTGGTTCAGGCATTTCCACATTTCTCAGGTCCGGAGGGTTCGTTAGGGACACAACAGAGGGACCCGACTAAAATAAGCCCCCAGGAATAGAACTATTTGCAGGCATGACTGGGTGCTGTGGCTCACACCTGTGATCCTAACACTTCGGGAGGCCGAGGCAGGCAAATCACTTGAGCTCAGGAGTTCAAGACCAGCCTGGGCTGGGCAACATGGCAAAGTCCCTTCTCTACCCAAAATACAAAAACTTACTCAGCTGTGGTGGCACGCGTCTGTGGTCCTAGCTACTTGGGAGGCTGAGGTAGAAGGATGGCTTGAGCCTGGTAGGTGGAGGCTGCAGTGAGCTATGATCGAGCCACTGCATTCCAGCCTGGGTGGAAGAACAAAAGCAAAAACAAACACAAAAAAAACCAAGAACTATTTGCAGGCAAACCAAAGGAACATACATCTGAATATATTTTCATGCTTCTTCACAGGCTTGAAATGAATGGTGCTAACAGAGCCTGCCCTTATTACGAGAAAGTGTGCTGTGAAACTGATGTGGGGCAGGAACAGGCTCGTCCTCCCCTGGTGATATTTAACAACAATAATTATTGTGATAATAACAAAAGTGACTCACATTGATTGGGCACTCAGTATGTGTCAGGCGGTTTTCTCAGCACACACCTTAGTGCATTCAATCATCACCACAAGCCCATGAGGTAGGGTGCTAGTATCCCCATTTTACAGAGGGGAACACCGAGGCTCAAAAAGCAAGAATAAGAACCAAGAGATAATATTCTTAGATTCATGTGGGCCCAGCCATCATAGAGCCTGTAGTCTGGTGCACAGACCTTGATGCATGACATCAGTGCAGAAAAGCAATGCTGAGGAAAGGGATTGTGGGGAGAGGATTGGAAAGGAGGGATGTGTAAGCCTGGAAAGATAGGTTGGATTCAAGCAGTAAATCAAGATGGAAGGAGAAAGGAGGAAGGGACTCCTGGTGGAGGTCATAGCTCTGGGTAAGAGGAAAGAATTCCAGTGTATCTAAACTGGGAATTCACAGCAGGTGGGGCTAGAAAGGGGAGGTGGAGTTGCATTGGGAAGCCTTGAATGCCAAGTCGGGGGAACTAGGCTTGATTTGGTCAACATCAGGGGACAGCTAAAGTTTGGAGCAGTGGTGGCCCAGGAGGCTGCTCTTCCTCTTGGCTTCCTCTAGGGAAGTAAGCAAACAGAACAAAAGTGGGCTTTGGAGTAAGCCAATTCTGATTTTAATCTTGATTTTCCTCATGGATTTGCTCTGTGTCCCTAAGGAAGTTTCCTAACTTCTCTGAACAAAGACAATAATTGTATGCATTTCATAGGTTTTTGGAGGTAAATATAATGTATGCAAAGTGTGAGGTTATGTAATAGGTATTCCATGATGGCGGCCAATATTCTTCTTTATTAATCATATGGGCAGGGTGAGGTGACTCACACCTGTAATCTCAGCATTTTGGGAGGCCAAAGGGGACAGATCACTTGAAGTCAGTTGTTCAAGACCAACCTGGCCAACATGATGAAACCTCATCTTTACTATAAATATGAAAATTAGCTAGGCATGGTGGCGTGCGCCTGTAATCCCAGCTACTCAGGAGGCTGAGGCAGGAGAATCGCTTGAACCTGGGAGACAGAGGTTGCAGTGAGCAGAGATCACGCCACTGCACTCCAGCCTGGGCGACAGAATGAGACTCCATCTCAAAAGAAAAAAAAAATCATATGAACTGTCCTGTTTATTTTCATTTTTTTGGTGCCTTGCCTTCCTAGGACCTGTCCTTCTGAAACCAGAAATATAAAGATCCACTTTCTTTCTGCATGAACTCCTACTCAATCCTCAAGACCCATTTTAAAAATTCACTGTGAAACCTTTGCTAACTTCCGCATTGGAAAACAAATCACTCTATCTGCCATGGCTCCAACTGGCCCTCATCACATGACATGGTAATTACGTCTGTTTATGGTCTCTCTTCTCAGCCAGATTGGGAGTTTCTGGAGGTGCAGAGACTGCTACACTCCCCTCACTTAAATGGTTCTCCTACTGTGGTCTGCAGAACCGTGGAGGACCTCCTAAACCCTTTCAGAGGGCCTCACAGTGAAAACTATTTTCGGGGCTGGGTGCAGTGGCTCAAGCCTGTAATCCCAGCACTTTGGGAGGCCGAGGCGGGCAGATCACGAGGTCAGGATCGAGACCATCCTGGCTAACACGGTGAAACCCCGTCTCTACTAAAAATACAAAAAAATTAGCCGGGCATGGTGGCGGGCGCCTGTAGTCCCAGCTACTGGGGAGGCTGAGGCAGGAGAATGGTGTGAACCCGGGAGGTGGAGCTTGCAGTGAGCTGAGATCGCGCCACTGCACTCCAGCTCGGATGACAGAGCTAGACTCTGTCTCAAAAAAAAAAAAAAAAAAAAAAAAAAGAAGAAGAAGAAAAGAAAACTATTTTCATAATAACTCCGGGATATTATTTCTTTTTTCATTGTGTTGTCATTTACACCTGCGGTGGTAAAACTGCTTACACCTTAGTATGAATCAAGGGAGTGGCCCCGAAGTGTACAGGTACTCATTGTATTCTTCTTATCACCTACTTGCATTAAAACACATGCCAGTTTCACTTAGAAATACTCTTAATGAAGCAGTAAAATTTGTTTTTTTGTTGTTGTTGTTGATTTTTTGTTTTTTTTTTTGAGATGGAGTCTCACTCTGTCGCCCAGGCTTGACTGTGGAGTGGCCAATCTCGGCTCACGGCAACCTCTGCTTCCCGGGTTCAAGTGATTCTCATGCCTCAGCCTCCTGAGTAGTTGGGACTACAGGCATGTGCCACCCATGCCCAGCTAATTTTTTTTTTTTTTGTATTTTTAGTAGAGACAGGGTTTCACCATGTTGGCCAGGCTGGTCTTGAACTCCTGACCTCAAGTGATCCACATGCCTCGGCCTCCCAAATGAAGCAGTAAAATTATTAATTAAAAAATTCTCAACCCTTGAATGCATGTCTTTTTAATAATCTGTGTGAAAAAATGGAAAGTATGCATAAAGCACTTCTCACTCCGGCTGCCTACCAAAGCACAATGGTTGAAGGTAATGACAAGGAGAAGCACATGTGATTGTTTGAGCTGAAATAGCCACTTTTTTCATGGAACACTCATTTTACTTGAAAGAATTCACACACACACACACACACACACACACACACACACAGACAGCACAACCCATGGTTATTTAGATAGGTTTTCTGGCAGATGTTTTCCCAAAAAGTAACAAAATGAGGCTGGCACTTCAAAGAAAGCAATTAACAGTACTTGTTGCCAATGATAAAATTCAAGCTAAGTGAAAATTAGAAGTTTGGAAAATTTTATCTGCAACTATGAGGGTGGCAACTTCCCATTACGCTTCTCCCATGAGATCTGTGGTGATATGGAGGCATATGGTTTTTGATACTGTATAATGAAATGTGTCAATATTTGAAAGATCTGCGGGGGAGGCAGCGAAGCAATAGTTTCCAAATGAATAAAATACGTGATGTTATCAAATCGTGCATGGGTAAAAGACCCATTCAAAGGGCAAGCCAGACCACTGCATCTTAAAGTGACGGAGTAGAAAGAGTTCATTCACATGATTTCAGATTTTACATTGCAACATCGCTTACCCACTTGTCAACTTTTCATGTAGTCTCAAAGAAGAATATCCATAATTATCCAAAAAGACTATTAAAGTACTTCCCCCTTTTCCAACTACATGTCTGTCAGGCCAGATTTTCTTCATTCGTGTTCACCAAAACAAGATGTGGCACCAGATTGAATGCAGAAGCAGATATGAAGATTCAGCTGTCTTCGAGTAAGCCTGATATTAAATAGATTTGTAATCATGTACCACAATGCTGTACTTTTTATTAAATGTCTTTATTGTGTAAAATATAGTTTAGTTTTATAAAAATGTTATATGTTAACATGGAATGGACTTGTTACGTTTTCTAAATTACTGAATAAATAAATGTGCAATTCTTCAGCTTTAATTTATCATGTAGTAAATAGAAGCAAAAGTACTTTAAGGTCTTCAATAATTTTTAAGAGTGTAAAAGAGTTCTGAGACCAAACAGCCTGAGAGCTGCTGGCCTGGCACACAGTAGGTGCTCACTAAATAGCTGTGGTATCCAGGCCTTTGGGGATGATGACATGCCAGGCTGCATTGTACTGATTTCTCTCTGGTTCTCTTTTCTTCGTTAAGACACTGTCTGGACTGCCTGGTTGTCTCCTCCTGTGGTTCTAAGCAGGGGCTGCACTTGGTGGCCTGGGAGCTTCTGTAGGCTGAGTTCTCCTGCCTGGTTCATGCTAAGTATGATTACCGTGAGCCTCATGCCACATCCCAAATTGCTTCTGCAGCCTGCAGGTTCTAATTCCGTTTGTTTCCTGCCTTTTTCTCTGGGCTCAGGCCAGATTGGGAAGCCTATGGAATTGCTGAGACAGTAATTTGCAATTAAACTTAAGAAATATTAGAGGTCAAGTCTGGGGCAGATGTGGGCTCTTTTTTAGAATGGACCATTTCAGAATCAAGCAAAGGCAGACCACTTACCACGTGGGTCTTCTTCTCTTGGCTCAGGAAGGACGCCCCACTGCAAGAAGGGAAATGCTGATCTCCCTGTCCTTGCTGGAAGGCAGAAATAGGTGGGGGGAGCAGTGACCCTTGCCTGACACCCCGTAATCCAATCTGCCCTCTCCTTCCTCTCTCCTTCCCGACTGATCCCTGTGGGCCTGAAAGAGAATGTCTTCTCTGGCCAGGCTGAGTGGCTGCCTGTCATTAGAGCTGAGGCCACGATACACTTGAGGGAACAGTAATGGGGCCTGGGAAGAAAGCTAATTAGCTAATGTAGTAAAACGTATAAATAAAGAAGCCCAACAACCTTCAAGGCTTTCTGAGCTTGTGGAGGTTGAGGTGACCCTGGGGCTTTGGTGCCACAAGGCCTTTTGCGAAGGTCTGAGGTTCCCAGGCTTCCTCTGCTGGGGTCTTAGTTGGGAAGGGGCTGCCGGGAGATGAGCAGGTGGCAGCTCTGAATGTGATGAGCGCCCTCGGAAGGGGCCTTAGGTTGAGTTTCCCAGGAAGCAGACTGAGATGGATGGCGTTTTGGGGAGTAAGCAGGAGAAGCTTACCTGTGAGGGGGTATAGGGGGCAAGGCCGGGCAGAGGGAGCAGCTGGACAGTGACGCAGCTGCCACTGAGGCCTCAGCTGGTCCCCCGGGAGCTCAGGAGCCAGGGTGGCCCCATAGAGTTGGCTTGAATAGGGGCAAGGGGTCTGCATTGTTTTCCCCCATGCAGATCAGTCGCGATTGTGGCTGCCCCCTGGGGTGGGGCCAGAACCTAAGGCCACGCAGTCCTCTTCAGCCTAGTGCCAACCCCAGAGAAGGACTCAGTGAAGAGTCACCAGCAGCCAACATTCCCAGAATCCAGAGGAATGGGTGCCTGGGTCCCTATGGGAGATCCGGAAGCCGCACCATGGCAAAGCTCACAGAGGGCAACTGGAAGCCATCTGAGAAGGCCTGGAGCAGAGGGATGAGAGTCAAAGCCTGCAGGAAGCTGGAGACAGCAGGGACTTCAAGTTTCATTTTAAGATGAAATCAGTATTGTTTCTAATGAAATCAAAGGAAACAGAAGGCATATCTGTTGAATGAATGTTCGAATGAAAGAATGAGTAAATAAATCAAGTCATATATGGGAATTCAGGACATATGGAGGACAGAATTGCTCCTGGGCAAATATTTGGCCATTCTGTGCCTCTCTTCAGTTTTCTCATTTGGAAAAATGGGCATGGCACAATTGTGACGATGAAATAATGTAATACGGTGTCATTACAGTGTCTGAAGTACAGTAGGAAATCAGTGAGTGCTACCTGCTACGGTGCTTGGTGGATGCTGCTGTTGTGGCGGTTCTTGGTCGTTGTTATTACTATTATGCTCAATGCTCACCCACCATGGCAGCCCTCAGGTAACCATGAGCCATGGAGCTTAAGGTCTCCCAGGGCACGATTGTAACAGTATATGGAAACCATGGAGGTACACAT